>NT_167248.2:0-300000 GCF_000001405.40 Homo sapiens | reverse complement strand
CCTATGGAGTGGGAGAAAATATTTGCAAATGATGTATCTAATAAGGGGCTAATATCTAAAATATATAAGAAGCTCAAACAAGAAAACATAATTCTATTTTAAAATGGAGCTGGCTGTGTTGGTTCACATCTCTAATCTCAGAATTTTGGGAGGCCAAGATGGGTGGATCACTTGAGGTCAAGAGTTCGAGACCAGCCTGGCCAACATGGTGAAACCCCGTCTCTACTAAAAATAGAAAAATTAGCTAGGCATGGTGGTACGTGCCTCTAGTCTCAGCTACTCAGGAGGCTGAGGCACAAGAATCACTTGAACCTGGGAGGTGGAAGCTGCAGTGAGCCGAGATTGTGTCACTGCACTCCAGCCTGGGAGACAGAGAGAGACTCCATCTCAAAAATAAAAATAAAAAATAAAATAAAATAATTTAAAAATTTTAAAAATGAAAATAAAAATGGGCAAAAGACCCAAATACACATTTCTCAAAAGAAGACCTACAAATGGCCAACATGTATATGAAAAATGCTCAACATCACTAATCAATGGGGAGATGTAAATTAAATGCACAGTGAGATATCACTTCATACTCTTAGAATGGCTATTGTCATAAAAAGCAAAGATAACAGCTTGGTGAGAATGTAGGGAAAAAAAGGAACCCTTGCACACCGTTAGTGGGAATGTACATTAATACAGCCACTATATAAAACAGTGTGGAGGTTACTCCAAAAATTAAAAATAGAACTACCATATGATCCAGCCATCCCACCACTGGGTATATATCCAAGGAATTGAAATCAGTATGTTAAAGAGATGTCTGCACTCCCATGTTTATGGCAGCATTATTCACAATAGCAAAGATATGGAATCAAACTTTGTGTTCATCAATGAATGAATAAATCAAGAAAATGTGGTGTACTATTCACTCGTAACAAAAAAAGGAAACCCTGTCATTTCCAACAACACGGATGAACCTAGAAGCTATGATGTTAAGTTAAATGAGCCAGTTACAGAAAGGCAAATACTACATGATCTCATTTAAATGAGGATCTGAAAAACTTAAACTCATAGAAGCAGAGAGTGGAATGGTAATTACCAGAAGCTGGGGATGGTGGTAAGTTTCCAGACCATAAATTGAGGGATAAGCTCCAGAGTGTTCATACTATTTTTAATTTGCTGAAAATAGAACGATGATAATAATTCATAAACCTAGAATTATGATTATCCCATAAATTTTTTAAAACTAAATATTTTGTCCTATAGACACAACACCTACATAACTTAATTTATCCAATTTTGATCTTACCAATTGAATAAACCAAATTTCAAGTAAATGTGTTCATTTTTATATAGTTTACATCATATATTCATTTTTCAATGTAAATTTAATATAATATATAATTAATCTCCAAATTTTTAAATTTAAAAACTTAAAAAGAAAAAGAAAAGATGAAACCCAACGTCTTTTTTTTTTTTTTTTTTTTTTTTTTTGAGACAAGAGTTTCGCTCGTTTCACAGGCCGGAGTGCAATGGCGCAATCTCGGCTGACCGCAACCTTCGTCTCCCAGGTTCAAGTGATTCTCCTGCCTCAGCCTCCTGAGTAGCTGGGATTACAGGCATGCACCACCATGCCCGGCTAATTTTTTGTTTTTAGTAGAGACGGGGTTTCTCCACATTGGTCAGGCTGGTCTTGAACTCCTGACCTCAGGTGATCCACCCGCTTTGGCCTCCCAAAGTGCTGGGATTACAGGCATGAACCACTGTGCCTGGCCGAAACCTAATGTGTTAAGAGAACTTTTCATGAAATTATTATTTGGATATGCCTCTGACCACAGTCATAGCTTTACTTAATCACCTCTGTGGGGCATCAGTCCTCAAGGTCTAAACCATATCAACATAGGTAGCCTTTAGAGCTGTAAATAAATACTTCCCTGCTACATGTTAATGATTCTTGGAATATACATTGACCAACACAGTGTTCTCCTTGTTTAATTAGGCAAAAATCTAGCTGTAAATATGAATAACAAGAGTATACATTAAAAAGACATCAAATAGCCAACCGAAAATATATTTAACCAAACCTAATTAAGGATTTTCACCAGTCCCACATTTAGTTTACTTCCAATATCCACATTAAATAGAGACTTCTATTAAATCTTATTTCAGCTGTTGCATTTAAGTGTGAATGGCACTGTAGTGTCAGTATGACCAGTGGTTAATCCAATTCTTCAGGGCATTAGTAACTCATCCAACAAGAATTTTTTTCTAATTTATTAATTAAATGAAGAAACGTCATAATGGGAACATGGGTATGTTTGGACTACATGAGAACATGACAGCTCTGAATTCTTCCTTCATGAAAATATATTCTAATCTTTTCAGCTTCTGGTAAGTATTCTCTGCTATCTCTAACAGAGGATGACTCCAGGTAGAAAACAGATCCTAGATAGCGTAAGACTCAGTCTAACATGAAAGCAAAAATGTGAAAGGTATGTGAGATATAAATAATACTAACATTTTGAGGATTAAATATAAATTTAATCCTCAGGAGTGAGGATTAAACTTCAACAAGAGCAGTTAGTGGATTTTGAAGTTACTGAATGCTCTCTATGCACCAAGCATCATGCTAAATATTTAGCATAGCATGTAATCCTCCTCATAGCCATCCTACAAAGCAGGTGCTATTAGAATAGCTATTTTACAGATGAGGAATCAGAGGCTAAAGAAGTTAATTAGCCTGCTCAAGTCCACAGAGTAAGGAAATGGCTGAGATCAATTGTAACAAAAATCACAGGCGGTCTGAACCAGTCTAGGGTCTTACCTATTTTTATTTCGTCCTTTCATCTTGAATTTTGTATGACTACAGCAATATACCTCATGCTTTATAATAAAAGATCCATATATTTTTACTTTTTATAAAATTTTAGACAGTTTTGAAATTTTGTGCTTCTAATTTTCTCTCAATATCATAAATTATGTTGAAATATGTTTGGTTCATTTGTCTCAGATTTCACTGGAGAAAGCAAAATGTTAAGTTATGCGCGATTATTGGGCTCTGAAGTCCATACTATGAAAAATGAAAAACTGAGTTTCGATTAAAATGTAGCATGCCTCTTTTTTGCCATCTATTTCTTCAGCTGGAGTGTTGTAAGTCTCATTTCAAATAACACATTCACTTTTAAATTGAAATTAAAATATCTGGTTTGAGATCCAAAGCTTAAATCAATATGAAAATGTTAAAAAGTATTAAATGAAAAGTCCTGTATTTGAGTTCACAACATTAAACTACATAAATTGTCATGCCTGACTTGGCAGCATTTCTAATAAGAATGCCTAGGGCTTTACGTGATCCAAAGTTTAAAGAGAGCCAGTAATGTCTTATACCTGCTAAAAATAACCAACGTATATTTTAGAAAATTATGCAGATCATAGACATTCACTATTCTCTTCAGTAGTGTTGCATAAGTGGAGTATCGTGCTTACTTTTATACTCACTAATTTGCAGCACTTGACAAATCATGGTGTGTCCAGGGAGAGCAACAAGAAAAAGCATGGTAATAAAAGAGCATGTAGTGGTAGGAACAGCTAACAATGTGCTTTGTCTGGGAAGAGAAATCTAAGCATATATTTGGTAACAGTTTCTAATATTAAAAGAGAGTTAAAAGGTATATAAAAAATTTTTAGTAAGCCAAACTATACAATATTGTCTAGAGGTGCACATTTGGGTAATTAACCTACTAACATGCAAAGAGGGGATTACTATAAATAGCAGCATAGTGGATACTTCAGGGGATAGGGAAGAGTTATCATTGGTAAAAGGCACAAAGAAAAGCTCCTAGGGTAATCATCAATGTTTTATTTATTGATTTAGGTGATAGTTACAAGAATATACACTGAAACTCACCAAGCTTTACTTTTTATTTGTTGTATCCATGCACTGTTCATATAATAATACTGGGGTTTTTATGAGGCCATGTTAAATTGACTTACTCTGTGTTATTTTCAGAATAAAGAAAATCAGCCAGGGCTGGGCAAGGAATCATCTTTGAGTTCAATATAAGCAGCATTGACTAAAGGAGAGAGGCTGCTTCAAGTGTAATTGACTTCCCTGTCACTGAAGTTATGCCAGTAGCAGCTGTGTAGCGATTCTGTTGAAGGATCTCCTATGCAGAGCAGAAGGCTAGATTCATGACTTCTGAGGTTTTTTTCCACTTTGAAATTCATGACCTTTTAATTCCCAACACAAACCCAACAGCAGTCAAAAGAATTTGAGTGAATTTTTTAATCAAAGCATTTGGAGACCTCAAGTCATCTCCTGCTCCTGAAGCTTTTCAGTTCAATGTGCATATTGTGATTCTGCATATTTTTGTGTATATAAAAATGTTTCTAAATTTTAAAGTTACACAAATTTTTTAAAAAACATTCCAGTTTAGTTCTAGGTCATTGCGGTAAAATCACTAGTGTGAAAAATTAATGGACTAAGGGGTAGACAGAATAACAATGACAGGTGAATATAGGTTATCATTTTTAGAATTAAAGATGAACCAAGCTCAGTTCCAAGTGCTTTTATAAATATTAACCCTCACAACATCCCTTTGAGGAAGGAAATTTTATTATATTTTCTTCATGTATAAAGAACCTCCTACACAAACAAGTTAAATAATTGCCCAAGGATACAGCTTCCAAGTGGTGAAGCTGGAATTTGATGCCAGGGACTTTGAGTTCAGAATCTGTGCAATGAAGCACTATCATTCCTTAGTTGACAACCTATTGCGAAAAATAAAAAAACTGGACACTTATTAATTAGATTTCCATTTTTGTGCTGTGAAAAACTACACCTCTATCTCATACTACTTGATAACATTTCCTTCTTTATGATTATAACATTATTCTGTTCTAACTGAAACACTTATAACAATGACATATATAAATGATCTATCTTCCCCTTGTTTTACTATATACCAGAAACAAATGAGGTTTCTATTCCATGGCCTCAAGGACACTATAAATGTAAAGTATGGTAGGTCTGAATTTCGTGGTCAGAAATTATCAGCAGAAAAAATGTTTAAACTAATTCAGCCATTAGCTCGACACCAGGGCTCAGGCCGAAGCAGGAGGATTGCTTGAGCCAAGGAGTTCCAAACCAGCCTGAACAACATGGTGAGACCTCATCACTACAAAAACATTTAAAAATTACCTGGACACAGTGGCATGCATCTGTGGTCCCAGCTACTTAGGAGGCTCAGTTGAGAGGATCACTTGAGCACCGGAGGTCCAGGCTGCAATGAGCTGTCACTGTGTCACCGCACTCCAGCCTAGGCAACAGAGCAAGATTTTTGTTTTGTTTGGTTTGGTTTTTTTGAGACAAGAGTCTCGTTCTGTCGCCCCGGCTGGAGTGCAGCGGTGCGATCTCGGCTCACTGTGGCCTCCGCCCCCAGGTTCAAGCAATTGTCCTGCCTTAGCCTCCCAAGTAGTTGGGACTACAGGCACGCACCACACCGCCCAGCTAATTTTTGTATTTTTAGTAGAAAATACAAAATTTTTCCCCACGTAGGCCATGCTGGTCTGGACTCCTGACATCAAGTGATCCGCCCACCTCAACCTCCCATAGTGCTGGGATTACAGGCATGAGCCACTGCATCCGGCCAACAGAGCAAGAATCTATCTTTAAAAAAAACAAACAACAACAACAAAAAAAAACTAACTCAGTCAGTCATTAAATATTTTGTCTACTTAGTGATATGATACAATAATCAGAAATGGTGAGATTGATGACATTTTTATCTGTATCTGTATTCTTTTAGAGCCCAATGGGGTGATGGTTTTACCTAAAGGATTTCAAAGCAATCAGAACATCCACTCATGTTGGATTGGTAAATTCCATAGATTAAAACAACTCTGGCTATTTAATGAACTGCTTTTTGTTTGAATTACCTGCCCAGCGCCCAGCTAATTCTGCTGAATGGCTGGTAAGTAGGATTGGACACAGATCGTTGTACGTGGTGGCCAAATAGTTCTGGAATTACCTCAATATTTAACTGCAACAAATCAGTAAGGCTGTTTAGATGGTGTAATATTAGTCATTAAAGCTGTTTAAAAAACATATAGGCCTTTATACATGTAAGTAAATATTAATAAGAAAGATAATTATTTCCTGGCAACAAAAAACACACTCACAAAAAAAGGCAGTGTAGTAGGGAACACCAAAATTGATAGAATAACAACAGTGCCTGCAATGTTGAGGGGTAAAAAAAATATAAGGAGGAGGAGTAAGTTGGTGGTGAGGATAATTATAATTATAATGGCTGAAATGTAGATATTTGCAAGTAAATATTGAAAGTGATTCTGCTATCAAATGGTGGAGTTTATTCCAAAAAAAGATGTCATTTAACTTTTTACCTCAAGCTTAACTCCTTCAATAATGCAAGGATTTATCATGATCAAGTGATGCTTATGTCATAGCTTCAAAGAGGAACAACTCCTCAATACATATGCCTCTCTTAAAATCACATAATTGACTTCATGATTTTATTACTTAATTGAAATACATAGAACAATGAATGACATAGCAAATTAAGTTTTTTCAATGATTTACAATTCAGCCTGATTGGATTTAGCATATTATTAATTTTGGATTAAATATGAACAAGTTGTGAGCACTGGGCCATAGGGAAATGTTAAAAGAGATGTTCCAAATGAGAGAGAGCATGCAAATAAGAGAGTTTTGGATACCCTTGAGAAACTTCAGAGATTTTCAGTTCTACCTAAACCTGACACTATTTTTGGTTACCATGATATTGCCTGCTAGCTTTTCTTAAGGAACAATGGAAACAAGCAGTGTAAGTTCTGGAACAGATTTCATCCTTCTGGGGTTTTCTGATCGACCCCAATTAGAGCACATCATCTCAGTGGTTGTCTTCATCATCTATATTGTGACTCTGGTAGGAAATACAACCATCATTCTTGTATCTTATCTAGACACCCAGCTCCATACCTTCATGTATTTTTTCTTATCCAATTTGTCTTTCTTGGACCTCTGTTATACAACTAGCATTATCCCCCAGATGCTGGCAAATCAATGGGGCCCAAAAAAATCTATTACTTATGGAGGGTGTGTACTCCAATTCTTTTTTGTCCTTGACTTGGGAGCCACAGAATGTCTTCTGTTGGCTGTGATGGCCTATGATCGTTATGCTGCTGTCTGTCAACCTCTTCACTACACCTTAAAATGCACCCTCAGCTTTGCCACTGCCTGGTTGAGTGGTCTTGCCAGTGCCTTAATTGTTTGCTCCTTGACTTTGAAGTTGCCAAGATGTGGGCACCGGGAAGTGGATAATTTTTTCTGTGAGATGCCAGCATTGATCAAGATGGCTTGTGTCTATTCAAAAGTAATTGAGATTGTTGTCTTTGCTTTCGGAGTGGTATTTCTTTTCGTACCTCTATCACTAATTCTTATCTCATATGGAGTTATCACTCAAGCTGTAATGAGGATCAAGTCAGCAACAAGGTTGCAAAAGATCCTTAATACATGTGGCTCCCACCTCACAGTAGTAATTCTGTTTTATGGAACAATCATTTATATATACATGAAGCCACAGAATACCATATCCCAAGATGAAGGGAAGTTCTTCACTCTTTTACACAATCATCACACCCAGCCTTAACCTTCCCATCTACACTTTAAGAAACAAAGATGTAAAGAGTGCACTGAAGAGAATACTGTGGATGAAAAAATCTTCAGCAGAATCATGAATTAGATGGAAAAAAGTAGAATGTAGAGCACTAAAGAAATATTGGCATTTATCAAGAGAAGTGAAATCAATTCATTTATCCAAAGCACATTCACGCTCAAAGCTTGGTGCTCTTAAATGACAAAAGAAAATTTAGCAAGCTTATGTTTTTACTTTGCTTTACTTTGTTTTACTGGTAAATACATTCAAAATCTGGAAATCCCTGTGCTAGAGAATAAACGACTCCACTTCTCTGCAAATCAGCCATTTCAGAGATTGAAAATCCTCTCTGCAAGTGAAAGATTCCCCATATCTATAGTGCCCTTGCTATGTCATTTCAAAGACAGAGTAAGCCACAGCTTACATGAAGTAATTGAGTAGGAAGATGGGAGTAATAGGGCTTATGATGTCTCTACAATCCTTAAACCCTGTGGCTTCTAAATTTCCACAGCAAGAACATCATACCTTTATTTCAAGGTTTTGATTCCTCTTTTACTTTTATTTTAGGTTTGGGGGTACATGTGAAGGTTACATAAACACGTGTCATGGGGGGTTATTATACATCTTATTGCATCACCCAGGTGTTAAGCCCAGTACCTAATAGTTATCTTTTCTTTGCAGATGACTCTAAAATTGTCAGTTGTACATACCTTGGTAAACATAAAAAAATATGAGAGAGGACAGTGAAATCAGGATAAGGAAAGCATGAAGACACTGTAAACTTCATGGTGTCATAAGGACTATGGAAGAAAGACAAAAGTATAGAATGATAAAATTGTGGCCACTAAAAAAGAGTATCAATTTTCCTTTGTTAAAAATGAGTGATCCTAAATCTTGCTAGGCATTTATCACTTAAAAACCTTCTATTCAACCTTCATACCCTGCTGAAATCTTGTCTCAACTGAAAAGTATTTATGAATCTCATCAGTCTATGGTCTATAGTCCTTGAAAACCCTGACCATATAAGTATAGGGCATTATCCCATTTTTATTTAGTTGTTTGTATGTGTGTTTGAAGAAGATGCATTGGTAAGCTTTTCAACAATATAGACCTTCTTATTCACGTGATTTTGCTGTGTCGAATCAGTTTCTGACATGAATTACATAGCCAATAAATGTCTGTAGAATGAATATGTCAATGTTTTTTATTAAATCTCCATGAAAATGTTACCAAATCTGCAGAATATCACAAATTCTCATTGGGTGATGAATATTAGAGCAATATCTTCAGTTTGTGTTAACACTGAAGATATATAAATCATCTAACACCTAAAATGTAATATATTTAAACATCTATGAGTTAGCAAAGGAAAAGATACAGTTTTTCTTTCACATACATATTATAGAATACATACATAATATTATAGAATCTTTACAACATCCCCTAGAGGTATATATAAGTACATAATGGAAACTAGAAAATAAGAGAAATAAAAGAAATTGCTCATTATCTTATCCCAGAAATGACTAAATTTTTAAATTAATTTTCTTTTAAAGTACTGTCATCTATTAAAATTTGGTTTAATAGTTTGTCTTATTTCTCTCAATATATGCCTTCATATCAGGGATGATATCATCCCCACAGGGGCAAAATTGATTCAAGGGGAGGTAGCAAAAATCTTTGGTATTACAATGGTTGGTGGTCCTCCAAAGAGCCTCTGTACATAAGCAGTTACACAATATAACTGTGGCACTAAAATTTTGTTAGAAATGAAATAACTATAATGAAAAAGTTTGAGAAAACACTTAATTTGGTGCTTTTTCCTATTTGAAAAGATGATTAAAAGAAAGACTCCCTTAGGCCAAAATGATTGACAAGGATATGCACATCCAATACACAGAATTAGTAAACTTCTAGATTGGCAATTGAAAACTGCATTCAGTAATGGTCTTCAGTTTCAGGTTAAAATGCTGGAAATTCTCTGTTATATTGGGGATTTTTTTTTTAAGTTTGATGAAAAAATCATGCCCCAAAGAGTTTTTTTAATGATAAAATTCTTGAGTTTATAGGATAGTATATAAAAAAAGAAACAACTTGCTGAAAAGTTGAAACTGAAATTGTGCCCCAAAGAATAGGAAACCAATAACTAACAGAAATCTTGAGTTTGCCAGATAGCAGATAAGAAAATAAATAACTTGCTGAAACGCTGAAATTCCCTCCATTTGTGAGATAACAAGAGTGTCCAAAATTAGTTGGAACCAACATGACCAAATGGAGTTTGCACAGAACAAGCTTGTTAATGTCACAGCCCGATTTCCACTGCATGTTTCATACTAACTCCCTTTGAATTTGCATGTGGGACCCATGAAGAGGAATGGAGATAACTGTGCATTTGAGGACTTTCTAGACCTCCCTTTTCCTTCCACCAACCACCTGCTAATCCCAGAATCCACCCGCAAACCTTTTCTAATAAAATTACTATCTTAAAGCCAGCACAGGGAGATACAGTTGAGCTAGATTCCTGTCTCCTTATTGGTCAACCTATAATAAAGAGCTTTTCTTTTCTTAGAAATCCAGTGTCATAGTATTAGCTTCTAGCACATCCAGCAGTGAGCCCCTTTTGCCTGGTAACAATAACATAATATAGTATCAAGAATTTGTGACTGGGCATGGTGGCTCACGCCTGTAATCCCAACACTTTGGGAGCCTGAGGTGGGCAGATCACAAGGTCAGGAGTTCAAGACCAGCCTGGCCAATATGGTGAAACCCCATCTCTACTAAAAATAGAAAAAGTAAGCTGGGCGTGGTGGTGGGCACCTGTAGTCCCAGCTACTCCGGAGGCTGAGGCAGGAGAATGGCTTGAACCCAGGAGGTAGAGGTTGCAGTGAGCCGAGATTGCACCACTACACTCCAGCCTGGGCAACAGAGCAAGACTCCATCTCAAAAAAAAAAAAAAAGAATTTGAGGAAACAATATCTCATTTATTTCTGGTTGTATTAGTTATCTGCTGCTACATGAACTTTTTTTTAAAGAAACAAACAGAACTTCTAGACATGATCAGTATAGGCTGAAAATCCCTTATCCATAATTCTGAATCTAAAATGGTCAGAAATGCAAAGGCATAAGAACGATACATTGGACTTTGGGGACTCGGGGAAAAGGGTGGGGGCTGGTGAGGGATAAAACACTACACACTGTGTACAGTGTACACTGCTCAAATGATGGGTGCACCAAAATCTCAGAAATCGCCACTAAAGAACTTATTCATGTAAGGAAACACCACCTGTCCCTCCAAAACCCTATTGAAATAAAAAAATTAAAATAAACAAAAATAAAATGGTCAGAAAACTAAAAGCTTTCCTTTTTTTCTTTGAGACAGGGTCTCACTATGTTACCCAAGCTGGTCTCAAACTCCTGGCCTCAAGCAGTTCTCTCAAGTAGCTGGTATTACTGGTGAGAGCTACCACACCCAGGTAGAAAACTAAAAGTTTTCATAACTCTGTTGGCAACAAAACCTGACCTGAACTGAGGTAGGACTATTTCTATCTATTCTTTACTTTCAGTTTTATTAAACAAGAGAGACTGTATGTTAAAAGAATAGAGTTCCTTTTAAGAAAAAATAATATCAGCTATTTGTCATTTGTCAGAAATGGCAGATATTTTTTAAAGAGGACACTCACTGTTATCACTAATTTATAAAACCATAGTTTCTTTCGAGTTGAAGATTCAAGAGCAATTAGAACATGTCTGTTTTAAAATATGGTAGTCACTAGGTGTAGCATCAAAAGAAAAACTATCAAAGAATAATAAAACTTTAAATTATTCTTTTTAACTTAAATGGATGTGTATTTTAAACTATTTTTATCTAAGATATTAAGTTAACATTTAAAGTTGGCCACATGAAAAGATAGGTCACATTTCATGTTCTTGTGAGTCAACTGAAATACTGAAGGAAAAAAAAAGTTTGTTTCCTTGCTAGTCATTGTACCTTGCTGGCTAGAAATGTTCCATGGAATGTGTGAGAGTTTGGTTCCAAAATGGCTGCATATAAGGAAGCTGGCTTTATTTTTCCTCCACAGAAAACCTACAACAAATACACGGTGCTGAGATTATCACCAGCAATATCCCAGAACTCAAATATGAAGATGGAACAGTGCCCGTGGCAACAAAGAAGTAAAAAACTTCAAGCAGACGCTGTAAGAATCAGACTTCCAAATCCGTGACATCCCTCTCCCAAATCTGCCTAGCACCAAGCATGTGGAAAACTTCCCCCACCTCACCGCCAGTTTCTACACTGGAAAAAGTGAGATTGAAGTGGATAACCAGTTTCCCCACCATCTTGGATTCCCTGGCAAGAGATCTGTCCCTAAGTACTTAAAGGGAGAAATATTCCCAAAGACAACCAGAGAAAAAGTGGGGAGGTGGGACTTCCTTCCCCAACCCTAGAAACACTCTTCTTTAACTCAGCCAAAGGAGACGCCAAATCAGCGAAGCTGGTCAGCAGCGACACACCATAGGAGGTATGTTCCACAGGTTCCCTGAGCACGAAATTCTAGCCAGACTTCCCACCCTATTGGGATATCCCCCGTAAGACCTTCTACATTTGGGTCCGGCAGTGCTCCAGTCATTTACTAGGGCCAAGGAAAACCTGGACTGCAGACTCCATGTGATGTCAGAAAGAAGGCAAGACCAAGAGGGCGAAAAAAAAGTAGATGCTGTCATGCTTTCTGTACAGCCTGCAGAACCATGAGCTAAGTAAACCTCTTTTCTTTATAAATTACTCAGTCTCATGTGTTTCTGTATAGCAGTGTGAGAACAGACTAATATACATGACTTCCCCAAACAGACAAAGCAAGGAACCAATGACTTACCCTAGGCAAGACAGTGGTATGTGAGCTCTCTCACCAAGAATTCAAAATAGCAGTTTTAAAGAAACTCAGTGAACTCAAGGATAACACACAAAAGCAATTCAAAAATTTATCAGAGAAATTTAACAAAGAGATTAAAATAATTTTTTAAAATCAAACAAAAATCTTGGAACTGAGAAATATACTTGTCAAACTGAAAAATTTATTAGAGACTCTCGACAGCAGAATGGATCAGACAGTGGAAGGAATTAGTAAACTCAGACAGGCTATTTGAAAATACAGTTAGAGGAGAAAAAAGGGAAACGAATACAAAGGAATGAAGATCACCTAAATAATATAGAAAAGTACCTCAAAAGGACAAATCTAAGAATGATTGGTGCTCAAGAGGGAATTCAGAAAGAGCAAAAATTAGAAAGCTTATCCAAAGAAATAACTCAAAACTTTCCAAACTTAAGAAATATATAAGTATCTAGGTACAAGATTAGAGAACATGAAACAGATTCAACCCAAATAAGACCACCCCAAGACATACAATAATCAAATTCTCAAAGGTCAAGGACAAAGAGGATTACAAAAGTTGGCTGGGCACCATGGCTCATGCCTATAATCCCAGCACTTTGGGAGGCCAAGGCAGGTGGATCACCTGAGGTCAGGAGTTCGAGATCAGCCTGGCCAACATGGTGAAACCCTGTCTCCACTAAAAATACAGTAATTAGTGGGGCATGGTAGTGGGTGCCTGTAATCCTAGCTACTCAGGAGGCTGAGGCAGGAGAATCGCTTGAACCCGGGAGGCAGAGGTTGCAGTGAGCCGAGATAGCACCATTGCACTCCAGCCTGGGTGACAAGAGTAAAACTCAGTCTCAAAAAAAATAAAATAAAATAAAAAATAAAAGCAGCAAGAGAAAAGAAGTAAATAACATACAAAGAGCTCCAATTATTCTGGCAACAGACTCCTCAATGGAAACTATACAGGCCAGGTAGATGTGGGATGGCATTTTCAAAGTGCTAAAAGAAATAAAACCGCCATCCAAGATTAATGTACCAGAAAAGCTATTCTTCAAACATGAAGAAGACATAAAATCTTTCCTTGACAAACAAAAGCTGAGAATTCACTACCACCAGGCCTATCTTAAAATAAATGGCAAATGAAGTCCTTCAATCTAAGAGAAAAAGATGCTAACATGCATAAAGAAAATATTTGAGGAAAAAAACCACTGGTAACATTAAGTACAAGACATACCCAGGATACTCTAATACTCTAATTGTGGTGTGCAATCCATTTATAACTGTAGTATGAAATCTAAAAGACAAACCTATCAAAAACAATAATTGCTACAGTGACCTGCTAAGAGATAGACAATATAAAAATATGTAAACCGAGACAACAAAAAGTCAAGATGTAGGGGTATAGAGTTAAAGGGCAGGGTTTTGTGGGGGTTATTTAAGTTTTTTTGTTTGTTTCTAGTCTTTTCTTTGTGATCAAAGTTAAGTTGTCATCTTTGTAAAATATCAGCTGCGCGCCATGGCTCATGCCTGTAATCCCAGCACTTTGGGAGGCCAAGGCTAGCTAATCACTTGAGCTCAGGAGTTCAAAACCACTCTGGGCAACATGGCAAAACCTCATCTCTACAAAAAATACAAAACTTAGCTGGCTATGGTGGCATGTGTCTATGGTATCAGCTACTCAGGAGACTGAGGTAGGAGGATTGCCTGAGTTCAATAAGGTAGAGGCTGCAGTAAGCCAAGATCTCACCACTGCACTCCAGCCTGGGTGACAGAGACCCTGTATCAGAATAATAAGTAATAATAAAACAAAGTAGCTATAAGATATGTTTTGTAAGCCTCATGGTAACCCCAATGCAAAAATCTGTAATTAATACACTAAAAATAGAAGGCAGTGAATTAAAGCATTCTACCAGAGAAAATAACTTAACCACAAAGAAATACAGTAGCAAAAGAATAAAGGAAGAAAGACGTTACAAAACAACCAGAAAACAAGCAACAAAATGGCAGTCATAAGTCCTTACTTATCAATAATAACACTGAATATAAATGGACCAAATTCTCCAATTAAAAGATGTATAGAAGTTAAATGGGTAAAGAGACGAGACCCAACTATGTGGTGCTACAAGAACCCACCTTGCCTATAGGGACATACATAAGTTGAAAGTGAATTTATGGAAAAAGATATTCCATGCAAGTGGAAATCAAAGAGAACAGGATTAGGTATACTTATATCAGATAAAACAGACTACAAGTCAAGGAATGTAAAAAGTGACAAAAGGTCACTATATAATGATGAAGGGGTCAATTCATCAAGAGGATATTAAAAATTATAAATATCTGTGCACCCAACACCAGAGCATCCAAATATGTAAAACAAACATTAATAAATCTCAAGGGAGAGATAGGCTCCAATATAATAATAGTAGGGACTTCAACACCTCACTTTCAGTAACAGATTATCCAGGGAGAAAATCAATAAAGAAACATTGGAATTAAGCTACACACTAGACCAAGTAGGCCTGACATTTATAGAACATTTCACCCAGCTGCTACAGAGTACACATTCTTTTCACTTGCACATGGCACATTCTCCAGAACAGACCATATCTTAAGTCACAAAAGAAGTCTCAGCAAATTCAAAAAAGTAAAAATTATATCAAGTATCTTTTCTGATCACAATGGAATAAAACCAGAAATCAACAAGAGGAACCTTGGAAACTATACAAACACATGGAAATCAACATGCTCCTACAACCAATGGGTCAATGAATAAGCTAAGAAAATTTTAAAAATTTCATGAAACTAGTGAAAATAGATATACAACATACCGAAGCCTACAGAATACAGCATAACAATAACTTTATAGCAATAAACACCTACATCAAAAAAGGGAAAAGACTTCAAATAATCAACCTAAAAATGGATCTCAAGGAACTCAAAAAAGCAAGGATGAACCAAATCCAAAATTAGTAGAAAGAAATAAATATCAGAACAGACATAAATGAAATTGAAACTAAAACATAAATACATTTGATCAATGAAATGAAAAGTTGATTTTTTGAAGATAGACAAAATTAACAAACCTTTCCCTAGACTAAAAAAGAGAAACCCAAATAAATCAATCAGAAAGAAAAAAAAAGAGATATAACAGACCACAAAAATACAAAGAATCAGAGAATATGAACAACTATACACCAACAAATTGGAAAACATAGAAAAAATGGATAAATTATTAAACATATACAACGTACTAAGATTGAACCATGAATAGAAACCCTAACAAACCAATAATGAGTAATGAAATTGAAGCCTTAATAAAGTCTCTCATCAAAGAAAAGCCCAGGACATTATGGCCTCACTGCTGAATTCTAGCAAATATTTAGAGAACTGATACCAATTCTACTCAAACTCTTTTAAAAAAAATTGAAGAGGAGGGTATTCCTCTAAACTCATTCTACAAGGCCAGCATTGCCCTGATGTGAAAACCAGACAAGGATACAGCAAAATCTGTGTCAGAAATCAAATCAAAAACAAAACTACAGGCCAAAATCCCTGATGAACATAGATACAAAAATTCTCAAAATAACTAGCAACCCCAATTCAACAACCAAGAAGATCGCTCATGATGAGTGTGATTCATGAATACTGCATGTTCTCACTCCTATGTGGGAGCTAAAACAGAAGATCTCATGAAGCTAGGGAGTACAATGGTGGTTATCAGGGCCTGGAAAGAGGAGGGAAGACGTGGGATAAAGAGAGGTTGGTTAAACGGTATAAGTATACAATTAGGTAGAAGAAAGACAACCAGAGTTCAATAGATCAGTAGGGTGACTATAATCTATTAGACACTTCTGGCTGGGCGCGGTGGCTCACGCCTGTAATCCCAGCACTTTGGGAGGCAGAGGTGGCCGATCACGAGGTCAGGAGTTCAAGACCAGCCTGACCAACATGGTGAAACCCCGCCTCTACTAAAAATATAAAAATTGGCCCGGTGTGATGGCGTATGCCTGTAATCCCAGCTACTTGGGAGGCTGAGGCAGGAGAATCGCTTGAACCCAGGAGGCAGCGGTTGCAGTGAGTCGAGATCACGCCATTGCACTCCAGCCTGGGTGACAGTGCTAGACTCTGTCTCAAAATAATGTTAGACATTTCAAAATATCTAAAAGATTGCTTGATATATATTTAGATATAACTAGAAAAAAATTTGAACGTTCCAAGCAAAAAGGACATTTAAGTTTATACATATATATACACACACACACAAATTATCCTTATCTTTGACCTTTATACGTTATGTATCAAAATATTACATGTACCCTCAAAATACATACATTAAAAAAATGAGAAATAGAAAAATCAAAAAAAAAAGTTCCATGAATTCTGAACACAAATGTGGCCCCCCATTGCTTGTTATTTGTCTGTTCATCATCCCCCACTTGCAGTATTAAAATGTCAGTGTTTCCATTTAGGGATCCCCTTCTGCCTGAATAATCCCCAAATCTGATTCAAAAAATTAGTTCTTACCAGTTTGCACACTCAAGAAAGCACCTGAGCCCAAGTCCACTACGGCCATTTTGTCACTGCCACAAGGTGGCGCTATTGAAAAATGGTCCACATTACTAGCACTCACCGTCCCCATTGTAATGAGAACAAACTTCGGATCTCTGCACAAGCCACAGTGGTCCTTCTAAGGAGGTAGACAGACCTCTCACCCTGCACCCACTTCTTCATGGCAGTTGCATCTCAGTGAGCCTTGAGTTCGTTCATGAGTGGCTGATCTTTGTTTTCACGTCTTAAGTCTGAAAGCACCCATCTCCATCAGAGAGCCTGCCGCTCAGTAACTCCGGCCGAATTTGTTCGGGTGTGAGGTTTAAGGCCCTAATCGCTGTTCTCTCTTCCTCTTTGGGCACCCCCATCTCCGAAGCGTCAGTTTTTCTTTCACCTATCCGCAACATAAAGTGTTACTAATGACACTCCTCGCCCAGAAGACGGCGCTCCGGGCCTGCACACGCTGGTGCCTCCGGCGAGCCTGGACCCCAGGGCCACTTAGAGCCTTGGCGTTCGTTTTAGCTCTTAACGGCGACCAAGACGTCTTCCTCCTCTGCGACAGTGTGGGGAAGGGAGAACGAGAATAACCCACGTTTGGCCAGGAAAAGCTCCCCCTCTATGTAACTTGTAAGGAACCTCCCAGCAAGCAAGTGGCGTGTGCCCGGGTCTCCGTTCCCCGAGACGCGGGATCCCGGGCGGGAGGGCTAGTCTATCCCATTTGCCTCCACTCCTCTCGGAATACGTTGGAGTCTTCCTTTCTGGTGTCTCCGACTTCGCAGTAACTTAGAGGTGTCTCTGATGAGAATGCAGCCCTGGGTGTGGCTCTGACCACCTCAAGCACCATCCCGACCCTTCCTTGTACGTCTTCCCGCAACCTCCTGCGGAAAAGCAATGTGTCAGAAATTTGTGAGTTCTTGGCATGATTCTAGAATGAAGCTGCAGACCCTCAGGGTGTTAGTTCTAAAAAACGTGTCTGGAGTTTGTTCCTTCTGATAGTCAGACGTGTTTGGAGTTTGTTCCTTTTGGTGGGTTCGTCGACTAGCTAGCTTCAGAAGTGAAACCGCAGACCTCTACAATGAGTGTTACAGCTCTTAAGGCGGCATATCTGGAACTGTTTGTTTTTCCAGGTGGGTTCGTGGCCTCGCTGACCTCAAGAGTGAAACTACAGGCCCTCACAGTGTTACACCTCACAAAACAAAATGCAGATCCAAGCAGCTAATAGTAAAAAATAAAACCACCACAATGTGAAACAGGACAAAACAAATTACAATGGCCAACTCCGGTAACCTGCTTTTATTCCCTTATCTGGCCCCACCCACATCCTGCTGATTGGTCCATTTTACAGAGAGCCGATTGGTCCGTTTTGACAGGGTGCTGATTGGTGTGTTTACAATCCCTGAGCTAGACACAAAAGTTCTCGAAGTCCCCACTAGATTAGCTAGACACAGAGCACTGATTGGTGCATTTACAAACCTTGAGCTAGGCACAGAGTGCTGATTGGTGTATTTACAAACCTTGAGCTAGACACAGAGTGCTGACTGGTGTATTTACAATCCCTTAGATAGACATAAAGGTTCTCCAAGTCCCCACCAGATTAGCTAGACACAGAGTGCTGACTGGTTTGTTTACAAACCTTGAGCTAGACACAGAGTGCTGATTGCTGTATTTACAATCCCTTAGCTAGACATAAAGGTTCTCCAAGTCCCCACCAGTTTAGCTAGATACAGAGTGCTAATTGGTATATTTACAATCCCTTAGCTAGACATAAAGGTTCTCCAAGTCGCCACTAGACTCAGGAGTCCAGCTGGCTTCACCTGGTGGATCCTGCACCCGGGCCGCAGGCGGAGCTGCCCGCCAGTCCCGCGCGCCGTGCGCCCGCACTTCTCAGCCCTTGGGCGGTGGATGGGACGGGAAGCCGTGAAGCAGGGGGCGGCAATCGTCGGGGAGGCTCCGGCGGCGCAGGAGCCCACCGCGAATTCTCGGGCATGGCAGGTTGCAGGTCCCAAGCCCTGCCCCGCGAGGAGGCGGCTGAAGCACGCGAGCGCGGCGCGGGTGGGCCGGCAGCGGTAGGGGACCCAGCGCCCCCTCCGTAGCTGCTGGCCCGGGTGCTAAACCCCTCACTGCCCGGAGCGGTGGCGCCGGCCGGCCGCTCCGAGTGTGGGGCCCCCGGAACCCGCGCCCACCCGGAACTCGCACTGGCCCGCAAGAGAGTTCCCGCCTCTTCCTCCACACCTCCCCGCAAACAGGGAGCCGGCCTCGCCAGCCCAGAGAGGGGTTCCCACAGTGCAGCGGCAAGCTGAAGGGCTCCTCGAGCGCGGCCAGAGTGGGCGCCGAGGCCGAGGAGGCGCGGAGAGCGAGCGAGGCCTGGCACCACGCTGTCACCTCTCGGCAAGGCGAGATTCCGCGCGGAGGAAAGAGGCGCGCTGTCCGGGGACGGGAGGCTGGCGGCAACCGCTACAGGGTCGTAACAAAACAAGTCCCTAGGGGAACTGAGTGGAATTGCGTCCTTTAGCTCTCCAGAGCTCTCTAAGCTCCTTGAAGGGCCAGAGGCTGAGCCCACCTTGGGACATAATTAGTAAGCCTGACTCAGTGACATGGCCCTGCCAAAAGAAAATATTCCCTGAAGGAACAACCTTCTCTCGCATTCTGGTGCCTAAGGAGGTGCAGCTTGAATGTGAGACTGAATTAGGACAGAACTGAAGGCCCCTTGAGCCACACTGGTATTGAGAGGGTATAAGGGACTGCAGGAAAAAGGGATGTCAGAGAGAAAGAATCCCATTTACAAAAGCGTTACCATGTAGGCAGGGTTTAGCTTTGGGTAATGAATGACTCAGTTCTGTGGCTGGAAAAATACACAAAGAGGATTATTAGAAAAGTTTCTGATTATTTGGTTCATCAAAAGGACATTTCTGCCTACTTCCTAGTTATAGTATGAGTTTATGAAATTTGGGATCATAGAAGAAAGTAAAAATTCTATTAGAGAACAGACACAAGGGCTGACAGTTCTTTGTGACACCTCAGAAACTGTTATTCCAAAATCCTATTTGCAATCAGTTGGGTTACAGCCTCCTGAGATTCACCCTCCTGATTCTGGCCCTGAGCTAGGTTTGTCCAGAGATTAATAAGTTTGTGATCTTTCTGTCCTTCAGCCTTGGTTTAACTGGAATAATAAGTGAGATGAGGAAATGACTAATAGAGCTCATCTTGAGTGTATGTTTTTTTAAAAAACCCATTCTTCCAGTGGGCTGGAAGGGGTAGTGGGAAACATTCAACAACATCTGCCCACACCAGGCCTGCCTCAACTTAATCCTTTCTCAGCTACTCTTCCCAGGTAGAGCCATCATTAATCTGATTGGTCATGTTCTAGGACATCAACAAGGTCTTGATATCTGGTGGAAAGTTTAAGACTTTGTCTTGCTTTTCCTCTCCTCTGGGCCCAAAGAGCATGAGACAGCTAAACTTGGATCTTCTCTGTAGACCCAGCCATGTTGCTTCCTGCTTTTTCTCAACTTATTTCCTCCATGTAGCTGGCCAGCAGTTGACACAAGCCTAAGACTTAGGACAAAGTTAAAGGCACCACTGGAGGTTAAATCTAGGCTACATGCTCCAACAGAGATCTGAACTTCTGCAAGAGATTTGAACTTCTCCATGGGTGATTATTTGATTATCTGAGCACTCACTTAGCTCTTTATAAATTAGTAGTTCCATTTAGTTTAACAAAGTTTTTGAGATCATGGGCTCAGGAACTAGATGACTTGGTTTCAAATCCTACCACCTACCTGCTATGTGACTTTTTCTGTCTCATATTCCTCATCTCTAAGATAGAAATAGTAATTTCTGAGTCATAAATTTGCTGCAAGGATGTGGTACAATGGGCCTTGCAATAAATTCTACAACATCACATAGTATGAACGAAGGAATGGGAATAAGATTTACTGGGGAAACTTAGAAAGCAAGAGTCAGGCACAAGAGGCATAGAGTTCTCAATCCTCTCATAATCCCATGGAGAGGTGAACCAGGGGCAAGAACAAGCCATTTCACATGCAATAGGTTGGGGCTCTGGTCCTGACCCAATTATTCTATCTTGTCAAGGATAAACTTGAACACCACTTTTCAGTAAGACAACAAGCAGACTACTTGATTGCCGGGCAGTCTGGGTTTAGATGCTAGCAGAGCTGAGGAAGCATCTGAGGACCAGATGCCCAACACCTGGAGACCATGCATCCTATGGACAGTTGCAGCCCCTTCGTGTTAGAAAGTGTAAGCAGCTGGTCTCATGCAAAGCTATACGTAGGTGCAGCCCCTCTTTCCAAGAGGAACGGGAAACTCCAGTTGTAGCTAGCACATTTCCTGGGCAATCTAGAGTGAGATCCCAGGATCATTTCTGAATAGTTCTGCTTATTGCCCCATAGAATATTAAGTAAAATGTAGCACACAATATCTTTAGTACAGTATTAATAAGTACTCAATAAATATTAGCTATTATAGTTAGTCCCATTTGGCTATCGCTCCTTTTGTTCAACTTCCTTAGGAACATGATATGAGTAGAGTGTCAGAAGTGATTGACAGGGATAAACTTAGTCATTTCTGGGTTCTTTAGCAAAAATAATAATCTAAAACCACCTCAAACCTCACCCTAACTCTTTTAACAGAGACTTATAATCACATCAACATCTACATTAGCCCACAGCTTTAAAACTCATGTGTATCTTTGTTTCCAAACCGCTTTCTAACTGGTCTCCCCAATTCCAGTTTCTCTACTATCTAGTTTGAATTTCACGGTTGTCAGTGTTTTCTTCCTGAAATATATTATCATATAATTAAAAAGTTTTGCTAATTATTATGTTGGCAAAGCTGGGGAAAAACAGGCTGCCATTTCTGTGTAATATAGAATAAGGTAGGACCAGTAGATCCCATGATCATGTGCCCTTTGTAACACATCCTTCACAGTAAAGTGAGTCCCTTGGTCTGAGATGTAAGGCAAGGTTCCATGTCAGTACATCAGACATTGTGAGTCCTTGGGTAGTATTAGCAGGGGCATTGGAGACAGGGAAGCAAAATTATACCTGGAATACATACAAATCCCTATAAGGATGAGTCTCTGCCCACTGCAAGGTATTAATAGAAAGGGTTCAAAGTGATCAATCTGCCACCAAATGGCTGCTTAATCTTCTCAAGAGATCATACCATGTTGAGGGTTCAATGACAGTGCTAACTGTCCTTTTCTGTCTAATAAAATGAAAAGGATCCCAATCCTTACAGAACATAAAAAGAAAATATATGTGTTAGGCCGGGGTTTCCCACCCTCAACTTACCAGCTGTGACACTGTTGGCAAGTTTATTATCTTCTCCAGGCCTATCTAAAAATTGGGATAATGATAATACTTACCCCATTGGATTGTTTGAGAATTAAATGAGTTAGCACACATAAAGCATTTAAAACGACACCTGACCCAGAATAAGCGCGCTCTATTCAAATGTTTGCCAAATATATTTTTTAATGTTTAATATTAAAGGATGGCTTAAAGGAGGAGAGCAAATGGACGAGAGAAAAACAGCCGAGAAGAGGTTAAAAATAAGATGCCTCTGCTGGCGGGACCCTCCCTACCCACCTCCCCGCCCCGCCCCGCCCCAGAGTTCCCGCAAAGGGGCTTCCCCGCTCGGACTCGACGCCGCCACGCAGACCTGCCCCGCGGCCTCAGCTTCCCGGCTGTGTGGCCCAAGTATAGCCCGAAGCCCTCCGTCCCCTTTCTCCCCAGGCGAGGTCGAAGGAACCACGACCCCATTCGCGGCTAGGAAACAAGAAACCGAACGCTTTTCCATTCCGCAGTCTCCATGGTAACGCGTGCTTCGCTTTTCTAGCACCCGCGGAAGACTCTTCTCTTTGGTCCAGCCCTGCAGACACCGGGAAGCTGTGCTGTCTGAATCAGCTTGGCCAGTGTTGCACTGTTACCATTTGGGAGGAACAGATTAGCTTGAATATGAAATTTATCCTCTTCAGTATACAAAGAGAAAAACAAAGAAAATGAAAGCACGAGTCAATTAGAATTACTTGAATATAAGCTCCACGGGGCAGAGATCTTTAACCGTTTTGTACATTCATGTTATTCCAAGCTCTTAGTACAGTTGCTTTTAGAAATATTTGTTGAAGAATGAATTGAAATGAGTCTGAACAAAATGGACGCAAAGCAGCTTTGACTGATCTATCACCATTTGACTGTTCTCAGTAGCTTTATTTTAAAAAGAACCATAAGTCACATACATTTAAATGTGCTATAACTTTTAGGATCATGAGGGCCAACAAGCATACGTTATAAGTAATGTATTCTGTATTTTCAAGAATATATTTCCAATATATGGTATTTTTCTATAATATATTTTTATCATGTTATGTTTCAATATAATGATTATGAGCAGAACCTTGAACAGAAAATTGTTCCATCTATGTAAGTAATAAGGTTAAACACAAAAGATATATTTAAAAGTTTGGGGAAGTAATAAATACTTTTTTTACTAGATTTTATCTTTTAGAGCAGTTTTAGGTTCACAGCAAAATTGAGCTGAAAGTACAGAGATGTCCCATACTCCTTGCTCCACACATGTGTAGCTCTCTCACTCTCAGCATCCCCAACCGGAGGGGTGAACCTACATTGACAATCACCTGGAGTCCGGACAAATGTATAGTGGCATGTATCCACCATTACATAATCATACGTAGTATTTTCACTGCCCTAAAAATACCCTTTGTGCTCGGCCTGGTCATCCTTCTCCACTTCCAACCCCTGACAACCACTGAACTTTTTTTTCTTTGGTTAAGATGCTACATATATGATCTTTTTACTGTCTCCATAGTTTTGCCTTTTCCAGAATGTCATATAGTTGAAATCATACAGAATGTAACCTTTTCAAATTGGCTTCTTTCACTTAATAATATGCATTTAAGTTTCCTCTATGTACCATAGTAAATACTTTTTAGATTGTTCTTTCCCATATTAGAATATAAACTTTCTACCAAAAATTATGGGAAATTACCCTTTTAGAAGGGAAAATTCCAAGAAAACAATTATTTCAAAAAGATTGCCAATATTTTTTAAATGAAATATCAAAGACAAAAAAAATACTTGCTAGCAAGTTCTGAGTTGAACTGAAAAACAATCAGGTTAATTAAAAAGATTATTGGAAGGAAAATGGGAAGACCTGTCTATGGCAGTTAAAATGGATGAGCTAGAGCCACATTTTTCATGAAGGATAAATCTCAAAACTACATGTAAAGTTGAGTACAAATTACATAGTAACCCCTATAATGTATTCTTGCCAAAAATATTGAACCAAAATGAAATCAAGTATTTAGAGCTCAAAGGATATGTACAAACTGAAACTATTTGTATAAAATTTGTAAAACATGTAAATTATACTATATAATATTTGTGGCTACCCACGTATGTACTAAAAATATGTGAACATGCATGGGAATAATAACATCAAAATCAAGATAGTAGTTAACCTGGGAAGGAAGGGGGAAGGAATTGGTGAGGAGTAGACATGGTGATTTAATTGTGTATATAATCTTTTATGTCTTAAGCTAGATGTTGAGTGTTCTTTATATTACTCTTTAGTATGCCTGAAATATTTGCTATTTTTTTCAAAAGCCCCAGGAAATGAATTTTGTAATTTTGACAGATGGCAGAAGGGCCATAAAATTACTTAACATTATCAGGCTTTCATATCTCCATCAAGTGTCGTGACCTTCAAGTTGAGAATGATAGGACAAACATTTACATAAGGAAGGTAGTTAAACAGTAACTACAAGTTTTCATGCCCAGCTTAAAGCATACTAAAGTTCAGGAGGATTGGCCACAGGACCCCTGAAGCCCATTTTTGAGTAGTGCAACAAATGCCCAAGTCTGACAAATATCCAAATTTTCAAAAAGTAAGAAGGTGAACTGTGGAATTAACAGGGTGAAAAATTTGACATGGATCCCTGGTAAAATTCCAGTATTAATTATTTTAGGAGATGTTTTATGAGCGATTGTGGTTAGCCTAGAGGAAATAATGTAAATAAATGTCTCTTAATCCAACTAGATTATTAAAGTATATGCTAACAGTCTACTGTGGAAGTATCTTTATAACAGCAAAGGGTATAGCAGTCTTTCATGAATGTATTGCACAAAAATATGTGAACTGGACATTATTACTATTAAGTAGATTAATATTGGGAAGAAAGACTGTACCCAGTCAGCCTGGAAGGTAGATGACCACGCATAGCATCTCTCCTGTAGCTCCTTGCACAGTGCCTTTGCACAGTATTCACTAAAGTCCTTTACAAAATTATAGACTTAGTATCCTTAGGGATCATTCTACTTAAAATGCCAATTTCCATTAGATGAGAATAAAATTTTATAAAATTGGGGGATTGAAGAAATTATTTTTGTATAATGATTTTTATTCAGCAAGCAATATGGCCAGGCATTTTCATATACAATATATGTATATTAACCCTCTCACAATGAATTTGTGCATAAGGGATTTGTTTTCACTATTTTACAGATGCAGCAATTAAGACACAGAGAAATTAAGTAACTTGCTCACAGTATCATAGCTAACAAGTTGCAGAATCAGGAACAAGATCTTCTCAATATAAAGTTTCTGCACTTCCCATAATACCACTTTATTGCTACTGTGCCAAGTATTTTCTTACCTCCTTTGTCTTTGAATAAATAGAAGACCCGACTGGGCTGGAAAGGCTGCATTTATATCCAAAGTAGTCTAGGTATGAGATCCAAGAGTCTGAAATCATTAGATTCTCTTCTAATTTTATCCTCTTTTGTACAAACAAGTTTTTAATCTCTTGGGCCTCAATTTTCTCAAGTATAAAATGAAGAAAGTATACCTCATTACCATTATAGTATCTTCCAGGTTTGCAGTTATTCTCATCATGAAATTTGATGCCAGGCAATGTGTTAAGTGATTTCCACGTATTAACTAATTTATCCTTATAACGGCTCTGAAATTTAGGTATTTACACTGGACCCATTTTGCAGATAGACAAACTAGGGTGGGTCTAAGGTATGATACACACACATTGTGAGTGGGGTAGCCAGGATTTAATCTCATAATTAAGCAAATTTTATTTCATTTTGATACATTTTTAAAACAGCTAACCATGACTATTCACAAAGGTATGCAATCCTTGCCCCCACTGAAAGCACCAGAACACCTTGGAAAAATGGCTGATTCCAGGTCTGAGGCAGGAAATGTATGACATGTGTCTGAAACATTTATCTTGCCATAAAGGAAAAAAGCAAAGACGCTTAGAGTTGGATGAAAAGGACACAGGAGATAAAATAAAGGGACTCCCACTGACCAAAGATGAAATAATTTGAACATTAAAAAGAATAACTACTGCAATTGATTGAGACTCATTGAATGTATTTTTTTAAATCCATGTGTTCATATTGATATGCAAAAAGAGAAAACAAAATTTTGCATTAGTTATCAACTGATGCAGAACACTTGATGTTGTGCACAAAAAGAGAAAACAAAATTTTGCATTAGTTGCACAAAAAGATTTTACATTAGTGCACATTAGATGCACAAAAAGAGAAAACAAAATTTTGCATTAGTTATAAAACTTAGAACCAAACATCTGTTGCAGTTTCCTCCCTCAAAGCCATTCCCCAGCTTCTGAAGACCAGAAATCTGGGAGCAGCTTGGCTGGTGGTCCTGCGTATGTCATAAGGTTGCACCCAAGACATCAACCAGGGCTGCAGTCATCTGAAAGCTTGACTAAGGTAGAAAGATCCACTTCCAAACTCACTCATGTGTCTGCTGGCAGGAGGCTTCAGTTCCTCACCACCTGGGCCTCTCCTTACAACATGGCATTTGGCTTTCCCAAGGGTGTGTGATCTACGAAAGAAAAACAGACCAAAACAGAAGCCGTAGATTATTTTATAACCTAATATTAGAGATAATGTAGCATCGGCCAGGTGCGGTGGCTCATGGCTGTAATCCCAGCACTTTGGGAGGCCAAGGTGGGCAGATCACTTGAGGCCAGGAGTTTAAGACCAGTCAGCCAACATGGCGAAACTCTATCTCTACTAAAATATAAAAATTAGCTGGGCATGCTGATGCATGCCTATAGTCCCAGCTACTTGGGAAACCGAGGCAGGAGACTCACTTGAACCCGGGAGGTGGCGATTTCAGTGAGCCAAGATCGCGCCACTGCACTCCAGCCTGGGCAACAGAGCAAGACTCTGTCTCAAAAAACAAAACAAACAAACAAACAAACAAACAAAACATAGCATCACTTTTACCAGATCATTCAGTCACACAAACCAACCCTGGTACAATGTGGAAGGGGGCTACACAAGGATGTGAATGCTGGACAGTAGGGCCCAGCTAGCCATTTTATAGGATGGCTATCACATTTTGTAAGGTGGTTACCATTGATGGCACCTAAGGCACAACTGCTTTTTCTGAAAATTGGCAATTATGTTGAAAATTAAACAGTCTTTCTTTCCTGTACAAACTACATTTCAGGATAACCAAATAGCCCTAAATTGCTAAATTGATGAAGGAAAGTTTTTCTTTATAGAGGAGTTCTAACTAATAAATGTGAAAAAATTATTGAATTAGAAAAATTACAATTTTACAAACTCTAATGAAATGGGGTGGCTGAATCTATCAGATTAAAAGCCAGTGGGAAAGTTTACATGGAAGGATTCAGCTATCAAGTATTAAACCCACTGGTCAATCTTAGCATCAAAAACATTATATGCTTCCTGATGTGTGGCAAAAAGTACATAGCACCACCTAAGGATTCTTACTAACAAAGTTAAACCTAACTTTAATCAAACCTTTAGAGGTAACATCAAGTTTTACAGGAAATATGAGGCTAGAGAAACTAATAAAATGGGGACACAAATAGACAAAGCCAGCATGTAGAACATTCAGGACAAATGTCCCAATTTGTTCAATTAGTTGACTATATGAGGGGAAGACGAAGAGGAGGATGGAAGGAGGAACTAGTTCAGATGTGAATTTTAAAAGAATTAAGACACATGCCCAAATTAAATACTGGAACTTTAGATCTTGAATGAAATAGAAAACAAATGTAAGAAGCATATGTATATATTTAGGGAAATATAATATGGACTTGGTATTAGATGATAACCAGGAATTATTTTGTTAAATGGGATAATGGTATTGTGATTCTGTAGGAAAATATCCTTTTTAAAATAAATGCATAATGAAGTTGAAAGTAAGATATTTGGGGTTTGCTTTAAAACGTTTCAGCAAGAAAAAATGGAGATGGATGAAACAAGTGTGGCAGAATTTTATGTATTTTTAAATGTAAATGATGGGTATATATGGGTTAATTATACTCTTCTTTCGACTTCTGCATAGGCTTAAAATAGTCTTTACTTTTGAAAAAGACATTCAATTATTTGTGTTCTTAGTTAATATTTAAAAGTAACTTTTTCATATATTTGTCACAAAACTTCTGTCCATTCCTATCTAGAGGTTCCTCTACATGGGAAAAAAGGAGCAAAAGGGTAATATTTCTGCAACCCCTTTGCACAGGCCATAAACGCACGCAAACTCCTAGAAGGCTGAGCCGCGAGGAGGAGGGCGGAGAGTTTAAGGGAACGCCTAGACCAGAGAGTTGACGCCTTTCCTAGAAAATCACCGGAAATGATAATTGGCGGACTAGGAAGTGGAGCTTCTGTATATTTCTGTTTCTCATTTCTTGGGGAGAGTACCGGCGGGAAGGTCTGTGCCTTGGGCCGTCGTGGGTCGGAATTTGCAGCTGAGAGGAGAGGAGTCCGGTGCCGCCGTCGCCCCCCTCACCTAAATACCCGGGCCCCTGGGGTTGCAGGCAGGGGCGGGTCTTTGGGGCCAGATTTGAGGAGGGAGTCGGCTGCGGTTTCCTCCCTCGAAGCCATTCCCCAAAATGAGCATTTCCCGCCCATTTGCCCTACCTCCTCCCAGGGGCTCGTGACCCATTTTTTTTTTTTTTTTTTGAGACCGGAGTCTTGCTCTTGTCGCCTCCTGACCCATTCTTTTTATTCTTCTCTACAGCATCCATTCATATATTCATTCAGTCAGCTAATTTTTAATCCAGCACATACTATTGCAAGCGCTGTTTTAGGCGTTGAGAATACAACTGTGAACAAGACGACAAAAATTCCTGCCCTCATGGAGCCTAAGAGCCTAAATTTTAGCGAAGGTAGAACCACCGTAAACAATGTATATATTAATAAGTAACTTATGCACCATACTGGAAAATTATAAAGTGCTATAGAGGAAAAGAAGAATTCATGTAAAGCAAGGTAAGGCCCATCAGGATTGGAAGGAGGGGATAGGCTGCAATTTTAAATAAGGCACTCAGAGTAGACCTCCTTGGGAAGATGACCTATAAGAAAACACTTGAAGGAGGCAAGATTATTAGCCATGGAGATCGCTTAAGGTGAAGGGAGCAGCCAATGGAAAGGCCCTAAGATGAAAGAGAAGGAAGGTCGGTATGGCTGAAGATTGAGGGAGTGGGAGAAGAGTAGAAGGTGTTGAGAATGACACATCCTGTAGACTTGTATGCCACTCTTAAGACTTCAGCTCTTATTTTGGGTGAGCAGGAGAGGAAGTTAGAAGTCACGGGCACATTCAGTAGGGCCTTGTATACCTCGGTAAGGACTTCAGGTTTTATTTTAAGTATGAACCACTGGAGAGTTTTCAGCAGAGCGATGAAATGATCCAACTCAAGTTGTAAACGGACTACTCAGACTGCCCTATTAAGAAAGGAGGTGGAGCTTGCAGTGAGCCGAGATTGCGCCACTGCACTCCCGCCTGGGCCACAGAGCGAGACTCCGTCTCAAAAAAAAAAAAAAAAAAAAAAAAAAAGAAAGGAGGAAGGCAAGGATTGAAGAAAGGAGACCAGTTAGAAGACTACCGCAGTAATGGAAAGGAGGGGAGATAGCAGGTGATGGTGGCTCAGACAAGGGTGGTAGCCGTTGAGATTGTATTCTGGATATGTTCACATTTTCAGTTTGACTTCGTGCCTCAGGTTCTCAGTGACTCCCTATTTTTTCCTGTGGTCACATTCCTCTTTTCCCTTCACCAAATATGCAGGGAAACAAGATGTGAGATCACAGCGGTTTAGTGTTGCTAATGAACCCCAAATCCAGGGCAGTGTTTGACACATTAAGCCAAACAGTAGCGGCACTGTGGGTCAAGAAGGGCCCTTTGGCTGGCACCACCAAAACATGTGTTCTCCAAAGGAGGCTGGCATCAACTGGAGCCACTTCACAGCTTGTTTGAGAACTGGATCTGACCAGTAGGAAGAAACCAGGACAGCAGTGGAAGACTGTTAAAGAAACCTGAGTAAAAAGATGCAGGAGGTAAGAAGAGGAGGGTCTGTGATACATCACAAGGAGGAAGAAGGAGAAGTGAGTCCAAGAAAGAAGGAAAGCAGTGTGAGTGGAGGTGTGTCTGACTCTAGATACTGTTGGAGGTGTCTCCTCCTAGATACTGTTTTTGCTGCTTGACCTGGTGATCATTAAAGCTTTGTAGTTGTAGATGCCATTTCTAGTTTTCATAAGGTATTAGGAACTGAGTCCATTATTTTCTCCCTTCTTTTGGTATTTCTGGGAGACAGTTTCTGTGGATAGACCTGTATGGTTGCTTGCATCTTCCTATGTATTTTTCTCACCTTCATAACTTTCCTGAATTCATTCTGTGTCTTGCAATAGGTTGTGCTGTTGGATGAGAGTTCAGGACCACCAAGCCAGCTGCTTTGGACCCGCCAGGATACCCAGCTCCCTCAGGAAAGCGGTGAGATACACAGGAGATTGTGGCAGGAGTCACGGCAGCTGAGAATGTAGTAAGGACACAGAGTGGGTGGAAAATGCCACACTGGGGCCCAAAAATCTGTTCATTAATGAGCATTTATAGAAAGTCTTATTTTGTTTCTATACGAGGCTTGGATCAATATCTAGAGGAACTAAATATTCAGTTTCTGTCAGTATCTTAAATTTTGAAAAAAATCAGTGTGTAAAAGATTCTACAAAGCAATTTATCAGAAAGAATCAATGCAGTCAGGCATTTACTGTTTGTATAACCTGAGATATATGGTAAATAGCGTACATATTTGCACATATTTTACACTTATAAAACTTGTGGTATAATTCAGTAATTCCTACCCAAACATAATTTTGCCAACATGTAAAATTTGAATATATACAATTTTACTTCTGCAGACCTTTCTGGAGCCCTGATACTTTTAAATGATGTATAGATATCTCCAAAATATAAAATAAAGCAGTGACAAAAGAAGAAGCAAAAGTTTTCCCATTGAAGCCTTGTGCTCTTTGGTGGCGTATGTGAGGAGGAAAAGTGGTTAAGATTTGTATAAAAGCTGATGGTAGGCCGGGTGCGGTGACTTATGCCTGTAATCCTAGCACTTTGGGAGGCCTAAGTGGGTGGATCACTAGAGGTCAGGAGTTCATGACCAGCCTGGCCAATATGGTGAAACCCCATCTCTACTAAAAATACAAAAATTAGCCAGGTGTGGTGTAATGCACCTGTAACCCCAGTTACTCAGGAGGCTGAGGCAGAAGAATTGCTTGAACCCAGGAGGTGGAGGTTGCAGTGAGCTGAGATCATGCCACTGCACTCCAGCCTGGGCAACAGAGTGAGACTCTGTCTAAAAAAAAAAAAAAAAAAATTGCTGTTGGAGGTGCAACCTAGGAGATAGTATATAGCAATTCAGGAGTCATAAAATCAAACCCAGAAAGGCATAGACTTTTGGACAGAGGAGTAGGCACATTCAAAAGTAAGCTTTTTAGTATATGCTACCTGCAAAAAATAAAAATAAAATGTGTTTCTAGATATAGTGTTGAAACATCTAGAGGAGGAATCCTGAGATATCTGCTGTACAAGGGATCACAAATGAGAATTAATAATATAGAACATAAATTTTTTATAGATTTAGAAATAAAAAATAATAGCTATTGCTAAACTCGGATGCACGAGTCTCCCAGTCTTCTTTTTCTCAAATGGTCGTGAAATCTGCTGTGGTGGATTTTCAGGGTCAGAAATTCTGTAGCCACCTATCATATAATACAATACAAATGTATTAATCTTATCCCACAAGATATCTGTATACTGCTTTAACAAAAAGTTTTATGTTGTTTTTTCATGTAGCCTGTTTCCTAAATTCATTTTTAACTTAAGAGGAATAACCTTTCAATTTCTAAAGCTAAAGCTAAAAAATAAAGCTTATGAATCACTATGAGTGACAGACTTTCCCAGTTGTGAAGAAGATATGGTAAAAACCAGTAGGGAATGAGTTACATAGGGGTATGCTTTTGTCAAAGTTTCTCTAAGGGTACATTTAAGACATGTGCATTTCATTATATGTAAATTTTACCTCGAAAAAGAAGGTAAACAAATGTTGAACTTCCAGTTAATGATATACATGTTAAACTGTTTAGGGGTGAGGTGTACTGATGCTTTCAACTTACTTTGAAATGATTCAAAAAATAAAATACATTAATGAACAGAGAGAGGAATAGATAAATGGATAAGTATGTGATAAAGCAAATATTGCAGAACGTAAATTGTGGAATGTAAGTGATTGGTATATGGATATTTACTATATAATTTTTTCAACTTTTCTATATACTTGAAAATATTCATAATAAAATAATGGTTGAAAACATCCAATTGAGAGCTTTAAGTGTGTTAATGTTATAAGGAAAAGAACTGTTATGTAACATTAACAAGGCACAAACATGTGTCTGCTGTGAGTTGTGTGCCATCCAGATGAGTTTAGACTTTTTGAGACAGTTATAAAGGAGCTCGGAGCTTTTAGAGTGAGACAGTGGAAAAACTGTATGGAACCACCATGACTGAGATGCAGCCTTGGTCTTGGTCAAAAGCTATAAGTAGCTGAAACTAAAGAAGAGTCTTCTTGGGCAATTTCAGTGAAAAGAAATCAGCTTGGTTCTAAATCGGTTTTTCGTAAAAATGGAATGATAGTCTTGGAGGTCTAAATCCAAAGGGTGATTATAAAATCTTACCAATAGATTACTTTGACCCTGCTGGTGTCTTAAAAGCAGACAGCAATTATTCAGATTTGGACTTGGCGATGTGTTGATAAACTATCAAGAAAAATAAGGCACCTTAAACATTGAAGCTACAGAAAGATTGAGCTGGCCTGCAAGGAATAAAGTCAGGCCCTATTAATTAGTAATATGAACTACTTCTCAGCTGGGCGTGGTGGCTCATGCCTGTAATCCCAGCACTTTGGGAGGCCGAGGCGGGTGGATCATGATGTCAGGAGATGGAGACCATCCTGGCTAACATGGTGAAACCCCATCTCTACTAAAAATACAAAAAATTAGCCAGGCATGGTGGTGGGCACCTGTAGTCCCAGCTACTTGGGAGGCTGAGGCAGGAGAATGGTGTGAACCCAGGAGGTAGAGCTTGCAGTGAGGCAAGATCACGCCACTGCACTCCAGCCTGGGAGACAGAGCGAGACTCTTAAGTCTCAAAAAAAAAAAAAGAAACTACTTCTCACCCAATCATATGGATTATACCTGAACACTTGGACACTCTTTATAAAGTTTCTTTTGCATTTTAAAATGCTCTGTGTGCTATACTATATTGACATAGGGAGGATAACTCAGTACTAGGGAATTAGTAGGAAAAATGTGCAAAATCGGGAAGAATGATTCTTCTCTAAGAGGAATAAGGAAAAAAATTTGTAACTAACTGGAGGTAGACCAGCCATTAAGTTACCTGAAAAAATAAGCTTTGGTCCTATCCCTGGATGCTTCTGTTCAACACATATGCACACACACACATACGCGTGCATGCACACACTCTTTTTCACCCTCCTTCTACCCCAAGTATTTTGGAAGAAATGACTTCAGTATTCAAATACAGGAAGAAGGTCTATTCAAAACCAGGGAATAAGTGATTTGGGCCTTTTTACCAGATCTGTTTGGGGAGGGGGAAAGTTTATTCCAGGACAAAGACCACAGGAAAACAGTAGGTGAGACAGGAAAAGAGTGCATTTCCAAGAGCTGCCTTGGCTGCTGTGCCAGGGCCTGATGCCCAACACTGGAAGTTGAGACTAGAAAAATAATGAAGAGGAAGGATACTGTAAGGCAGTAGCCTAAAGCCCTAGGTTAGAGCTGCAGAAGCTTCTACATTTGAGGAAGAGAAGACGAATGCAGGAGATTTCATTAATACTGTGCTATATTGACTCTTGGCTTACTTATCTTCCCTCAGCTCTATTACCTGCTCCATATCCTGCCTTCACTAAAGATGGAAGCCAAGGAAACCTGCCGCAAGCAGATATCACACTAATGAGCCAGGCCCAAGTGAGCTGAGGCCCCTTTCCTCCTCCTTGAAAATACATCACTACCTCCAAAATATGGCCTTGTTTTCACTGCGTTCTCTGGCTGTGCAACTCCTAAATCAATGTTCTCCCTCTCATAAGGAACATTTTGTTGCATGATAAACCACTTGTGGGTTGTTTTCTCTTTCATTATTTTTTGCTATCAAAACCCCATGCTCCCTTTCATCTCATTTGTACATACCCACCAAAAGGGAAGAGCCTTTCACTTCTATAAACCTCCTCCTTGCAAATTCCTTTCTTCTGCCTCTGTTTCCTGAGGAAACTATGGCGTTTTCTCCAGGATAGCAGGAGCATATTATTTCAGGAGTCAGTGACATTTGAGGATGTAGCTGTGAACTTCACTAACAGGGAGTGGCAGTGTCTGACCTACGCTCAAAGGCATCTCTATAAGGATGTGATGTTGGAAAATTATGGGAACATGGTATCACTTGGTAAGGACCTTCCCTACACTTAATGCTTTCTACCTTCTTTTTTTATTATTTAATTGATTTATTTATTGATGTATATAAGGTCTCATATTGAAAGAGTCCTTATTCTTTATCATCAGGATCTTGCCCAAAAATTAAGAGTTTTGAGTTGCCTCTATTACATAGCAAGATAATTTTTTGGCTAACCTAGTTGCTGTTTTCTGATTTGGAATGAGTTAAAAGGAGACATTTACCTTCTGTTTTCCCTGGGTTCTTGCTTCCTCAAGCCTCTCATTTTTTTATGGGGTGTTCTATATTCCGCTCCTAGTCAAGAACTGCCTTCTATGTGCCTGAAACTGATAGTCTTCCTATACCAGACTCCCATTCTCCTAAAGTAAAACAAAATAAAATTAAAAAAAAAAAAAACAGGAGAGCACACCCAAATGACTGTTTCCCAGAACTTCTCTTTCCTTCTGAGTGTGACTTTTCTGAGAAAGTCCCCAAACATGTTCTTTTACATGTTACTAGACCCCTGAAAAACCCTTTTCTCTATCTAAATTAACATTTCTTTCCTGTTTTCATATACAAACAGAAGGATCAGGGCTGCTTAGCTAAGTTATAAGTTATTAAGTTATAAGTTACTCTACACACTTATTTCTTCTCTGCAACCAGGATTTCCATTTCCTAAACCTCCTTTAATCTCTCATCTGGAGCGAGAAGTAGACCCCTGTGTGCAGGATCCACAGGACAGGGAGTCCCTAAGCTGCTCCTACCCAGGTGAGTAATAGAGAAACTTTCAGTTCCCTCTGATCTTCCATGTGGCATAATGGTTATGGAACATTCTCAGTGGTGGATCATCCAGTCGAAGGGCCCAGAAAGGAAACCCATTTAGGAAACTTAAGGAAAAGAAAATTGAAACAGTGACAAACTATTTGGGCAATTATTCTGTTATTATCTAATTGGTTCTTTGCAACCTATCTAATAGATTTTTGCAATTTGGCCCTCAAAAAAGGCTCAGAGGCTGGGCACAGTAGCTCATGCCTGTAATCCCAGCAATTTGGGAGGCCAAGATGGGCAGATCACCTGAGGTCGGGAGTTTGAGACCAGCCTGGCCAGTATGGTGAAACCCCATCTCTACTAAAAATACAAAAATTAGCTGGGTGTGGTGGTGCATGCTGGGTGTGGTGGTGCATGCTGGGTGTAATCCCAGCTGCTTGGGAGGTCTGAGGCCGGAGAATCATTTGAACCCAGGAGACAGAGGTTGCAGTGAGCTGAGATCACACCACTGCACTCCAACCCGGGGGACACAGTGAGACTCCACCTCAAAAAAAAAAAAAAAATCTCAGAATATTTATTACCCTTCTGTGTGTCAGTTACTGCAGTGCTCATAAATTGAGACAGGTGAGAGTCATTCTAGGCAGAAGGAATAACATGTGAGAAAGCATTGAGGAATAAAATAATATGAACTATGAATTGTTCAGTGTGAGTAGAGCAGGGGACTTAGAATAGCTTTGGGGAGGTTCATAAGTAGTAGAAAGGGGCAAGATCATGATATGACGTCTGTTTTTTGGGAGTTTTCTTAAGGAATTTAAACTACAAAACTTGAACTTACAATAACAGCTAATATTGATTAAAGTACTTCAGTGTGGCATGTGCTTTACATACATTAACTCATTTAGATAAAGCAACTGAGGCAAAGGAGAAGTGAAGTCATCCTCCCAAGTTCACACAGGTATTAAGATTTATTAACTGTCATACTAGGATTTGAACCCAGGCAGTCTCACTCTAGAGCCAGGACTCTTGACCGTATGCTTTACTTTCTTCCTGTCTGGTTAACTATGGAGTGCCATTGAAGTATTTTAAGCTAAAAAGTGACATGATTAGACTTGATTTTCAGAGAGAATAATCTGGAAGCAGTGCAGAGGATGGATTAGAAGGGATTCAGGGTAAAGGATGTTTGAGGGATATAGCAATTAGTGAGAATGCACTGGCAGTGGAAATAAAGAGGAAGAGATAGAGTTCAGAGATAATATTAATAAGATGTATTTGGAGTCTTTGGTTGACAGCAATAGAAATTAACCCAAGCTAGCTTAAGCAGAAAAACATGAATTTATTTATTATTCAGGATGTGTCATGGGACCTAAGGGCAGCTATGTGTCAGGCCCTAGAAGAGACTCAAAACCATCAGGTTTCCAACTGTATTCCCTGCTTCTTTGTGAGTCAGCTTCATTCTTCTTTCTAGGCAAATTGACCTTCTCTTCTTCTCGGACCAGATGGCAGAACATTCCCTCCTCTGTACCAAATACCATCCCACCACCACTAGTTCTCAAATTTAAGTGCTAAAGACTGAGCTACTCTTAGAGCTGGCCTTACCTGCCGTCAGATCACAATTCTAAAGTCCAGGATTAGAGAATCTGACCTGGTTTGGGTCAGGTATTGCACAGATCTAATCTGCCCCAACCAGATGGGCTGAGTCACATAACAGAAATATGGCTCTCCAGGGCCCACCCTTGGGAGCAAAGCAGACAGTTCCTTGAAAAGGGACTGCATCAGCATTTCAGCACCTCCTCTGTAACTCTCTTCACAGGTAGAATTTGTAAAATGTTAGCTGGGTAAATACAAGGGAGACAGAGTTGAAGATTATTTTGTTTTGTGGCTTAGATGACTAGGTGTATAGAGTTTACACTCACTAAACTAGGAGACTATAGAGGAGGAATAGGTTTTTAAGGATTTTTTATAAAGTGTGCTGAGTGTAAAATATCTCAATACTTTTCATTATTTCAGCCTGTTCTGACTTTTGGCCACAACGTTAGTAATTTTTCCAGCATGGAAAAGTTATTTACTCTTCAAACAGCTTAACATTGCTTCACGCCTCCCATCTCACTTATTTCCTTCCCTCTGACATTTGTATTTTCTTGTTTAAGTGTCAGCTGACAAGATGTGGCCTGAGAATGAAAAGGCAAGTTCACAACAAGAGATTTTTGAAAATGGAGAAGCCTACTGGATGAAATTTAACAGTCTCCTAAAAGTTGATTCCCGGGATCCTAAGGTTAGAGAAGTTTGTGTTCAGGATGTCAAATTAGAGAATCAATGGGAAACATCTATAAGGGAGAAACTGAGAGAAGAGAAAGAAGGCTCTGAGGAAGTGACCTGCAAAAAAGGAAAGAACCAGAAAGTGCTTAGTAAAAACTTGAATCCAAACTCAAAACATAGTCAATGTAATAAAGTTCTTATAGCACAGAAACTCCATGAATGTGCCAGGTGTGGCAAAAACTTCAGTTGGCACTCAGATCTAATTCTCCATGAGCAAATTCATTCTGGTGAGAAACCCCATGTGTGTAATGAGTGTGGGAAAGCATTCAAGACCAGAAATCAGCTTTCTATGCACCGGATAATCCACACAGGGGAGAAACCTTTTAATTGCACCCAGTGTGGGAAGGCTTTCAACAGTAGATCAGCTCTTTGCCGACATAAAAAAACCCACAGTGGGGAGAAGCCTCACGAGTGCAGGGACTGTGGGAAGGCCTTCAAGACCAGGAACCGTCTCTGTATGCATCAGCTTATCCACACCGGGGAGAAGCCTTACAAATGTAACTGCTGTGGGAAGGCCTTCCAGTTTAAGCATTCCCTTACCATCCATGGCAGAATCCACACTGGGGAGAAGCCATATGAATGTGAGGAGTGCGGGAAGGCCTTCAGTGGGAGTTCAGACCTCACCAAACACATAAGAATCCACACTGGGGAACGACCTTATGAGTGCAGCAAGTGTGGAAGGGCCTTCAGTCGGAGCTCAGACCTAAGCAAACACAAACGAATCCATACTCGGGAGAAACACTATGGGTGTCCCCAGTGTGGAAAAGACTTCAGCATCAAGGCAGAACTCACCAAACACAGAAGGATCCACACTGAAGAGAAACGTTACAGGTGTGAGGAGTGTGGGAAAGCCTTTCGTCATAACTGTAAGCGCAGGGCTCATGAACGAGAGCATACAGGGGAGAAGCCCTATCAATGCAGGGATTGTGGGAAAACCTTCCAAGATAAGCACTGCCTTACCATCCATCAGAGAATCCACACTGGAGAGAAACCTTACAAATGTTTAGAGTGTGGGAAAGCTTTCAGTGGGAAGTCAAACTTGACCAATCATCGAAGAATTCACACTGGAGAGAAGCCTCACAAATGTGAGGTATGTGGAATGGCCTTCCATCATAGTTCAGTCCTGAGGCAGCACAAAAGAATCCACACTGGTGAGAAGCCATACACCTGCAGTGAGTGTGGCACGTCCTTCCGTCAGGGCTCAGCTCTGATTGGACATAAGCGAGTTCATACTGGGGAGAAACCTTATGAATGTGAGGAATGTGGAAAAGCTTTTAGAGTGAGCTCAAATCTTACTGGACATAAGAAAAGAAAACATCAAGTATGGAGTACCCATGAACTTGATGGGAGTAGGAAATCCCTCTCTCCAGTGACTGTTTCTCAGACCTCAGTAGTCAGTATTTTGACCAGTGCCTGAGTATAACGATTCTGGTGTTACTTTCTGTTTTTCCTACCTCTTAGGCTGGTCCTTCTGTCTCTTATATTAGTTATTCCTGATTTCCTGACCCTTAATTGTGAGATTCCCCAAAGACATTGTCCTTTACCTTCTTATTCACTATTTTTTCAGTGAGCACATTTACTTCCAAGAGTTTATCAATCACTTCCTAATATTAATAAACACTTATTAGTGCTTGCTGTGTTCTAGGCACTGTTCTAAGGGATTTACACATTTAAACTTTTTAAATCCATACAACATCCCTATGAGATCAGGAATTTGAGGCACAGAAAGATTAACAAACTTGCCCAGGATCACGTAACTAGTAAATTCTGTGCTCAGGCTTTCCTAGGCAATTCCCATATGCGTGCACCACATCTTTCCGACATGAAGTTATACCTCAGTTCAGCAGAAAACAGTTTGTAATTTATAAACACCAATCATTTTTAGCAATTTTTTTAACATAAAGCTAGAATGGTACTTCTCCATATTGTATCAGGATTGCTAAGATTCAAAGTGAAAAGGGAGGCAGGGAGAGAACAGGTTTAGAAATCACAGATAAGAGTCAGGCACGGGGGTTCATGCCTGTAATCCCAGCACTTTGGGAGGCTGAGGAGGGAGGATCACGAGGTCAGGAGTTCGAGACCAGCATGGCCAATATGGTGAAACCCTGTCTCTACTAAAAATACAAAAATTAGCCAGGCATGGTGGTGCACGCCTGTAGTCCCAGCTACCCTGGAGGCAGAGGTTGCAGTGAGCCAAGATCGTGTCACTGCACTCCAGCCTGGGCAACACAGCAAGACTCCATCTCAAAAAAAAAAAAAAAAAAAAGAAATTACTAGTCTGACCTCCAGAAGTCTTTTGATGTTTCCTAAACACATAAAATGAATATTTTGAGAGCGTATTTGAATAAATTTTAGATTTTTACCTGGTGAAAAAGATATGTCTTGAAAATTCTGAAGGACTACTTTATGAACAGTGGGTTAATCTTGTTCTGCAACTATCCCAGAATAGAATTACAATCCACAAGTAGAAGCTACAGGACATCTGTACATTTAGGAGATACTCAACTGGAACAGATTCTGCCATAAGGTAATAAGTTTGGTAAGAATAATACTGAAGGAATTCGAAGGTCAGGTGCATAGTTGAATGACAAAACATGTTGCTTGAAACCCTAAGATATCTGTAGTTCTAATTCTGAAGAGTTACCAAACAAGAGTTAGTCTAAGTTATAATTTACATACAAAAATCACCAGGTAAAACTCACTTTTTAAATCGAATTACATTCCACGTGCAAACACAAAATTTTTACCAGAACACTGATATGAGATTATTTTTACCTTCACAAAAGAAATGGAGAATGCCAATTTCATTTAAGTTTAAGAAAGATGATAAGATACTTCTTGGTAAGGATTGTAGCTTGACTACGTGTATTTGGTATTGCTCCCCCTCAGAACTACACTAATGCTACAGTAAAACCATTCATAATCAGGAAGAATGGCAGAAGAGGCAACTACAAAATTTTGGAAACTGAAAAAAGGATAAGTAATAATGACATTGAATTTGAGAAAGCTAAATTTTAGCCTGAAGGGGGCAAGTAAAGGACAAATCTGACCGGGCACCGTGGTTGACACGTGTAATCCCAGCACTTTGGGTGGCTGAGATGGGCAGATCACTTGGGATCAGCAATTTGAGACCAGCCTGGCCAACATGGTGAAACCCTGTCTCTTTATTAAAAATAGAAAAATTGGCTGGGCTTGGTGGTGCGTGCCTGTAGTCCCAGCTACTGGGGAGTGGGAGGCGGAAGTGGCAGTTAGCCGAGATTGCACCACTGCACTCCAGTCTGGGCAACAGAGTGAGACTCCTTCTAAAAAAGAAAAGAAAAAAAAAAAGACATTTATTTTACATCATAGAATCTTTAAGCGACTCAAGAATTGGTGGCACCATGTACCCCTGGAAATGAGAATGAATAGACTAAAACGAGGAGAGTCTGTCAGAGGCTATTTAGGAAGCAAGCAGAGTCCTAGGTCCTCAAGCCCAAAGAAGACTGGAGGTTTATTTTCTGAAGAAGGTTAAACAAAGGATATGTGGGCTAGACACATGGAGGACAGGAATTCCATTTGAAAAAGGAGCATACTGAATGTCAACGCCTCCAGCCTACTTTCCTTATCTCCCAGAAAGATGAGGGTCTGGCTTTCACCTCCCAGACAAAAGACGCAGTTTTCAGTGAGAAATCCAACCAGAATAGACTTGAAGATACATCAGGAGTTTCTCAGCAAGTGGCCTAGCCAGATAACCTGTAGTGAACATCAGCAAGTCATAGTCGTGCCATCAGAGCTTCCCATAGGTTTTATAGTCCTCCTCTATTAAAAAAAATGTATTGGCCGGGCGCAGTGGCTCCTGCCTGTAATCCCAGCACTTTGGGAGGCTGAGGTGGGCAGATCATCTGAGGTCAGGAGTTCAAGACCAGCCTGACCAATATGGAGAAACCCTGTCTCTACTAAAAATGCAAAAATTAGCCAGGCATGGTGGCGCTTGCCCGTAATCCCAGCTACTCAGAGTCTGAGGCAGGAGAATCGCTTGAACCCGGGAGGCAGAGGTTGTGGTGAGCCGAGATTGTGCCATTGCACTCCAGCCTGGGCAATAAGAGCGAAACTCCATCTCAAAAAAATAAATAAATAAAAAATAAAGTTTATTATAGAACATTTCAAACCCATGCAAGAGTTAAGGCAATAGAAAAATGAACTCCATGTACACATCATTCAGCTTCAACAATTATTACGTCAGGGTTAATCTTGTTTCATCTGTATCCCCACCCATTCCCTCTGCTTAAGATTATTTTCAAGCAAATGACAGAAATTGTGTTTCATCCATAAGTATTTAATTGTCTATAGGAGATAATGACTGTTTAAAAAAACTAACAATATGGGCCGGGCACGGTGGCTCACACCTGTAATTCCAGCACTTTTGGGAGGCTGAGGTGGATGGATTGCCTGAGGTCAGGAGTTCAAGACCAGCCTGGCCAACATGGTGAAACCCCGCCTGTACTAAAAATACAAAAATTAGCCAGGCGTGGTGGCAGGCGCCTGTAATCCCAGCTACTCGGGAGGCTGAGGCAGGAGAATTGCTTGAACCCGGGAGGTAGAGGTTGCAGTGAGCCGAGATCGCGCCACTGCACTCCAGCCTGGGCGACAGAGCAAGACTCAGTCTCAAAATAAATAAATAAATAAATAAACAAACAAACAAACTAACTAACAAACTAATAATAGAGCCAGGGGCACGACGGCCTATGCTGTAGTCCCAGCTACTTAAGAGGCTGAAGTGGGAGGACTCCTTGAGCCCTAAAGTTTGAGGTTAGCTTGGGCAATATTGCAAGACCCCATCTCTAAAAAACAAACCAAAAATATAAGTAAACTAACACTAGTACAGTTATCACACCTAAACAAAATTATCTATTTGGCAACATCATCAAAGATTCATTCGCTGTTCAAATTTTTCTCTAATGCCATTTTTTCTTAACATTAAAAAAAACCAAGCCAGGCACCATGGCTCACACCTGTAATCCCAGTACTTTGGGAGGCCAAGGCAAGAAGATCACTTGGGCTCAGGAGTTCAAGACCAGCCTGGGCAACATAGCAAGACCCTGTCTCTACAAAAAATTCAAAAATTAGCCAGGCATGGTGGTGCATGACTGTGGTCCCAGCTACTCGGGAGACGAGCTTGGGAGGTCAAAGCTGCAGTGAGCCGTGATTGTGCCACCACACTCCAGCCTGGGTGACAGAGTGAGACACTGTCTCAGAAAAAAAAAAAAAAAAGTATTCAAATAAGGTCAATACATTGTGATTAGTTGGTATGTATCTTAAGTATTTTAATATATAAGTTCTCCCTATATCTCTTTTTTCTTGAAATTTATTTAATGATTAACTAGGTTGCTGGTGCTGCAGAGTTTCACAGTTTGGATTTTAATTATTGCACACCTTTGGTAGTATTTAACACATTCCTCTGCCCCTGCATGTCCTAAAAATTAATAGTTAGATCTAAGGGCTTTATCAAATTCTATATTTAGATTTGATTTGGGTAAGACTACTTCATAGGTGTCAGCACAAGCCTTTTTTGTTTAACATGACTAAAGTAGTCTTCAGTAGCCTCCTTGCTTTCTGGTGAAAAGATTTTCCAGGTTCATCTGGTATATTTCCTTAGGAAGACTCTTGTTTCTAAAACTAGTACAGGAAAAAAATATAAGATCTGAATAGTCTGATACCAATTATTTAAATAGAACCTATAATATATATTCCCAGAAAGAAAACTCAAGGGTCAGATGTTTTCACCAGTTAATTCTACTAAACATGCAAGGGAAAATAATCCCAATGTTAAACTCATTTTATGAGGCCTGTATAACCTTAATACCAAACCATTAGGGAACGATGAGGAAAAACAAACAACACAAGGAAATTTTTTAAAAAAGAAAATTACAGGCTATTATCATTCATGAATGTAGTGAGAAAAATCTTGAGATAGTAACAAACTGAATCCAGGAATATACATTTTTTAAAAGATTACATGTCTTGAACAAGTTAAGATTATTCTAGCATGGAGAAGTTGGATTAGCATTCAAAAATCAATAAAGGTGGTCAGGCGTGGTGGCTCACACCTGTAATCCCAGCACTTGGGGAGTCCCAGGTGGGAGGATCACTTGAGGTCAGGAGTTTGAGACCAGCCTGGCCAACATGGCAAAACGCCCCTCTCTACTAAAAATACAAAAATTAGCCGGACCTAGTGGCCTGCACCTGTAATCCCAGTTGGGAACAATTCTGTGACAGTCCTTCTTTCTAACATACAATTCATATTATTTTCTTTTTATTCTCTTAAATCTGGAACATCATTCAAAATCTACACATAGAAAGCTATCTCCTTTTTAGTAGAGTTTGCCCCATATTAGGGCAATAACTTATCTAATCCTTGTGAACCCCCATGAGAACCCCACTAAACTCTGAGTTCCGTGGGGCAAGGACGTTCTGTGCTGTTCCCTTCCTTATCCTCTCCATACCCTCCCAAACTTTATGAAGCTGGAAAGAGGAAGAGAAGGAGATGAGGGAAGGCTTCCAAGGAGAAACAACTTCCAAGCTGAGGTCTAGAGAATGAGAGACAGACCAGAAGTATGCAGAGAGAACTGCTCCGAGGAGAGATAGGGCTCCCCCGGCAACCACAGAGATACGGGGTACTGAGAAGCCCACAGAGAAGGTACCTGACTGGGTGTGTCTGGCAGTTGTAAGGTAAGGCAAGGCACTGGCACTTTCCCTAGAGTTGTCTCTTCTCTATACCATATAACTATGGTTCCAAGTGTGAAGTGAGCACACTACAGAGAGGCTGGAGGAAGAACAGCAGCTGATTCCAAACATAAATTAATCCTTCAGGCTGCGTGCGGTGGCCCACGCCTGTAATCCCAGCACTGTGGGAGGCCGAGGAGGGAGGATCACTTGAGGCCAGGAGTTCGAGACCAGCCTGACCAACATGGCGAAACCCCGTCTCTACTAAAAATACAAAAATTAGCCAGGGCGTGGTGGCGCGCACCTGTAATCCCAGCCACTCGGGAGACTGAGGCAGGAGAATGGCTTGAACCGGGGAGGCGGAGGTTACAGTGAGCCGAGATCGTGCCACCTCACTAAGTATGTGCCATTAAGGGTTTTTTTGCTTGTGTCACTCATTGCTGTATCTGAGGCGCCTGGAGTACACTGTCCTCTAAATAATGGGGGAACATTGTTCTGGGGACGGTTATCTCTGGCTCCGTGGTAAACAGAAGTCGAAGAGGAGAATGGGATTGATACGTAAGAACCATTCATACTGAACATTTGGAAAGGGATTCTCCTAAAAACAGTCCCTAGTGAGAATGAAAAGTACTTGGCAGCGGTGGGATTTGAACCCACGCCCCCGAAGAGACTGGAGCCTTAATCCAGCGCCTTAGACCGCTCGGCCACGCTACCGTTGATTACAACTGTGTTCTTCCGCATTTTCCCTAGTAGAGAATGTCGCCCTCTACTGCGTTTAAGGTGTGTCTTTTTTCCCATTAGGGAATGTCGCCCCCCCCCCCCACCCCGGGGCGTTTAAGGTGTGCCTTCTCCCCATGACCTCTTCTCTGGAGCTCCCTCCAGCGCCATCAGAGAACTTCAGGCAGCTGTTCAGCCGCCACACACCCCGAACCCCCAACACGTTGCTTTCGCACTGATGGGAGCAGTGAGGAAGGAAACCGGCGGATCCTAGACGCCCTTCCCTTGCGTCACCGATGTAAGAGGAAGCGGCCACGCGGACGGAGACCCCCAGGGGACGCTGTGGTTCGCAGGTTCGCTGTGGAAGGTGACGCCTGGCTGGAGCCCCGACGCCGCTGAGCGAGTTTCAAGTGGTTTTGGCCGACGGAACTCTACGAAAAAACGGGGCGCCGTGCGAAAGAGCGCAGTCCTTGCTGTTTATGAAGGTAAAAATTCAGAAGGTGACCCGCGGTCCCCGCAGAAATGCCCGCCGGGCAAAAGGCACAAGACGGTTCAGTTTGAAACCTCAAGATTCGAATCATTTAAAAGTATAGTTGCTGCTATAGTATAATGCAATGCATTGACAAAGTTGTTCGTTGCGTTTCTCTTAGTGCAGGCGACAGCGCGTCGGTCTCCTTGGCCCAAAATTTTGACTGAGTCCTAAAATAAAAACGCATTGTGCAAAAAATTATGACAAATAAGATCATAATAAAGAAAGTTAACTAGCGCTGGAGTTTCTTATTGTTTTGTCATTCATCTTCATTAAAATCACTGCTGACGGAAGTTTTTATCCAATATGCCAGTGGAAACTATGCTGTCTTAGAATTCTTTTTTTTTTTTTTTTTTGGAGATGGAGTTGGCTAGAGTCCAATATCGCGATCTCGACTCACCGCAACCTCCGCCTCCCAGGTTCAAGCAATTCTCCCGCCTCAGCCTCCCGAGTAGCTGGGATCACAGGCATGCGCTACCAAGCCCGGCTAATTTTGTATTTTTAGTAGAGATGGGGGTTTCTCCATGTTGGTCAGGCTGGTCTGGAACTCCCGACCTCAGGTGATCCGCCCGCCTCGGCCTCCCAAAGTGCTGGGATTACAGGCGTGAGCCACCGCGCCTCCCAAAGTGCTGGGATTACAGGCGTGAGCCACCGCGCCTCCCAAAGTGCTGGGATTACAGGCGTGAGCCACCGCGCCCGGCTGTCTTACAAATTCTTATATTTGAGTTGTTCATACGGAATTTACTGCATAGTGCCTGGTGTTAATTTCCTGTGGTTACTGTAACAAATTATCAGAAACTGTCTAAAAACAACAGATATGTATTCTCTTACAACAGATATGTATTTCTGAAGGCCAGAAATCCACAATCAGTATGTGGGCCAAAATCAAGGTGTGGGCTGCGTCCAGCTCCCTCTAGAAACTTTAGAGTAAAATCCTATCCTGGCCTTTTCCAGCTTCTGGTGGTTGCTTGTTGACTTATACTGATTCAGTAAAAGTACCTCGTCAATACTAAAAGTTGCAATACTCTTAGCAATACATTATTTCCTAAGGAAATTACTTTAGGAAAATTACTAAGAAAAAAGATTTCCAAGAAAGCAAAAGCAACACAGTCACTCCCTTTTTTGAGACGAAGTCTCAGTCCGTCGCCCAGGCTAGAGTGCAATGGCGCCATCTCGGCTCACTGCAACCTCTGCCTCCCGGGTTCCGGGTTCAAGCGATTCTCCTGCCTCAGCCTTCCGAGTAGCTGGGACTACAGGCATTCGCCACCACGCCCAGCTAATTTTTGTATTTTTAGTAGAGACAGGGTTTCACCATATTGGCCAGGCTGGTCTCGAACTCCTGACCTTGTGATCCGCCTGCCTTGGCCTCCCAAAGTGCTGGGATTACAGGCGTGAGCCACGGCGCCCGGCCTGCACACCCGCCCCCCTGCTCTTTCTCCTGGTCTCACTTTCCTCTGTTCCTCCGTATTCCCCAAGGTAGGCGCGCCTCTTTTGTCACCTGCTGTGTCAATCTGGGCTCTCTGCCTGGTTCTCTCAGTCCCTCACAACAGCAATAGTTTCCTCTCCACTATCAAGGCTATATTCTCCTACCAGTTCTAGATCTCTGAGAGCAAGATGGCCGAACTTGAGGGAGACCACTTTTTGACAGCTTTAACCTTCAAGGACACAGAGCAAGGGTGCCCTCCTGCTAGGTGCTAATTGGTTCAATGCTTCATCAGCTGCATCTTGGTCCATCAAAGGCATCATTCCAGAGACTGATTTTCTCTCTGGTGTTTGCAATCCTGCACGGTAAACTAGGAGGGTGAAAACAAAACAGAAAAATGGGAGAAATTATTTGAAAGTGACGATATCAACCAGTGAACATCAGGAATCCATTAACCCGTTCAACAAGTATTGACTGAATGCCTACTCTGTGCCTGGGCACTGAGTATTCAGGACGAACGCTGACACCGGCGGTCCTCACCTTCACAGCTAGGAGGAAAGGCCAACTGATTAAGCAATTGCAAGTCATCATCGTGACTGAATTGGTGCTGGGTCACACAGCTCGGGATTGGAACTTAGTGTCGATCTGGAAAGGCCTGCTTGGAGAAATTCACGAATGCACTGAGGAATGGGGTGGGGGTAGGAGGTTGGAGCGAGACAAGACTGGCCAAAAGTCTGAAAAGAAAAAGACAATTTGGGTTTGAACCCGCAACAGAACAAGCCCCACAACCCTTCTCTCTCCGTAGAATCCCTACCTCCCGGAGGGAAGACTGAGAATCCTGAAGGGGTCAGGAATGAGAAGGACAAAGGAGAAAGAAAAGAGTAGGACGGCTTCTCCCACGGATCAATCGCGTAGGTGGTGGTGGTCCCTGACAGCTGCAGCTGCCTGATCACTGCTGGATCTGTGATTCTAAAATTCTGAGCAGTAACGAGCCCAAGCGTGCACCTGAGGAAAGAGTAAGGGCACACAAAGTCAGAACAAAGTATGTATGTATTTGAGCCAGGGCCTCGCTCTGCCACGATCAGAGCTCATTGCGGCCTCGAACTTCTGGGCTCAAGAGATCCTCCCGCCTCAACCTCCGAGCAGCTGGAACTACACGTACACGTGACCGCGCCTAGTTTTTCTTTCTTTTCTTTCTCTTTCTTTTCCTTTCTCTCTCTCTCTCTCTTCCCCCCGCCCACCCCCCCCCCTTTTTGGTAGAAACGGGGGTCTCGCTTTTTTGTCCTGGCTGATCTCGAAATCCGAGGCTTCAAGCGACCCTCCCGCCTCCGCCAGAGGAAGAATGTAAACGGGACAGGAATGTGTCTCTGCTCCCCCGCCCTGGCGAGGGACTTGCTAGTATCCTCTATCCAACTGCTGGCTGAATGTGTTCTCTCTAGGAATCGAGGAGGACTGCCTTTCTCGCTGGTTCTATTTCAGTCCCGATCCCACAGCTTCAGTCCAACCGGTTTGCTTTGTTTGATAGGCTGGGCATGAGAGTGAGATTTGGAGCTATCCTCACAGATTCCTGGAAGTTGAACAGATCTCTGATGAGTCCTCTCTTTAGAACTAAACTGATTCCCCCAGGACCTACCAACTTGAGGAATTTTCTGGGAAGCACTTAGGTACCTGTACGGACTTGTCAACAACTGCCATACGTAAGAGACTCTAATTCCAGCTTTACTGTGCATGACCAGAAAGCTTGAAATTGAAATCTTGATGCCATCCCATAGTTAACCGAGATTTTCCAGGTTTATATATAGTTCAGAATTCAAAGTTCTGAAAATCTAAGAGCTTTCACAACTCTGCGCTTTTGCTTCTCCTGAGACGCTTGTCCTGGAATGCTGGTTTCCATTTTGTTCCCTAATAAAAATCTTGTTCATTCTTCAAAGCCCACTTCAAATAGGGTCTTCCCCACCCCACCTCCAAATCTCCCTCTCTCTCTCACATACACACACCCCATTGTATTTTTCCACACTTCATTTTAGCAGGTAACTCTGTGCCCAATAGAAAATTTACTCACTTGGCGGGGCGCGGTAGCTCACGCCTGTAATCTCAGCACTTTGGGAGGCCGAGGCGGGCGGATCACCAGGTCAGGAGATCGAGACCATCCTGGCTAACACGGTGAAACCCCGTCTCTACTAAAAATACAAAAAATTAGCCGGGCGTGGTGGCGGGCGCCGGTAGGCCCAGCTACCTGGAGGCTGAAACAGGAGAATGGCGTGAACCCAGGATGCAGAGCTTGCAGTGAGCCGAGATGGCGCCACTCCACTCCAGCCTGGGCGACAGAGCGAGACTCTGTCTAAAAAAAAAAAAAAAAAAAAAAAAAAAGGAAAACTTACTCACAGTATCTGTCTCCTTCATTCCCCAAGTACGGTGAGAAGAATGATGATGATGATAATATTAATAACACGGATTTGGATAATTGGCTGACTGCTTTTGTGTATTATGTTATTGACTCATCGCAACTTTATATAGTAAATACTGTAATACTTTTATTCCCATTTTACAGTTGAGAAAATTGGGATTTGGGGGGTGTTAAGAGGTGAGATTTCTGTCTTGGTCATTTTTCATTTTCCATAGTGACTAGTGTAGTACAAGCCTACTGGCTCTGAATATTTGCAGATTGATTCCTTGACCCTAGCTGTTGACTTTTTTTTTTTTTTTTTTTTTTTTAGTAGTCTTTCACATTCTCTTTCCTCCTCTTGTCTTGATGCATATTTTGGTTTTGTTATATTTTTTCGACGTTCTCTCTGAGCTGACGAGTAAACGGTAGCAAGTCTGGTGAATAAACAGAACCTACCGTGCCAAAATTAGGGAATTTTTTTTCCTATGGACAATGAATAATAGCTCAGATGAGAAGGAAAGAAACTGGTAGCATTCGAAGAAGAGTTCTTTTTCTCTAATCCAATTAGCTTTATGTGGAAAATGAAAGAAAAGAAAAGAAAAGAAAAAAAGAGGCATTAATCAAGATAAGTTAAGCCAGACAGTTCCTTTCACAGGGGTCCCAACCAGACTGTTTTCTGAAAGCAGAGGCATAAAAACTAATGAAGCAAGAGATTCTTGCTGCACATAGAGGAGACAACGTGTGATATCACGAAAAGAGGGTGCTTTTCAAGAACTGATCACCAGCAGGCCTAGAGGGTTGAATTCCTATGAAACATTAGATTAAAAGGCTTCCGTATATACAGGAATTTTACAAACCATATTACTTTTATGTCTATGTCAAAATAAGATTTCTTAGTCAAATTGATCTTATGTATGTGTCAAAGTTTATTAATTCAAGGACAGAACTGACAAGATGACAAAAGAGTGTCCCATCTCAAGGAAGTTTTGGAAACTGTGAATATATGGAGCCAGGGAAGAGAAGAGAAAGTGCAATTAATTAGAAAAAGTCCTGCTTCATTTAACTGGATCATAACAACATCACATCCTGGCTGGAAGCGGTGGCTCACGCCTGTAATCCCAGCACTTCGGGAGGCTGAGGCGGGTGGGTCTCTTGAGATCAGGAGTTCGAGACCAGCCTGGCCAACATGGTGAAACCGCGTCTCTACTAAAAATACAAAAATTAACCTGGAGTGGTGGCACGTGCCTTTAATCCCAGCTACTCGGGAGGCCGAGACAGGAGAATTGTTTGAACCCGGGAAACGGAGGTTGCAGTGAGCTGAGATCGGGCCACTGCACTCCAGCCTGGGCGACAAAGAGAGACTCCATTTCAAAAAACAAACAAAAAATCACATATTCCATTTGTTGGTGAAATAAGATCAGGAGCACCACGATCTTTGTTTGGAAACTTGTAGAGAAGTCATACGTGCCCCAAACTCTTAGCAGATATAAGAAAGAAATAATAAGCAATAGCTGCTCTTTAGACAGACCAAGAAACAAAGATTCATGCCCCGATATTGTCAGACAGGAACCAGTTAGCACAGGGTCACCAAACCTTGTCAGGAGAGAAACAAAAAGTCTGCTTTTTCTCCAGTAGCTCTCGGTAAATTTACCAAATGTGCATTCAGAGATGGTGCTGAATTCATTGTTTGCCTGTTTCTCAGTTTTGTGACAGCAGGTTTTAATTTCATGTTTATGACCTTCTCCTATCCTCTCTTAGGAAAAAAACATAATTTGTACCTTCATAGGGGAAAAAAGGTTGAAGCGCTGGAGAGATGAAGCAGTCCTGAAACTGCTTTGGCCCAGAATATTAAATTACTGTGTAGGTATTTCTAGGGCTATCCCCTAGCGCCCAGTTGGAGCAGCGTGAAACTTACAGAGAAATCCGAGGAAGATAGAGTAGGTGTCTAAACCACCGAGGCTCTAGCAGCTTCAGAAGCTTGAACACAGCGATCAAATCTCCCAGAAATGACTTCGCCATTTCTTCTCTGTCATCTTCATAACTGTCTTTTCAAAAGGTTATGCTAATCTCAACTAACTCCTAATGGATTGTCTCCGGAATTTCCCGCTTACTGAATCACCCAATTGAGTTAAAAATGTTAAAGCGCTTACTTAGAACAATGCCGGACACTCGGTCTACGCTAGATTAAGTATTCATTAATAAATGTTTTAAAATAATTGAAAATTACATTGCTTGTCATTTTGTACCTGGAATACTAAAACAGGAACAGGGTTTCTATGCAGAAAATGCCTCCTATGAAAATTGAAAGTTAACTTATCCACAATTTGCTGTTTACTCAGAGATTTCGTTCCTGGATGAAAGAATTTGGAGGTTAAAACAGAAAAACCTCATTCCCTGACCGGGAATCGAACCCGGGCCGCGGCGGTGAGAGCGCCGAATCCTAACCACTAGACCACCAGGGAAGCTGAAGTAGGTTTATTAAAACATATTTATGAAGCGAGAACTCAACACATACGCACACAGTTGACTTCTACTTTTCCGACGAGTTAGTGCACGGTCATGCTCTCGTATTCACTGACCTCCTGTTTTGCACCAACCAATAAAATCTGGACGGCAGAGGGCGTGGCAATGCCATAAGAGTAATTTGGGAAGTTCGTAACTGGATGATGGAACGTGCTCTGTTTCGATGTGTGCATTCAACCGAGAATAAATTGTAGCATCAATTTGTAATTGTCTTCTTGCTTTTCTTTGCATAAAGTGGTGAGCCATTTGAAGAACGAAATAATTTTTTAATTTGTCTTTGGTTCCTTCGGAGTACCTGTCATTGTGGGTTTTTTTTTTAATAAATACCTAATAGTAAATAAAAAACATAAGTAATAAATTCATTAAGCCTTATTTTTAAGTGGCGTGGGCGGAGCCGAAATAGCTCAGTTGGGAGAGCGTTAGACTGAAGATCTAAAGGTCCCTGGTTCGATCCCGGGTTTCGGCATGAGAGCGCTCGGTTTTTTGTGCCCACGGCAATACAAATATGGAATTTTCCTTCTACAATACAGAAACACTCCTTAGAACCTAAAATGGGGTCATATTTTTCTCAAATTCATAAAGGAAATCGCAAGAACACTGTGGGATACGTTTATTTCTGTAGCAGAACTCTAGGTATGGGTTTCAACATCTCACTAGATAAAAGAAGAAAAGGCAAACGTGCTGAAAGAAGTTTAATCTTGAGCAATACTAATTACATTTTATTTGCGACCTCTGTTCCCTCAATAAATATTTATTAAGTGAATTGTTAGTGTTATGCGCGCGTCTAACTGAAGAGACAACCTGAACAGGCTAAGTGTGAGCAACAAGCTGTTTATTCACTCTGGTCCGAGCGGGCTGAGTCCGAAAAGGGAGTCCCACCACCGGAGGGTGGTGGGATTGCAGCTAGTTTTATAGGTTAGGAGTAAGCAGTGGAAAGATACAATAAGGGCCCGTTTATTGCGGGCAAGGGAAGAATGTCACAAGGTACATTATCACAAGGTGGGAGGGGTCACAGAGCACAGTGTCACGAAGTTGATTGATCAGTTAGGGTAGAGCATGTTACAATGGTAGAAGGTCGCAAGGTTGGCTAATCAGCTAAGACAGGAGCTGTTTTTCTTCTTTTGTGGTTTTCCTGTTGTCCCAGACTTTCTGGCTCCAGGAGACCTTCTGGATGTGTACGTGTGGGTCACAGGGGTCACAATGCCTTGATCATAGCACAGCCTGCTCCGAGGAAAAGGATAGAGAGAGGCACGGCCGGTGAACTGAAGGGAAGTTTCCTGGAAAAAGGAGCCGCCTAAGCTGTTGAAAAAGTGGCTACTTGCTAGAGGTGGGGGAGGGGAGGGGTGGCTGCTGCGCTGTGAAAGGGAGACAGCCAGCATATTCCCTCAGCCACCTTTTTCCTAACCTCCTAATTTGCTAGCTCTTGGCATATTCAACCCCTGTCTTCCTACTCGGAGGAATGGTCTCTCATTTCCAAGTCTACTTAATATTCCATCTGAGCTTTTGAACCCTCTACCCATTCCATTTTGCTCTATGTTTGTGTCTTTCATCTCTCTCCTCCTTACGTGCCTCTCTTCAAATTACAGAATGTCTAAACCTCTATCTTTGGACAACAAAAATGGAACACATGACCTTATGCATTATCCTCAGACTCTTTCCTTCCACTCAGCACCAAACCTGTTGAAAGAACAATGTTTACCTCATTATTTGCTCATCAGCGGAGGAGGTCTGCCTTCCAATCCCAGGAAACCATTACCATCAACTTTCCAACTTTCAAATGTCTTGGCTGTTTTTGGTCCTATACTTAATTTTGCACAGTATACCAACCTATAAACAATCCTTCCCTTATGAAGCAGTCCTCCTTTGGACTTTGGGATTTTGAAGCAGCCTCGTTGTCTGGGGTGACACCCTAGATTCATCGTCTCACAGCCACAGAGATCAAGGACCTGGACACACAGAGAGGTTAAGAGTGGAAATTTAATAGGCGAAAGAAAGAAAATATCTCTCTGCTACAGAGAGGGGTCCTGGAAAAATGGGTTGCCGAAATTCGGTGAAATGCAGGGGGTTTTACAGATGAGCTAGTGGGGAGATGGTGTCTGATCTACATAAGGCATGAAAAACCCAGATAGGACCAGGTGTGCCAACTGCATAGGGTGTGAATCTCTGGCAACCCTCACCCCAATCTGTTATTATGCAGGTGGGTTCTCTGCCTGAACTTCTCCATGTTGCCCATTTCTTTCTTACTGTACACATGCTAACAAAAAAGGGAAGGTGGAGCCTCATGGTGGACATGCCTCACCCCCAGGTAGACCTTTTCTATCGGTGCAGCTGCCAGCCTTCCCCCATGCAAGTTTCCAGCTTCCTTATCTATGTCTGCAGCTCCATCTTGCAGGCTGCTCTTTGTTAGAAAAGGAATAATTTCTAGGGCTGCTTTTTGTTAGAAGAGAAGTTCTGCCGAGGACTCTTTTGCCCTAACTACCTAAGCAATTTCTTTGTATCTCCTGTATCAACTTGACTCTCCATTATTTTTCTCCATACTCTCTTGCTCTTCCCTTTCAGCTCCCTATCCCTCCAATTTTAATGACTTTGGTCTTTTTTTAAATTAAATGTTTAATTTTTAGGTAGTCGTAGATTCACATGCAGTTATAAGAAATAATATGGAGAGGTCCCATGTCCCCTTTACCTGCTTGCCCCCAATGGTAACATCTTGCAAAACTATAGCACAAAATCACAATCCGGATATTGATATTGATATTGATAAAGTCAAGATGCAAAACATTTCCATCACCACAAGGATTCCTTTTGGCCCTTTTACAGCCACACCCACTTGCCTACTGTTCCTGCCTCAACCTCTGGCAACTAGTAATCTGTTTTTCACTTTTATGATTTCATCATTTCGAGAATGTTATGAAAATGGAATCATACATTATGTAACCTATTAGGATTGGCTTTTTGCACTCAGTGTAATTCTCTAGAGATTCATCTAGGTTGTTCAGCATCAGTAGTTCATTCTTATTTCTCGCTCACTAGCATTCTGTGGTATGAATTTACCAGTTTGAACATTCACCTGCTGAAAGACATTTGAGTCATTTTCAGCTTTTGACTTTTACAAATAAAGCTACCATAAACATTTGCATACTGGTTTTAGTGTTAATATAAATTTTCGTTTAGCCAAGATAAATGTCCAGGAGTGCAGCTGCCGGGTGGTATGGTACTTGCACATTTAGCTTTTTAAGAAACTGCCAACTGTTTTCCAGAACAGCTACATTTCACATTCCCACCTACATGTATACAGCCTCATCAGCATTTGGTTGTTGCCACTATTTTTATTTTAGTCATTCTGATAGATGTATAGTGATATCTCATCTTGGTCGTAATTTGTATTTCCCTAGTGCTAAGGATGTTGAAAACATTTTTATGTGCTCGTTTGCCATCTGTATATCTTCTTCGGTGAAATGTCTCTTTAGGTGTTTTATCCAATCCGATAAGAATAGTTGTGTACAGGTTTTTATGTGGGAAGTTCCTGAAAAAGCTGGAAGTTCAAACCTTTTCCAAATCTCTGTCTTAGATTATGAAGTTCTCATGCCATGCAATTTGTTTTTTAAAAAAATTATTTAGTGATACTTCTGAAAGCAATGTAAGGAAGACTATTCAGGACTATCGGGATAGGCACAAGGGACCATTGCAAGGAGGTTTTGCAGTGAGGGAAAGAGATCGGCCTCAGTTCTGAATATAGCATGGGCAAATGGGAATTTATAGCCAAGGAGCAGTGTGTCCTGGTCAGTGGACAGGAAATTACCAAGAGAAAACCTCAGAGGTAAGGGGAATTCTGGCCAAACAAACCTAACAGGATTCTTGCTGAAGACAGGCCAAGGTAATCAGACATCAATCATCTGGGGGATGGTGGAGAATGAGGAGCCTGATCAGAAATGGAGGTTAAACATAGATGATATGGGGGTTCTTGCTAAACTGACTTGGCAGGGTTCTTTGCTAAAACTGGACGTTACAAGGAAGTGCACAGATGGGCCTAGCAGAAGATTCAGAAGCCTGACTAAAGTTTGGCCAAGCGAATAGTCTTTGTTAAATTCTTATGCAACTGCATTTGCAAAATGCAAAACAGACTACTGTCTTGTTGTTTGGGGAAAGGAAGAGTGCAACATGGAGAAATTTCCAAGATGATAAGTCACTAACGAGTTTCTTCCGCTCCCACTGACTGAATGAATCATCATTCCCTGAGGGGTAAAAAAAAAAAAAAGGAAGATCGAGCAAAGGGTAGCATATACCAGTCCCACCAGTGAACTCACTTGGTATGCAGAAATAATGCTGTTGATTTTTTAAAAGAAATCCCGAAAAGGGAAGTTAAAAGAGACCGGGTCTCGTCGGATGTCCCGGGCGGAACTGCAGGCGTTGCTCGCAGGCGCGGTCCCACCGTCGCCCAACACGGGGAGTTTGACCTGCTCCGTGTCCGGCCTGGGCCTGGTCCCCCCCTCCTTAGACAACCTGGTACTCCCGGGCTCCCCCGGGAGTACCATGTTGGTGCCAGGCCCGGTGCGGACGCCCGCTCCACACAGCGCCGTAGCTCCGAACCCCCGAGCACCCACGATCCGCCGACCTCAGCCTCCCGGGGAGCTGGGATTACAGGCGCGCGCCACCGCGTCCGGCGCTTGGTTTGGTGGCACCGCGGTCTTGGAGGCTGCAACTGCCGACTGCGTGTGCTGGGAGGCGGGATCCGTGCAGCGGTTTCCTCGCCGCCCAGCCGGCTGCCGCTCCAGATTGCCAGAAGTGCCTGATAGAACTAGCTGAAGAGACCGCAGAAAGCACTGGCAGAGAGATGAATGAGCATCCCTTACTATGTTGTCCTCGGAACCTTTACAAAAAGGTCAATTAAACAAACAGCTGTAAATTTAATAAGGGAAAGAGTGAAGGACTGTGTTGAGTGGGTTTCACAGACTTCAATACGTATATGAAATCACCTGGGGAGCTTGCTAAAATGAAGAGTTCTAACGCTGTAGGTGTAGGATGGGGTGTAGATATTCTGCATTTGTGAGAAACTCCCAGGTTAGGTCAGTGTTGCTGATCAGCAGCCCACGCTGCAAGTGACAAGGTTGTTGATGCTTTTGGACCTGATGGTTCTACAAGTTCTTGTCACATCATTATAATATTAGAACATGAAAAGAAAAGAAAGAAAGAAAGAAAGAGAGAGAAAGAAAGAGAAAGAGAGAGAAAGAAAGAGAGAGAGAAAGAAGAGAGAGAAAGAGAAAGAAAGGAAGAAAGAAAGAAAGGAAAGAAACAGAGAAAGAAAGAAAGGAAAGAAAGAAAACCACAGTTCCAGCCTCACAAGTGACTCTAGACATTTTCTTTCTTGTTTTTTAGCTCTTGTCCTCACGCATACATAATTTTTTCCATGGTGGAAGCCATGACATTTGTACGATTTCATGTTGGGTGCATTTCCACCTTGTGTAAGTGGTAAATATGTACAGATAATTGTTCAATCACTCCTTCTGTCAGCCAACATTAACTGAGACCCTTTTCTGTGCCATATACAGTAGGTCTACCTGGGGAATCTGAGAGTACAAAATGCACTCCTCTAAGGAGCTTATGGCCTGTTAAAGAATAGAAGACGGCCGGGCCTGGTGGCTTACGCCTGTAATCCCAGCACTTTGGGAGGCCGAGGCAGGCAGATCACGAGGTCAGGAGATGGAGACCATCCTGGCTAACATGGTGAAAACCTGTGTCTACTAAAAATACAAAAAATTAGCCGGGCGTGGTGGTGGGCACCTGTAGTCCCAGCTACTCGGGAGGCTGAAGCAGGAGAATGGTGGGAACCCGGGAAGCGGAGCTTCCAGTAAGCCGAGGTCGCGCCACTGCACTCCAGCCTGGGCGACGGAGTGAGGCTCCGTCTCAAAAAAGTAAATAAATAAATAAATAAATAAATAAATAAATTTTAAAAAAGAATAGAGACAAGTAAATCAGTGAGAGTGAAGATTTACTCCTAAGTTCTTCCATAGGTGTAAGGGCAGGGTACTGTGTACAAGATCACCAATACAGGCACCTAATCTGAACAAGAATGGCTTACTGGATGAGGTGCTACCTGAAATATGTCTTAAAGATAAGCTATAATTAGGCACATAAAGAAGGGCATGGAAAAATTTTTACCATCAAGTCCTGACAGAAGCAAAGCTAAAAAGGTATGAATGCCTGGGAAAATTACTAGTTCCTAGTTCAAGTAGACCTGAGCAGAAAATCAAAGGTTCATGGACCAAAGTAAAAAGATGAAGCAGTGGCTGAGGCCTGTAGTCCCAGCACTTTGGGAGGCCAAGGCAGGAGGATTACCTGAGGTCAGGAGTTCAAGACCAGCCTTGGCAACTTGGTGAGACCCCCCGCCACCGACACACACTAAAAATACAAAAATTAGCCAGGTGTGGTGGCACACACCTATAATCCCAGCTACTTGAGAGGCTGAGGCATGAGAATCGCTTGAACCCTGGAGGCAGAGGTTGCAGTGAGCTGAGATTGTGCCACTGCACTCCAGCTTGGGTGACAGAGTGAGACTCCATCTGAAAAAAACAAAAAAAAAGGATAAAGATGAGGCTACAAAGGAAAAAATCGTTACTTTGTGTAGTATACAGTCTCCAAAAACTGACCTCAATGCAGCATATTTTTCGGTCGTTACACCCTTTTGTAGTCCATTCCCACAGTGAATCTTGGCTGACCTAACAAAATTATTTCATTGAGGTGATACTGTGCCAGTTCCAGGGCTAAGCCATGTGAAATCTTGCACCTTCTGACTTGGTTTTCTGGAATGCTAAATCTTGGGATGCTCCCTCTCAGAATCCAGTCACCATGCCATGAGAAACCCAAGCCACATGAAAAGGCCATGGCTAGGCACTGTGGGTCACAGTCTCAACTGACTGAGGTCCTAGCAACATCAACTGCCACTGCCAGTTATGTGAGTGAGCCATCTTGAACATCCCTAGCTCAATCAAGCCTTCAGAGGAATGGAGTCCTTACTGACATCATGTGGAGCAGAATCACCCAGGTAAGCCCAGTCTATTCACAGAATTGTAAGAAATAGTAAAACGGCTGGCATTTCAAGACATGTGTTAGTTTTCTATTGCTGTCATAACACATTACCACAAATGTAGTGGTTATAAAAAACATAAATTTATTATTTAGAGTTTTTTAAGACAGAAGTCTGGTATGGTCTCACTGTGCTAAAATCAAGGTATTGGCAGGCTGCATTCCTTTCTGTTGGCCCCAAGGGAGAATCTGTTTTCTGCTCATTCAGATTATTGGCAAAATTCAGTTGTTTGCAGTTGTTGGATCAAAGTCTCTGTTTTATTGCTGCCTGTAAGCTAATGGCCACTCCCAGCTTCTAAAGGCTGCTGTGTTGCTGGGCTCTTTAAAACCAGCAATGGTGGATGGCGTCCTCAGATCACACCTCCCTGAACTACTCTTCTGCTTCCTCTTTCCACTTTTAAGACTCTAGTGATTAGGATCATCTCTCCATCACAAGTTCCCTAACCTTAATCACATCTCAAAGTCCCTTTGCCATGTAAGTTAACATATTTACAGTTTCCAAGGGTTAGAAGGGGCATATTTTTGGGTGGAAATAGCATTATTCTGTCTATCACTCCATTTGGAATTGTCTCTTGTATATTGGTAGGAAGTAAGAACAAACTGTGAGCCGTATCTTGACAATACTAAATACTTTGAGCTTTCCCTAAAAGGCTATGGAGAGACAGAAAAGTGTTCTGAACAGAGAGGTCAGTATGACGGGTATTTTTGCAAGCTCTTCTTGCCAGTTCTGTGGAAGCAGAGCCACAGCTAGCACACAGAGTGCCTTTGGGCAAATAATGCAACAGTAAGGCTGGGCGCAGTGGCTCAGGCCTCTAATCCCAGCAGTTTGGGAGGCCCAGGTGGGCGGATCACCCAAGGTCGGAAGTTCGAGACCAGCCTGGCCAACATGGTGAAACCCCATCTCTACTAAAAATACATGGTGGCGCATGCCTGTAATCCCAGCTACTCGGGAGGCTGAGGCAGGAGAATGGCTTGAACCCAGGAAGCAGAGACAACGGTGAGCCAAGATCCCACCACTGCACTCCAGCCTGGGAAACACAGTGAGACTCTGTGTCAAAAAAATAATAATAAAATAAAAAAAAAATGCCACAGTAAGCCATTTTGGTGGATGAATTACAGAAAGACAACCCTCAGGGCTGATGAAGCATAGAAAAGGGAAAATGTCAAAAGTCCTCTCTCCAGGACTCTTAGCTCTCAGTGCTCAGGTCATATTTCAGCCCCCATTCACCTTCTCTGGAAATCTTTTTTTGTAGGGCACCAGTGGGACTCCCTGTATAGAGAAACAATGGGAGACAAGCAGGGCTAGAAGCAAATCAACCAAACTGGAGGCTGTTGCAGTAATCCAGGAAAGATACAGAAAGAGGAGAAGGAAGAGGAGGGAAAAAGTCTCATGTAAAACGGTGGTGGTAATCTTGTATTAGAATAAAGGAAACAGACTCAGAAGAACTGAAGACACAGAATTCATAAGATGTGGGAAGTACGGGGCCGGGCGCTGTGCCTCACGCCTGTATGTAATCCCAGCACTTTGGGAGGCCGAGGTGGGCAGATCACAAGGTCGGGAGATTGAGACCATCCTGGCCTACATGCTGAAACCCCGTCCCTGCTAAAAATACAAAAATTAGCTGAGCATGGTGGCCGGCACCTGTAGTCCCGGCTACTCGAGAGACTGAGATAGGAGAATAGCTTGAACCCGGGAGGCGGAGCTTGCAGTGAGCCGAGATCGGGCCACTGCACTCCAGCCTGGGCGACAGAGCGAGAGACTCCATCTCAAAAAAACAAAACAAAACAAAACAAACAAACAAAAACAACTCAGAGCTAGACAAAATTACACTCCCTCAGGCTGAGTGCGGTGGCTCAAGCCTGTAATCCCAGCACTTTGGGAGGCCGAGGTGGGCGGATCACGAGGTCAGGAGATGGAGACCATCCTGGCTAATATGGTGAAATGCCGTCTCTACTAAAAATACAAAAAATTAGCCGGGCGTGGTGGCGGGCGCCTGTAGTCCCAGCTACTCGGGAGGCTGAGGCAGGAGAATGGCATGAACCCGGGAAGCGGAGCTTGCAGTGAGCCGAGATCAGGCCACTGCACTCCAGCCTGGGCGACAGAGCGAGAGACACCGCCTCAAAAAAAACAAAACAAACAAACAAAAAAACAACTCAGAACTAGACAAAATTACACTCCCTTAGGGCGGGTATGGTGGCTCACGCCTGTAATCCCAGCACTTTGGGAGGCCGAGGCAGGCAGATCACGAGGTCAGGAGATCGAGACCATCCTGACTAATATGGTGAAACCCCATCTCTACTAAAAATACAAAAAATTAGCCGGGCATGGTGGCGGGCGCCTGTAGTCCCAGCTACTCGGGAGGCTGAGGCAGGAGAATGGCGTGAACCCGGGAAGCGGAGCTTGCAGTGAGCCGAGATCGCGCCACTGCACTCCAGCCTGGGCAACAGAGCGAGAGACTCCGTCTCAAAAAAAAAAAAAAAAGGTCATAAGATGTGGGAAGTAAAAGAGAGGAAAAGATTGAAAAGGATGCAGATGTGATGATGCTAGTCGCCTGCCATCAGAAGCAGCAAGTCTTCTCCAAGATGATACTTTTCTTCTGAAGACGTGAGATTTGAAAAAATAAGAAAACAAAAGAATAACGAACTTTGAGTCTGATGCCTTAACACAGTATTTCATTCAGATGAAGAAATGCTATTGCATGCTAGCCGGGTGCGGTGGCTCACGCCTGTAATCCCAGCACTTTGGGAGACCGAGGCGGGCGGATCACGAGGTCAGGAGATCAAGACCATCCTGGCTAACACGGTGAAACCTGGTCTCTACTAAAAGTACAAAAAATTAGCCGGGCGTGGTGGTGGGCGCCTGTAGTCCCAGCTACTTGGGAGGCTGAGGCAGGAGAACGGCGTGAACCCGGGAGGCGGAGCTTGCAGTGAGCCGAGATCGCGCCACCGCACTCCAGCCTGGGCGACAGAGCAAGACTCCATCTCAAAAACAAAACAAAACAAAACAAAACAAAGAAATGCTATTGCATGCTAAAATGTTTTGAAGTTACCAGAGTCAGCAAGACTGAATTTGGAGCCCAGTGAAAAGAAGCCTACAAAGCTGATGGGGGTGCTTGATAGTAATCCTCTCCTTAACATGCTCAAAAAGAATTGACTCTGTATTTAGAAATCTCACAAATTGAGGAGGAAAGAGGAAGGAGAATGAGGAGAAAAGGGAAGATTTAAAAAAGGATAAGAAAATAATAGCACAAATATATATATATGTACACATATGTGTGTGTGTGTGTGTATATGTATATATATATATATATTTTTTTTTTTTTTTAGACAGAGTCTTGCTCTGTTGCCCAGGCTGGAGTGCAGTGGGGCGATCTTGGCTCACTTCAACTTCCACCACCTAATTTTTGTATTTTCAGTAGAGACGGAGTCGGGGGTGGGGGGAGGGTCTCACCATTTTGGCCAGGCTGGTCTTGAACGCCTGATCTCAAGTGATCTGCCTGCCTCAGCCTCCCAAAGCGCTGGGATTACAGGTGTCAGCCACTGTGCCCAGCCTAATTTTTTGTGTTTTTAGTAGAGATGGATTTTCACCGCTTTGGCCACTCTGGTCTGGAACTCCTGACGCCGAGTGATCCACCCATCTCAGCCTCCCAAAGTGCTGGGATTACAGGCATGAGCCGTCATGCCCAACCACGAGTATATTTCGACATAAAATCTAAGATAGTCTTTTTGTAGAAAGAAATATGCTCACTTTCCTTAATTTGAGAACTATGATTTCTTCCTGCTTTAAAAATCATGGTTTCAGTAAATGTGCCTGCATTATTCTGTCAAAAGCCAGCTTCTATGACTTCTCACCTTTTCCAGGTATATATGAAACTCGTGAGAAACAAATCTTACTCATGGTGTCTTCCTTCCCTTTCTGTATAGTGGATACACCAAAGAGCTTCCCAAACCTTGTCTAGTAAATGGGTTTCAGGTGTGCAGGGGGACATGCATTCCCTCAGCCATTAGTCTCCCCCAGGTCCTTGACTTTTTCATTTCTAAATATCCCATTCTGTTTTTCAAACTTTTTTAGTGGAACCCATAATAAAAAATATAAGTATAGGTTACAACACAACTCTTATTTATTTGCAATGCACTGGGACATTTTGCATTCCATTCTCTTTCACTAAAATCAAAATTCTACTCATGATCCACTCAATTAACTTCATGTGCCACAAGGGTGTCACAATATACATTTTGAAAAACACACTACCCTTGACCTTGACATTAACCTAAACTGCAGGCACCAAGCCCAAGATGTAAATTTCAATCATCTCTTATACTGATTATCACCTTCTGTTTTTTCAGCTTATTTTCTTTTGCCCAGTGGAAAATTATTTAATGCATCTCCTTTCTCCTTACATCTTTACTTCCCTCTTTACACAACTTAAATTTCATGATTAATTATCAGCATTAGTAGCTTACAAAACCTTTGTCTCACTCACAATCATTGGTCATGTAATCACCAGACAGGTTCTTCCTGCCCCCACCCTGCACAGACAAAATCATTTCACTGAGACTGTGGTATTGCGTTTAAGAGTTTAATTGGTCGTCAGCAAAGCCTGAGTCCTGTCCTCTCGCTCTCCTCCCCGGACAGCAAGAGCTTCACCACTCGCTCCACCTTCTCCACCAACTACCGGTCCCTGGGCTCTGTCCAGGCGCCCAGCTACGGTTCCCAGCCAGTCTGCAGCGCGGCCAGCGTCTATGCAGGCGCCGGGGGCTCTGGTTCCCGGATCTCCGCGTCCCCCTCCACCAGCTTCTGGGGCGGCATGGGGTCTGGAGGCCTGGCGGCAGGGATGGCTGGGGTTCTGGCAGGAATGGGAGGCATCCAGAACGAGAAGGAGACCATGCAAAGCCTGAAGGACCGCCTGGCCTCCTACCTGGACAGAGTGAGAAGCATGGAGACCAAGAACCGGAAGCTGGAGAGCAAAATCCGGGAGCACCTGGAGAAGAAGGGACGCCAGGTCGGAGACTGGACAAATTACTTCAAGACCATGGAGGACCTGGGGGCTCAGATCAAATACTGTGGACAATGCCCGCATCGTTCTGCAGATTGACAATGCCCGACTTGCTGCTGTTGACTTCAGAGTCGAGTGTGAGACAGAGCTGGCCATGCGCTAGTCTGTGGAGAGCGACATCCATGGGTTCCGCAAGGTCATTGATGATACCAATGTCACTCGGCTGCAGCTGGAGACAGAGATCGAGGCTCTCAAGGAGGAGCTGCTCTTCCTGAAGAAGAACCAAGAAGAGGAAGTAAAAGGCCTACAAGCCCAGATTGCCATCTCTGGGTTGACCGTGGAGGTAGATGTCCCCAAATCTCAGGACCTCGCCAAGATCATGGCAGACATCTGGGCCCAATAAGACGAGCTGTCTTGGAAGAACCGAGAGGAGCTAGACAAGCACTGGCCTCAGCAGATTGAGAGTGCACCACAGTGGTCACCATGCAGTCCATCGGTGTTGGAGCTGCTGAGATGACGCTCACGGAGCAGAGATATACAGTCCAGTCCTTGGAGATCGACCTGGACTCCATGAGAAATCTGAAGGCCAGCTTGGAGAACAGCTTGAGGGAGGTGGAGGCCCGCTATGTCCTGCAGATGGAGCAGCTCAGCGGAATCCTGCTGCACCTGGAGTCAGAGCTGACACAGACCGGGGCAGACGGATAGCGCCAGGCCCAGGAGTGCGAGGCCCTGCTGAACATCAAGGTAAAGCTGGAGGCTGAGATCGCCACCTACCGCCGCCTGCTGGAAGATGGCGAGGACTTCAGCCTTCGTGATGCCCTGGACAGCAGCAACTCCATGCAAACCATCCGAAAGACCACCACCCGCCCGATAGTGAGTGGATGGCAAAGTGGTGTCTGAGACCAAGGACACCAAAGTTCTGAGACATCAAGTTGGCAAAAGCAGGGTACCCTCTGGGGCGCAGGAGACCAATAGGAAGTTCGGAGGTAAAAAACAAACAAACAAACAAACAAAAAAACCAGTTTAATTAACACAAGGCCAGCCACGTGGAAGATGGAGTTATTGCTTAAATCAGTCTTCCTGAAGGTTTAGAAGTTAGGGTTTTTCAAGGATAGTTTGGTGGGCAGGGAACAAAGGAATGAGTGCTGCTGATTGGTTGGGGATGCAATCACAGGGGTGTGGAAAACGGTCCTCATGTGCTGAGTTCACCTCTCGTGGAGGGTTGGAGGGAGGTATAGGATCAGTTGAGTTGTGAGTCCCAAATCCAGGTGGGGTCAGTCGGTTGGTAGAATACAAAAGTCTGAAAAGCATCTTTAAGACCAATCTTAGGATCTATATAGTGATGTTATCTATAGGAACAACTGGAGAAGTCACAGATCATGTGACCTCTGACCACATGACTCCTGAGCCGTAAGGGATTATAGAAACTATACCTACATTTTAGCAGAATTCAGGCCCCTTTCAGAATCCTAATTTTATGGTCTTTCATTTGTCTTACAAAGGCAGTTTTAGCACCCCAAACAAGGAGGGATATTATCATCTTTGCTTCCAACTTAAACTATAAACTAAATTCCTCCAATGGTTAGCTTGGCCTACACCTAAGAATGAGTGAGGATGATCAGCCTGTGAAGGTAGAAAGAAGCAAGATGGAGTGAGCCATGTTAGATTTCTCTCACTGTGATAATCTTTGCAAAGGCGTATCTGAATATGAATAGGTGAATGAATAGAGAATACTCCTAACTGCGCTCCTTTCTTTGTCACACTCTAAACCAAGGTTTCCTCCCCTCCATTCCACTGAAACTTCCTTGTCAAATCCCAGCAACCTCCATCTTGCTAGATCCAATGGTTAGTTTTCTTTTTCATAATTAACTAATTTATTTATTTATGAATTTTTCCATAAGTTATTGGGGAACAGGTGGCGTTTGGTTACACGAGTAAGTTCTTTAGTGGTGATTTGTGAGATTTTGGTGCACCCATCACCCGAGAAGTATACACTGCACCCTATTTGTAGTATTTTATTCCTCACTCTCCTCCCACCCTTCCCCCAAAGTCCATTGTATCATTCTTATGCCTTTGCATCCTCATAGCTTATTGGTGAGAACATATCATGTTTCGTTTTCCATTCCTAAATTACTTCACTTAAAATAATAGTCTCCAAGGTCAGGCACAGTGGCCCACACCTGTAATCCCAGCACTTTGGGAGACCGAGGCAGGCAGATCACCTGAGGTCAGCAGTTCAAACCCAGCTTGGCCAACAAGGTGAAACCCTGTATCTACTAAAATACAAAAATTAGCCATTCATAGTGTTAGGCGCCTGTAATTCCAGCTACTTGGGAGGCTGAGGCAGGAGAATCACTTGAACCCAGGAGGCAGAGGTTGCAGCAAGCCGAGATCATGCCACTGCACTTGAGCCTGGGGACAGAGACAGACTCCGTCTCAAAAAAAAAAAAAAAAAAAAAAAAAAAAGAAGAATAGTCTCCAATCCCATTCAGGTCATTGCAAATGCCATTAATTCATTCCTTTTTATTGCTAAGTAGTATTCCATTGTATATATATACCACAGTTTCTTTATCCACTCATTGATTGACAGGCATTTGAGTTGGCTCCACAATTTTGCAATTGTGAATTGTGCTGCTATAAACATGCATGTTCAAGTATCTTTTTTGTTTAATGACTTTTTTTCCTCTAGGTAGATACCCAGTAGTGGGATTACTGGATCAAAGGGTAGCTCTACTTTAGTTCTTTAAGAAATCTCCCCCACTGTTTTCCACAGTGGTTGTACTAGTTTACATTCCCACCAGCAGTGTAGAAGTGTTCCCTGATCACCGCATCCACACCAACATCTACTGTTTTTTGATTTTTTTGATTATGGTCATTATTGCAGGAGTAAGGTGGTATCACATTGTAGTTTTGATGTGCATTTCCCTGATCATTAGTGGTGTTGAGCATTTTTTATATGTTTGCTGGCCATTTGGATATCTTCTTTTGAGAATTGTCTATTCCTGTCCTTAGCCCACTTTTTGATGGGATTGTTTGTTTCTTTTCCCTACTGATTTGTTTGAGTTCATTGTAGATTATGGATATTAGTCTTTTGTCAGATGTATAGATTGTGAAGATTTTCTCCCACTCTGTGAGTTGTCTGTTTACTCTGCTGACTGTCCTTTGGCTGTGAAAAAGCTCTTTAGTTTAATTAAGTCCCAACTATTTATCTTTGTTTTTATTGCATTTGTTTTTGGGTTCTTAGGCATGAAATCCTTGCCTAAGCCAATGTCTAGAAGGGTTTTTCCAATGTTATCTTCCAGAATTTTTATAGTTTCAGGTCTTAGATTTAAGTCCTTAATCCATCTTGAGTTGATTTTTGTATAAGGTGAGAGATGAGGATCCAGTTTCATTCTCCTACATGTGACTAGCCAATTATCCCAGCACATTTGTTGAAAAGAGTGTCCTTTCCCCATATTATGTTTTTGTTTGCTTTGTGGAAGATCAGTTGGCTGTAAGTATTTGGGTTTATTTCTGGGATCTCTACTGTTCCATTGGTCTATGTGCCTATTTTTATACCTGTACCATGCTGTTTTGGTGACTATGGCCTTATAGTATAGTTTGAAATCAGATAATGTGATGCCTCCAGATTTGTTCTTTTTGCTTAGTCTTGCTTTGGCTATGTGGGCTCTTTTTCCATTCCATATGAATTTTAGGATTTTTTTTTCTAATTCTGTGAAGAATGATGGTGATATTTTGATGGGAATTGTATTGAATTTATAGATTGCTTTTGGCAGTTTGATCATTTTCACAATATTGATTCTACCCATGAGCAAGGGTTGTGTTTCCATTTGTTTGTGTTGTCTATGATTTCTTTCAGCAGTGTTTTGTAGTTTTACTTGTAGAGGTCTTTCTCCTCCTTGGTTAGGTATATTTCTAAGTATTTTAATTGTTTTTGCAGCTATTGTAAACGGGGTTGAGTTCTTGATTTGATTCTCCACTTGGTTGCTGTTGCTGTATAGAAGAGCTACTGATTTGCGTACATTAATTTTATATCCAGAAACTACTGAATTCTTTTATCCATTCTAGGAGCTTTCTGGAGGAGTCTTTAGGGTGTTCAAGGTAAACAATCATATCATCAACAAATAGTGACAGTTTGAGTTCCTCTTTACTGATTTGGATGCCCTTCCTTTCTCTTATCTGATTGCTCTGGCTAGGACTTTCAGTACTATGTTGAAGAGGAGTGGTGACAGTGGGTATCCTTGTTTTGTTTCAGTTCTCAGAGGGAATGCTTTCAACTTTTCCCCATTCAGATTATGTTGCATGTAGGTTTGTCATAGATGGCTTTTATTACGTTGAGGTATGTCCCTTGTATCCCGATTTTGCTAAGAATTTTAATCATAAAAGGATGCTTGATATTGTTGAATGCTTTTTCTGCATCTATTGAGATGATTGTGTAATTTTTGTTTTTAACCCTGTTTATGTGGTGTATCACATTTATTGCACACATACTTGTGTATGTTAAACCATCCCTGCATCCTGGTATGAAACCCACTTGATCAATGTGGATTATCTTTTTGATATGTTGTTGGATTCGGTTAGCTAGTATTTTGTTAAGGATTTGAGCATCTATGTTCATCAGGGATATTGGTCTGTAGTTTTCTTTTTTGGTTATGTCCTTTCCTGGTTTTGGTATTAGGGTGATACCGGCTTCATAGAATGAATTAGGGAGGGTTCCCTCATCCTCTATCTTGTGGAATAGCGTCAATAGGATTGGTACCAATTCTTCTTTGAATGTCTGGTAGAATTCTGCTGTGAATCCATCTGGTACTGAACTTCTTTTGTTGATAATGTTTTTTGTTTGTTTGTCTTTTTTAGACGGAGTCTCGCTCGGTCACCCAGGCTGGAGTGCAGTGGCATGATCTCGGCTCACTGCAGCCTCGCCTCCTGGATAATTGGGATTCTTCTGCCTCAGACTCCCAGGTAATTGGGATTACAGGGGCCCGCCACCACCACCGGCTAATTTTGTATTTTTAGTAAAGACAGAGTTTCACCATATTGGCCAGGCTGGTCTCCAACTCCTGACCTCAGGTGATCCACCCGCCTTGGCCTCCCAAAGAGATTGCAGGCATGGGTCACCATGCCTGACCTGGTAATTTTTTTTTTGTTTTTTTTTTTTTTTGAGACGGAGTCTCACTCTTGTTGCCCAAGCTGGAGTGCAATGGTGTGACCTCGGCTTACTACACCTTTGCCTCCTGGGTTCAAGCGATTATGTTGCCTCAGCCTCCCAAGTAGCTGGGATTACAGGTACCCACCACCACACCCAGCTAATTTTTTGTATTTTTAGTAGAGATGGGGTTTCCCCATGTTAGCCAGGCTGGTCTCGAACTCCTGATGTCAGGTGATCCACTCACCTCAGCCTCTCAAAATTCTGGGATTACAGGCATAAGCCACCATGCCCAGCTTGGCCTGGTAATTTTGTAGTTATCATTTTAATCTCGCTGCTTGTTATTTGTCTGTTCAGTGTATCTGATTCTTCCTGATTTAAGCTAGGAGGGTTGCATCTTTCTAAGAATTTATCCATCTCTTCCAGGTTTTCTAGTTTATGTGTATAGAGGTATTCATAGCAGCCTTGAATGATCTTTTGTATTTCTGTGGTGTCAGCTGTAATATCTCCCATTTCATTTTTTATTGAAGTTATTTGGATTTTCTCTCTTCTTTTCTTGGTTAATCTTGCTAAAGGTCTATCAATTTTATCTTTTCAAAGAACCAGATTTTTGTTTTATTTATCTTTTGTATTTTTTTGTTTGTTTGTTTCAATTTCATTTAGTTCTGCTGTGATCTTGGTCATTTCCTTTCTTCTGCTGTGTTTGGGTTTGGTTTGTTCTTGTTTCTCCAGTTCCTTGAGATGTGACCTTAGGTTGTCAGTTTGTGTTCTTTCAGTCTTCTTGATGTAGGTGTTTAGGGCTATGAACTTTCCTCTTAGCACTGCCTTTGCTGTTTCCCAGAGGTTTTAATAGGTTGTCACTATTGTCGTTCAGTTCAAGGAATTTTTTAATTTCCATCTTGATTTCATTTTTGACCTAATGTTCATTCAGGAGCAGCTTATTTAATTTCTATGTATTTGCATGGTTTTGAAGGTTCCTTTTGGAGTTGATTTCCAGTTTTATTCCACTGTAGTCTGAGAGAGTGCTTCATATAATTTGAATTTTCTTAAATTTATTGAGCCTCATTTTGTGGCCTATCATATGGTCTATCTTGGAGAAAGTTTCATGTGCTGTTGAATAGAATGTGTATTCTGCAGTTGTTGAATGGAATGTTTTGTATATATCTGTTAAGTCCATTTGTTCCAAGGTATAGTTTAAATCCATTGTTTCTTTGCTGACTTTCTGTCTTGATGACCTGTCTAGTACTGTCAGTGGAGTATTGAAGTCCCTCGCTATTATTGTGTTGCCATCTATCTCATTTGTTAGGGCTATTAAGTAATTGTTTTATAAATTTGGGAGCTTCAATCATAGGTGCACACATGTTTAGGATTGTGATATTTTCTTGTTAGACAAGGCCTTTTACCATTATATAATGTCTCTCTTTGTCTTTTTTAACTGCTGTTGCTTTAAAGTTTGTTTTGTCTGATATAAGAATAGCTACGCCTGCTCAATTTTATTGTCCGTTTGAATGAAATGCCGTTTTCCTCCGCTTTTTTTTTTTTCTTTTTGAGACGGAGTATTGCACTGTCGCCCAGGCTGGAGTGCAGTGGCGCCATCTCGGCTCACTGCAAGCCCTGCCTCCTGGGTTCACGCCATTCTCCTGCCTCAGCCTCCCGAGTAGCTGGGACTACAGGTGCCCGCCACCACACCTGGCTAATTTTTTGTATTTTTAGTAGAGACGGGGGTCTCACCGTGTTAGCCAGGATGGTCTCGATCTCCTGACCTGGTGATCCACCCGCCTCGGCCTCCCAAAGTGCTGGGATTACAGGTGTGAGCCACCGCGACTGGCCAAGATTTAGAGAACCTTTTATCAGTTCTTGTAGTGGTGGCTTGGTAGTGGCAAATTCTCTCAGCATTGGTTTGTCTGAAAAAGACTATCTTTCTTTCATATAAGATGCTTAGTTTTGCAGGATACAAAATTCTTGGCTGATAATTGTTTTGTTTGAGGAGGCTGAATGTTGGGCCCCAATCCCTTCTAGCTTGTAAGGTTTCTGCTGAGAAATCTGTTGTTAATCTGAAGGTTTTCCTTTATAGGTTACCTGGTGGTTTTGTCTCACAACTCTGAAGATTCTTTCCTTTGCCTTAACTTTAGATAACTTGATGACAATGTGCCTAGGCAATGATCTTTTTTGTGATGAATTTTCCAGGTGTTTTTTGTGCTTCTTGTGTTTGGATGTCTAGGCCTCTAGCAAGACCAGGGAAGTTTTCCTCGATTATTCCCCCAAATACGTTTTCAAAACTTTTAGATTTCTCTTTTTACTCCGGAACGCCAATTATTCTTAGGTTTGGTCATTACATAATCCCAGACTTCTTGGAGGCTTTGTTCATATTTTCTTTTTCTTTTTTCTTTGTGTTTGTTGGATTGGTTTAATTCAAAGACCTTGCCTTCAAGCTCTGAATTTCCTTATTCTACTTGTTCAATTCTATTGGTGAGACTTTCCAGAGCATTTTGCATTTCTATATATGTGTCCAATGTTTCCTGAAGTTTTGATTGTTTTTTATTTATGCTATCTGCTTCATTGAATATTTCTCCCTTCACTTTTTTTTTTTTCGAGACGAAGTCTCACTGTGTTGCTCAGGCTGGAGTGCAGTGACATGATCTCAGCTCATTGCAACCTCCGCCTCCCAGGTTCAAGTGATTCTCCTGCCTCAACCTCCCAAGTAGCTGGCATTACAGGTGCACGCCACCACACCCAGGTAATTTTTGTATTTTTAGTAAAGATGGAGTTTCACCATGTTGGCCAGGCTGACCTCAAACTCCTGACCTCAAATGATCTGCCCACCTCAGCCTCCCAGGGATTACAGGTATGAACCACTGCACCTGGTCTCTCCCTTCACTTCTTGTATCATTTTTTGGATTTCTTTGTGTTGGGCTTCACCTTTCTCTGGTGCCTCTCTGATTAGCTTAGTAACTAACCTCCTGAATCCTTTTTCAGGTAAATCAGGGATTTCTTCTTGGTTTGGATCCATTACTAGTGAGCTAGTGTGATTTTTGGGGGTTGTTAAAGAGCCTTGTTTTGTCATATTACCAGAGTTGGTTTTCTGGTTCCTTCTCATTTGGGTAGGCTCTGTCAGAGGGAGGGTCTAAGGCTAAAACTGTTGTTCAGATTCTTTTGTCCCACAGGGTGTTGCCTTGATGTAGTACTCTCCCCATTTTCCTATGGATGTGGCTTCCTGAGGGTCAAGCTGTAATGATTGTTATCTCTCTTCTGGATCTAGCCACCCAGCAAGTCTACCAGGCTGTGAGCTGGTACTGGGGGTTGTCTTCACGGAGTCCTGTGATGTGAACCATCTATGGGTCTCTCAGCCTTGGATACCAGCATCTGTTCCAGTGGAGGTGGCAGGGTGTGAAATGGACTCCGTGACGGTTCTTAGCTTTGGTGGTTTAATGCTCTATTTTTGTGCTGGTTGGCCTCCTGTTGGTAGGTGGCACTTTCCAGAGAACATCAACTGTGGTAGTATGGAGATGAACCAGCGGTAGGCAGGGCCCTAGAACTCCCAAGGGTATATGCCCTTTGTGTTCAGTTATCAGGGTGGGTAAAGAAGGACCATCAGGTGAGGGCAGGGCTAGGCGTGTCTGAGTTCAGACTCTCCTTGGGTGGGTCTTGCTGCGGTTGCTGTGGAGGAGGGGAGGTTCCCAGGTCAATGGAGTTATGTACCTAGAAGGATTTTGGCTGCCTCTGCTGAGTCATGTAGGTTGTCAGGGAAGTGGGGGAGAGCCAGCAGTCACAGGCTTCACCCAGCTCCCATGCAATCTGAAGGGCCAGTCTCACTCCCACTGTGCCTCCCCTAACAGCACCAAATCTGTTTCCAGGCAGTGGGCAAGAAGAGTTGAGAATTTGCCCCAGGCTACCCGCCTCCCAGCTGTGAAAGAAAGTAGGGTTTTAGTTCTTCCCCTACCTGTGGAGTCTGCATGCTGGATTCATGCCCTCCCCCAAGTTCTGGCCATGAGGTTTCTTGACTAGTTCAAATTGTTACAAAGCTCAGCTGGAGGTTTCCTTCTTCCTGTGCCATTTTCCCTGTGCCTCTGGCTGCCCTCCCAAAGGATCCCTGTGATGCCAGCAGGAGTGGCCTACTTGGGGACCCAGCAAGCTCACAGGGCCTGTCCAATTGATTCCTCTACCCCTGTATTTCCCTTGGCTCTCTAAATTGACTCAGCTCCAGATAAATTCAGAATCTTCTCCCGTAAAGTAGACCTTCAGTTTCCCCAGTGGGGGTGTGTGCTCGGGGGCGGAGGATCTCCCTTTCTCACTTCCACAGTTTGGGCACTCACAGTATTTGAGGTGTCTCCCAGGTCCTACAGGAGCAATCTGCTTCCTTCAGAGGGTCCGTGGGTCCTCTCGGGTTTCCGGATTTATTCCTGAAGTCGTTCTGGAGTTAAAATTCATGATGAGGGCCTCCACACGCTGCTCCGTCCATTGAAGTAAGAGGTGCAATCTAGTCCTGTCTCCCGTCTGCCATAATGTTCCCAATGCTCTCCCAATGTTCAATTTTCAGGCTTCAATTTGCTCAGCCTCTCAATGTCATTTGGCCCAGTTGATATTCCCCCTTCATGAAAACACATTCCGACCAGGCGCAGTGGCTCACGCCTGTAATCCCAGCTCTTTGGGAGGCCGAAGCAGGTGGATCACGAGGTCAGGAGATCGAGTCCATCCTGGCTAACACGGTGAAACCCCGTCTCTACTAAAAATACAAAAAAATTAGCCAGGTGTGGTGGCGGGCGCCTGTAGTCCCAGCTACTTGGGAGGCTGAGGCAGGAGAATGGCGTGAACCCGGGAGGCGGAGCTTGCAGTGAGCCAAGATGGCTCCACTGCACTCCAGCCTGGGCAACAGAGCAAGACTCCATCTCAAAATAAATAAATAAATAAATAAATAATAAAAATAAATTTAAAAAAAAACAACATGTTCCTCATTAGACCCCTGAGGGTCTTCTTTCACAAATATTAAATCCTTGAATGTTAATGAAAGACCTCAAGTATACCAGCCTCAAGTTTATGAGATGACCTCTTTTAATCTTTTTTCACAGCAGAAAGGAAATAATAACTTCCTTCAGTGTTGCTAAAATTGTTTTATTATTCAGGCAGAAGCAGTTTCATGACCCAAAGAATAAGTATCTGAAAAGAAGGAAAAGCCATTGGCAATCATCCTGTTACCTCCAATCACCTATAAACCATTATTATCTATCAAACCATCCATTTTTATCTGTTAAGCCAGACGTTGTCCTTGAAGCTCACTGAGACCTCTTAATTCTTTATTCTTTTCATAAATAGTGTTTCCCCAAACTGGTGAACCAGTTGCTGTTGCTGTTCAACTTTTTAGGGAGCCAACTGAGACATAGCCATACCAAACCTTTCCACCCCCACAAAAAAAAAATCCAACAATTATATAATAAATGCATGTATTACTTTGACATCAAATTTTAAAAATAGATGTTTGAAATTATATATTATTCTGCAATATTTGTTTCTCCATTGCAAAACTGTTATTACTTAAACAAAACAATAATGGTGTGTCCAGAATTGGTAGGTTCTTGGTCTCACTGACTTCAAGAATGAAGCCACGGACCCTCACGGTGAGCATTACAGCTCTTAAGGTGGTGGGTCTGGAGTCTGCCCCTTCTGATGTTCAGATGTGTTCGGAGTTTCTTTCTTCTGGTGGGTTCGTGGTCTCACTGGCTCAGGAGTGAAGCTGCAGACTTTCATAGTGAGTGTTACATCTCTTAAGGTAGCGCATCTGGAGTTGTTTGTTTTTCCCAGTAGGCTCGTGGTTTTGCTGGGCTCAGGAATGAAACTGCAGATCTTCACGGTGAGTCTTACAGCTCACAAAAGCAGCATGGACCCAAAGAGTGACCAGTTGCAAGATTTATTGCAAAAAGCGAAAGAACAAAGCTTCCACAATGTGGAAAGGAACCCGAGAGGATTGCCAATGCTGGCTCGGGCAGCCTGCTTTTATTCTCCTATCTGGCCCCATCCACATCCTGCTGATTGGTAGAGCCCAGTGGCCTGTTTTGTCAGGGCGCTGATTGGTGCGTTTACAATCCCTGAGCTAGATACAAAGGTTCTCCACCTCCCCAACAGATTAGTTAGATACAGAGTTTTGACACACAGGTTCTCCAAGGCCCCACCAGAGCAGCCAGAGTGTCGATTGGTGCACTCACAAACCTTGAGCTAAACACAGGGTGCTGATTGGTGTGTTTACAAATCTTGAGCTAGATACAGAGTGCCGATTGGTGTATTTACAATCTCTGAGCTAGACATAAAGGTTCTCCACATCCTCACCAGAGCAGCTAGATACAGAGTGTCGATTGGTGCACTCATAAACCTTGAGCTAAACACAGGGTGCTGATTGGTGTGTTTACAAACCTTGAGCTGGATACAGAGTGCCGATTGGTGTATTTACAATCCCTGAGCTAGACATAAAGGTTCTCCACGTCCTCACCAGAGCAGCTAGATACAGAGTGTCGATTGGTGCACTCACAAACCTTGAGCTAAACACAGGGTGCTGATTGGTGTATTTACAATCCTGAGCTACATATAAAGACTCTCCACATCCCCACCAGACTCAGGAGCCCAGCTGGGTTCACTTAGAGGATCCTGCACCGGGGCTGTAGGTGGAGCTGGCTACCAGTCCTGCGCCCTGTGCTCGCATTTCTCAGCCCTTGGGTGGTCCATGGGACTGGGCACCATGGAGTAGGGGGTGGTGCTCGTCCGGGAGGCTCGGGCCGCACAGGAGCCCATGGAGTGGATGGGAGGCTCAGGCATGGTGGGCTGCAGGTCCCGAGCCCTGCCCCGTGGAAGGCAGCTAAGGCCCAGCGAGAAATCGAGCACAGCACTGGTGGGCTGGCACTGCTGGGGACCCAGTACACCCTCCGCAGCCACTGGCCCAGGTGCTAAGTTCCCTATTGCCCGGGGCCAGCAGGGCTGGCTGGCTGCTCCGAGTGCGGGGCCCACCAAGCCCACGCCCACCCGGAACTCCAGCTGGCCGGCAAGCGCCGCACACAGCCCCGGTTCCCGCTCGTGCCTCTCCGTCCACACCTCCCTGCAAGCTGAGGAAGTGGACCCCAGCCTTGGCCAGCCCAGAAAGGGGCTCCCACAGTGCAGTGGGGGGGCTGAAGGGCTCCTCAAATGCCACCAAAGTGGGAGCCCAGGCAGGGGAGGTGCCGAGAGCAAGCGAGGGCTCTGAGGACTGCCAGCATGCTGTCACCTCTCAATAGGAGTAGTTAATAATGGCAATTAGAAGTAATTTATAATAGGACTAATTACATAAATAATATGTTTGGGAAAAATATAACAATATGTTTTTAGTATTTCTATCTGTTCTCTTATGTAGTGATTTATTTTAACTTTTTAAAACTATTGGATATTTAAGTCTCATAGGCTATATTATTTCAACTTTAAGGCGCATTAATAAATGAAAAACATAAATACAAAAACGTAAAATACAACAAGAATGTAAAAGAAGAACATAACTACAATAAAACTACTTAAGCAGATATTACCTATATTTAATAAAAAATAATGACATTTCTTTCTGTCGCATGAAACAATCGAGTATCTTTACCCTTTCTGTTTCTTTTTCCAATATTCTTTCTGTGACCTGTCTGCAACATTTAAGACATCTTTATTTTCTTTTATATAGTGGTAATACTGAATACAGTCAAAGGTAAAATTCACTTTGAATTGCAGCTCTGCTCTTATCAAGCCCATATTACTTAGATTCCTGGTATCATTCTAGTGTGATAAAATCACACTAAATATCCTCTCAACAAAAGCATTTGAGCATTGAATACTCGGTATTTTACTTACTAGCAATAGCAGACTGTTGCAGCGAGCTGAGATCGCACCACAGCACTCCAGCCTGGGCAACAGAGGGAGACTCCATCTCAAAAAAATTAATAAATAAAATGAAATAAATAAATGATAAATTTGGGAAACAAAGCTTGGATTCCAAATAAATTGTATTTTTAGCAAGAGATTGATAAAGTCCTATTTAACTTGCATTCTGAAGCAGTCTTTTTTTTTTAAAAAAAGAATCTTTTCTTAGTGTATGAATCTTTATGTCACAATCTACATAACATAACATTGTTAAAATTAATGGGAGGCTATTGTTTTGGAATGAACTCCTGCATTAGGCTCCAACAGACCAGACCAAACCAGAAGGGAGCCCTTTGTGCAGGGTGCCAAGTAATCAAACTGAAATTTAAAACAGGCCAGTTTTCCAAAAAACAGGAGATTCACAATAACCAGTAGAAAAGGGTCCAGACTACCTCAGCCAGCATGTTAAGGAAGTATCCTCTGCTTTAACCTTACAAGGACAGTCACTTTGTAATTACCAATCCACCTATTGTTCCTTGTTTGTAGTTTCTTCAGCCTTTTCTACCTATAACCTCATCTCCTCGTCAGAGCACCTTCCTATTTTGTAGATGAGATGCTGCCTGATTCATGAATTGCCAATAAAAGTTGATCTGATCTTTAACCTAAGTGTGTTGAAATTTTGTTCTTCGACAACGTCAAACAAATGAAAGTATAAATTTCTGTTTTACGGTAGTTCTTTTCTCCATTCTCACTCTTAAAATATTGTCAAATTAGAGAATAGCATTCCTCTTGTCCCACATTTTGAAAATATGATTTTACACCAAGTAAACATTTTAACATCTATCCTATGGCCAGCAATAATTATAGTCAACTTTAGACATTTCTAAGGAGGCTACCTCCTTTCGTTTCTATAAAGTGAAAATTCTTATTGTTTCTGCACATTTTGAGGAAACTAAAAAGTGACCATAAATCTCATTAAGCCATGAAAGCCTCAATATCACCAGTAAACAAATCACAATCCTTCTTAGCAGTGTTGTTTGTTTTGTTTTGTTTTGTTTGAGACGGAGTTTCGCTCTTGTTGCCCAAGCTGGAGTGCAATGGTACGATCTCGGCTCACTGCAACCTCTGCCTCTGGGGTTCAAGTGATTCTCCTGCCTCAGCCTCCCGAGTAGCTGGGATTACAGGCATGTGCCACCACACCCCGTTGATTTTTTGTATTTTTAGTAGAAACGGGGTTTCACCATGTTAGCCAGGCTGGTCTCAAACTCCTGACCTCAGGTGATCCACCAGCTTTGGCCTCCTAAAGTGCTGGGATTACAGGCGTGAGCCATCACGCCCGGCCTCTTAGCAGTGTTGTGAACAACATGTGCAGAACACGTCACATGTAAGATCTTTTCATTTTCTTTGGTAGAAAGTTTATAGTCTGAATGGAATTTGCCAAAATTTACATTTGCACTGTCTGCCAAATATGCAGATAGATGAGCAAGATCTAACTTGTAGTTGACCAACATATCAATGATTGTTTATGCTTCAAGTGGTTTCATTAAGTCTTCATGCATACCAGGAAAGATGATTTTCAACATCATGTTTCAAATCAAAGTATGTAAGAGCTAAGGGAAACTTTTTTTTTAATGGTTGAGGTGGATTTGACACATCATTATGTTGTAGAGAGCAAGGTCGTCTGATAGAATCAGCTGTACACTGCAAGAGACCAATATGTGGTATCAGAATTTCCTCTTGTTCACCCACGAGATGCAACCTCTGAATCAGGAAATAGAGTAATTAAGGAAGCCATAAAATAATGCGTGTTCTTTTCTAATATTCTGCCCAATACCATTTTCTTTTATTTAATTTTAACTTTTTTTAAGGTCTCCTTGTAAGCAAGCCCAATGCTATTCTCTACAGAGCGCTGGTGTCACTTTTGGGAGACAAAAACACTTTTGATTGGTTCAGAAGTTCTTGCCTGTCTCATCCCAGACTTGAGAGATGCCGTCTCCCTGTGTACTTTCACATCCAAATCTGTTTTGAATATTGCGTAGTATGCTCCGTTTTGATTATTTATTCTCCAAATCCGGTTGTATGTGTCCTTCTATCTGTCATTGAAGTAACAGTCTACTTAGACTTTTTCAGTGCTATCTGGGTTATGCTGGCGTTCGCATGATAATCGTTCTCGTTTTCGTTATCTAAACTCTAAAAATCTGGCCATAATATTCACAATGTTAAAAATTAAACTAAGGCCGGGCGCGGTGGCTCAGGCCTGTAATCCCAGCACTTTGCGAGGTCGAGGCGGGCGGATCACTTGAGGTCAGCAGTTCCAGAATAGCCTGGCCAACATGGTGAAACCCCGTCTCTACTAAAGATACAAAAAATTAGCCGGGCGTGGTGGTGCAGGCTTGTAATCCCAGCTACTCGGGAGGCTGAGGCAGGAGAATCGCTTGAACCCTGGAGGCAGCTGTTGCAGTGACCCAAGATCACGCCGTTGCCCTCCAGCCTGGGCGACAAGAACGAAACTCCGTCTCAAAAAAAAAAAAAAAAATTAAACTAGCAATACAAACTAGCACTATGTAGACACAACAGTCTACAGTCAAAGACCGAGTGCTACGGTCACGGCTGAAAACGGTAACATCGCGCATTTAAGTCGCCTCACTCAGAGCGATGCACGGTGCAAGGTTGTCACCATCAGCGGACAGGGGAAAAACGGCGACAACTACAAAAGTGGGATAACCTAAACCCTATTATCCATTGGCAATAAAATCAGTGTTGCTTTCGGCCCTGGGGCAGGGGTGGGAACAAGGATGGGGTTGTCACTTTTTGTGTGTATATATTCTCTCCAACCTATCGCCAAAAACCGAAAGCCCGGACTTTTCACATCCCAGGTAGGGTTTTCCTGGGAAGTGGGTCTTTGAGTGCTAAACTCCAGACAATCCCCTGGCAAACAAAGACAGTGGAGAAGACAAGCTTTTCACCCCTTCCTGCTATTACTACCGTTCTCACATCCTAGCAGATGCCCAAGAGTTTGCACCAAGAGCGCCATATTCTTTACCCCATGAAGTTGCATTTGTCCAAATCCCTTTGGACTTCCTCAAGACCGAGACGGAGACGTGATTGGGGAAGACTGCAGTGGGTTGAAAAGCCAGTGGGACTTAGGGAGGTATTTTTTTAAAACAGACGGCCTTACAAGGAGTTTGCTGTACATTAAGACGGCCTTACAAGAAGTTTGCTGTACATTAAGACGGCCTTACAAGACGTTTGAGCACATGAGATAGCGACAGGTGGAGACGCCTGTCAAAGGACATTGTTTTGTTGTTTAAGATAGTAAACGCTTCAATGCTTCCGGATGGGAAACACCGGATCACTTTTCCTGCGGGAAAGAACCGGTATGGAGGGAGAGAGAAAAACAGGCCGTTTTCCTGATCTCTCCAGACAAAATGGATGGACGCCCGTGCAGGTTAATTGTCAGGTTTCTGGACAGGACGTTTTGGAAATTTTCCACCTAAGGTGAGAAGTGGGGGGTCATCAGTTCAGAATAAGAGGGGCAAAAGCAGCGGGATCAGCAGCGACTTTCTTCATCTGATTCAGGTTTTGGAAGCTGGTGAGCTTTGAGAAGTTTCATAAGAATATTTTATTTTAGAAATTTAAAATAAAGGTAATGTAGACAAAAATGTTTAAATAAGGTAAAAATCAGTGTTGAAAACACCTGCTGAGGAGCACTAGTTGTCTGCCTCCTTAGCGCAGTAGGCAGCGCGTCAGTCTCATAATCTGAAGGTCCTGAGTTCGAACCTCAGAGGGGGCAGCTGCCATTTTGTCCCCAACTTCCACAAATAACCCTATTTGTTCAGTATACAATTATCTCTATAATTGCCGGGCCCGGCATATGTTGTCAGACAGACGAAGTCTCAGCTCTCTTTGTCCCGACGGCTTATCAAGTTCTAGTAAATCTCTTTTAGTTCTTCTTATGAGTATCATCTCTTTCCAGTGGGCTTGCTGTTTTCTCCGAGTTCTTCTGACCTCAATTCCCTCGTGGGACAGTATCCTTCTACTGGTGCAACTTAATTTATTGAAAAAATGAATAGACAGATGAAAACCTGATATTCAATTTGTTGTGGCAGCCCTAGGAAACCAACACACCATCCCTTCTTTCACTCACCAACCTCCCATCACATCAACCTCAAGCTGTTTTATTTTCTTCATAGAATTTTTTACTATATAAAGTTTCCTTGTTCTTTTATTTTTTAACGTTTTTATTGTCTGTTGCCCACCCATCCTCCTAGACTGTAAATTCCGTTAGAGACTGAATTTGTTTTATCCAGTTCTATATTTTCAGTGCCTAGCACGGTATCTGATAAACAAGTATTTCTCAAATCAATCATTTAATTTGCATATTAAATGTTATGGTTTTCTTTCCATGCTTCTTGTCACTATCTTATTCCACACAATCAACATCTCAAACTTAGATTACTTGCAATCATCACCCCAGCAGTTACACATACTGAAATTCATCTTGCAGGCTATACCTCTCTGGCCCAGTCCGTGCTGCAAAAAGAGAGGGCTCTCCTCCAACATGTCTGGACCTCAGGGGTCTGTATTTCAGGACAGCTCTCTTAACAGTTCATTCTGTTGCCGACTTAAGGAAGCGTTTTATAGGGAACATCTTAACAATTTCGTCTGGACCCTAGGCCTCTGGTTCCAGGAGCCTGCATCTACCACAGTTAAGGAAATGCTGTTAAAGATTTGGGAGAAGCCTAAGAGCTGGGTTGTCTGGCTGTTCAGGCAGCTCTCCAGAGACTGCTTTATCCTTATTGGAGCCATCACAATTCAGAGTCTGTTCCTCTCCTTTGCAGAATCAGACACTATTTTTATTTTATTTACTTATTTGTATTATTTATTTTGAGTCTCCCTCTGTCTACCAGGATGGAGTGGAGCCGTGCGATCTCGGCTCGCTGCAACCTCTGCCTCCCTGGTTCAAGCTATTCTCCTGCCTCAGCCTCCCAAGTAGCTGGGATTATAGGCGCGTACCACCACTCTCGGCTAATTTTTGTATTTTTAGTAGAGACTGTTTCAGCATGTTGGCCCGGCTGGTCTCGAACTCCTGACCGCAGGTGATCTGCCCGCCTCGGACTCCCAGAGTGCTGGGATTACAGGCGTGAGCCACCGCGCCCCGTCAGAAATTATTTTTATGTATTTTTATTTTTATTTTTTGTGACGGAGTCGCTCTGTCGCCCAGGCTGGAGTGCAGTGGCGCAATCTCGGCTCACTGCAAGCTCTACCTCCCGGGTTCACGCCCTTCTCCAGCCTCAGCCTCCCGAGTAGCTGGGACTACATGCGCCCGCCACCACGCCCAGCTAATTATTTTTGTATTTTTAGTAGAGACGGGGTTTCACCGTGTTGGCCAGGATGGTCTCGAGATCCGCCCGCCTCGGCCTCCCAAAGTGCTGGGATTACAGGCGTGAGCCACAGCGCTCGGCCGGAAACTATTTTTAAATTCACCTAGAGTTTTTAAGACTTGCAGGGCTGACTCACGGTAACTAAATGCCAGAAATATGCCAAGCCAGAATATGAACATATTATAACTTTCTTGATAATTGATCAGTATATTCCCTCCTACGTAAAATAAACTCTGCACTGGAAAGCAAGTAACAACAGAAGATTACTTTGGCACCTGTAAGCAGAGTAACAGGAATCATAAAATATTAAATACTTCGTATTCTAAGGTTGTCCTTAAATGTTAGTTTTCTTCAGAAAATCTGGGGCTATCTCACTGTAGAGGGCCCATGTATTCACCTTACTACTTTTATTTGGCATCAGAGTTACTCGCCTATTCGTGGTTTAAAATTTGGGGTTCTACAGGGTTTGGTGAATTTTTGCAGTATATGAAATCTGTCCCTATAAAACGATAGTATCCTTTTTGGCTTTTTCAAACATGATACCAGAATCAGGTACTAAAAGCCACCACTCCCGCCCGAACAGGGACTTGAACCCTGGACCCTCAGATTAAAAGTCTGATGCTCTACCGACTGAGCTATCCGGGCTCCCTGCAAAAGCCTTCTTCCTGCACATTCTAGTGAGTAAAAAGGTGCAGAAACTTGATATCGTCCAACTTAAATCCTATCCATGTTCCTTTTCTTTATTCCCATCTATGCTTTTGCCCACTTTGAATATGGCTCACAGTTATTTTTGTCCCCAACTCATGGAAAAAATTAACTCCCATCTTTGTGTAATGTACTCCAAACAATTACTTGTAAAAGCAATGTATAACTACAGACGTAATCGCCGGGTTTGTCTTGTCTTTAGTCTTCAAAGGTTATGCTCCAGTCTTCCCTGCGACCTTAAGAACACCTGGCACACGGGCGCGGTGGCTCACGCCTGTAATCTCAGCACTTTGGGAGGCCGAGGCGGGCGATCACAAGGTCAGGAAATCTAGACCATCCTGGCCAACATGGTGAAACCTCGTCTCTACTAAAATACAAAAAAATTAGCCGGGCGTGGTGGCGCACGCCTGTAGTCCCAGCTACTCGGGAGGCTGAGGCAAGGGAATCGCTTCAACCCGGGAGGCGAAGGTTGCAGGGAGCCGAGATCTTGCCTCTGCACTTCAACCTGGTGACAGAGTGAGACTCCAGAAAAAAAAAAAATAGGTTTTGAGAACTTATTTTGAGCAAGGCTCTCAGCTTTGCCCCGGGTTTCCTGCAGTGGAGAAGTACTACTGAGAGGTGACAGCGTGCTGGCAGTCCTCACAGCCCTCGCTTGCTCTGGGCGCCTCCTCTGCCTGGGCTCCTACTTTGGCGGCACTTGAGGAGCCCTTCAGCCCACCACTGCACTGTGGGAGCCCCTTTCTGGGCTGGCCAAGGCCGGAGCCCACTCCCTCAGCTTGCAGGGAGGTGTGGAGAGAGAGGCGCGAGCGGGAACCGGGGCTGCATGCGGCGCTTGCGGGCCAGCTGGAGTTCCGGGTGGGCGTGGGCTTGGCGGGCCTCGCACTCGGAGCAGCCGGCAGGCCCTGCCGGCCCCGGGCAATAAGGGACTTAGCACCCGGGCCAGCGACTGCAGAGGGTGTACTGGATCCCCCAGAGGTGCCAGCCCACCGGCGCTGCGCTCGATTTCTCGCCGGGCCTTAGTTGCCTTCCCGCGGGGCAGGCTTCGGGACTGCAGCCTGCCATGCCTGAGCCTTCCCCCGCCTCCGTGGGTTCCTGTGCAGCCCGAGCCTCCCCGACGAGCGCCGCCCCCTGCTCCACGGCACCCAGTCCCATCGACCACCCAAGGGATGAGGAGTGCGAGCGCATGGCGTGGGGTTGGCAGGCAACTCCACCTGCAACCCCGGTGCGGGATCCACTGGGTGAAGCCAGCTGGGATCCTGAGTCTGGTGGGGACGTGGAGAATCTTTATGTCTAGCTCAGGGATTGTAAATACACATATCGGCACTCTGTATCTAGCCCAAGGTTTGTAAACACACCAATCAGCACCCTGTGTCTAGCTCAGGGTTTGTGAGTGCACCAATCGACACTGTATCTAGCGGCTCTGGTGGGGCCGTGGAGAACCTGTGTGTCAAAACTCTGTATCTAACTAATCTGGTGGGGACGTGGAGAACCTTTGTATCTAGCTCAGGGATTGTAAATGCACCAATCAGCACCCTGTCAAAACAGGCCACTCGGCTCTACCAATCAGCAGGATGTGGGTGGGGCCAGCTAAGAGAATAAAAGCAGGCTGCCGGAGCCAGCATCCACAACCCGCTCGGCTCTTCTTCCATATTGTAGAGTGTTGTTTTTTTTTTTGCTCTTTGCAATAAATTTTGCGACTGGTTACTGTTTGGGTCCACATTGCTTTTATGAGCTGTAAGACTCACCGTGAAGGTCTGCAGCTTTTTTCCTGAAGTCAGCGAAAGCGCAAGCCCAGCAGGAAGAGCGAACAATTCCAGACGTGCTGTCTTAAGAGCTGTAATACTCTCTCCGAAGGTTTGCAGTTTCACTCCTGAGTTAGCGAGACCACGAACCCACCAGAAAGAAGAATACTCCTAACACATGGGAACATCAGAAGGAACAAACTCCAGACACGTCACGTTAAGAGCTGTAACACTCACCGCGAGGGCCCGTGGCTTCATTCTTGAAGTCAGTGAGATCAAGAACCCACCAATTCGGGACACACTACCTCAGCCCTTGGGGCGTTCATATTTTACAAGTGAAAAGCAGCCGTTAAACGACAAATTACACTGTTTAAACAGTCACTGTAACACATGCTCTTGAGAAAACGTTCAGGTTACAAAATGTTGAGGAAAAACAAGCAAAATCTCATGACCTTACTTTGCAAATTAAACGAGATAATGTAAGCAAACGCTTGGTGACATTTCCATGAAAATTAGGTGTTATCACAATTATTCTTATTGTAAAGTGGATCATTTAGAACACTGTATTTTAACCATTTTGCTTGTGCCACTTTAGACAAGTTTGTTAATCTCTTGACCACTTTAATCTCACAGCAGAAATCCCTCAAAGGCTAGGTCTAGCACAATGGTTGTCATGTGGTACATTTCTGATCGTGCATTTATTTATGCTACTATTGAAAAACAGATTCGAGGTTATTTACACAACTATACTGTAAGATAAAGTGAAAAATGTTAATTTAAATCAAGATAAAGGGAACATAGAGAAAAGTAAGGTGAGACAAAATAATGCACACTGTAAATCGCACACTGTAAATCACACCCTGCCCTCTATCTTCAAGAGCATGGATTATAAAGGGAGATGACCTCTTCCAGGGGATTAGAGAAGACTTCTCCCAGGAAGTGATGTTTAAACTGAAAACTAAAGGCCTAGTTGGACAAAAATGTGATTCCAGCATTCCAGGGAGATTAAAGAGCAGAACACTTCCAGACACCTGAGAGAAGGCCTGAGCAGCTTGTGTACAGAGAGCTCAAGAGAGTGTTCATGAAGGTGGGGTCTGAGGTGGACAGGAAGGCAGGGACAGACCAGTGACTCACAGGCTCAGAGGTTATGGCTAGTAGTGCAGAGAGCTGACTGCACCCTAGCAGCAATGTGAAGCCACTGGGAATTCTAAGCAGGAAGAAATGACATGATGAGATTACTTTTAAGAGTACACTGGCTTTATGTAAAGAATGAGTCAGAATGGAGGAAGAGGTGATGCAAAAACATAAATTAGGCCATTGTGCAGAAGAAGGCCATCGAGACATGGCAGTGGGGAGGAATGATGCAGAGAAACTGGGGAACAGCTAGAAGAAAGAAAACTTGGGCCCAGACTGCCCCTGGGAACCTGGAGGGCAGGAGGTGTCAAGATGTCTCAGCTGCTTATTTACCAAGAAAAGCTCTTTACAGGGAAAGGCAGAAATAAAGCAAAACAGGGCGAGGCCAGTGGCTCCCACCTGTAATCCCAACATTTTGGGAGGCAGAGGTGGGCAAATCAATTGTGGTCGGGAGTTCCAGACCAGCCTGGCAAACATGATGAAACCGCATCTCTACTAAAAACACAAAAATGAGCCAGGTGTGGTGGTGCATGACTGTAGTCCCAGCTACCTCAAGGGTCTGAGGCAAAATAATCACTTGAACCTGGGAGGCAGAGGTTGCAGTGAGCCGAGATCACACCACTACACTCCAGCCTGGGTGACAGAGCAAGACTCCATCTCAAAAAAAAAAAAAAAGAAAGAAAGAAAAAAGAAAAATTAGAAATAAAGCAGAATAGGAAATGGCACCTTGTAGCTTTTGAGAGTTCTCTGGGAAGCATAGAACATTTATTCTGCTCTTGATGAGGCAAGTGCTCCTAGTTTTAACCAGTAAGCAAGCCCTGGATGACTAAACAAAAATGAGGAGAATTTTGGGAGGAAATGATCTCTCCAGAGACGGTCAACATAGGATAAATGAATATAGGCCGAGTAAGTCCTTGACTGGGGCTTCCAAAATGTTGCCACACTGATGGCATTCAAATCTCCTGGAGTCACTGTTAAAAACTCAGATTCAGGCCAGTTGCAGTGGCTCACACCTGTAATCCCAGCACTTTGGGAGACCCAGGTGCATGGATCATCTGAGGCCAGGAGATCGAGACCAGCCTGACCAACATGGAGAAACCACATCTCTACTAAAAACACAAAATTAGCCGGGCGTGGTGGCGCATGCCTGTAATCCCAGCTACTCCAGAGGCTGAGGCAGGAGAATCGCTTGAACCAGGAGGTAGAGGTTGCCGTGAGCCGAGATCGTGCCATTGCACTCTAGCCTGGGCAACAAGAGTGAAACTCCATCTCAAAAAAAAAAAAAAGATTCACAGATTCTATCTCAGACTCATGAATCAGAATATTCTCAAGGTCTGGCTGACCTCCACAACTTAAATCACTGTTGTCTTTTCTCTCCCCTATGCAGCGAATTCCCTCTCTGAACATGATCATGACCTCTGAGACCCTGCATGATCTATGTGCATCCTGTAGGGTCTATGTGTATCTAACCCCCTCATCTCCTATCAAGTTCTCCCTTGTTTACTGACCTACAGCTGCACTAGTCTCCTCCTTCGTTCCTTGAACATGCCAATGGCATTCCTGCCAAGCCTTTTGTAATTACTGTTCCCTTGGCCTGAAATTCTCTTCTCCCTGATAGCCTCACAGCTCACTCACTCACTTCCTTCAAGTCTCTGTTCAGATGCCTCCTTATCAGGAAGGCCTCCTTGGTCACCCTTTATTATAAAGCAATCCCCTCCCCTTTGTTCTCCATTCTCTTGCTCTTTTCCTTCATGGCATGTATCACTACTTCACATTTTATATATCTGGTTGAATTTATTCTTTATCATTCCCCACTAAAATGTAAACTCCATGAGAGCAGAAGCTTTTTCTGTTGTGTGGAGTGCTATCCCTGCACCCCCTATGTGTGGTTCAGGGTCTAGTTAAGAAATAAGGCTGGGCACGGTGGCTCACATCTGTAATCCCAGCGCTTTGGGAGGCCGAAGCGGGCAGATCACTTGAGGTCAGGAGTTCAAGACCAGCCTGGCCAACATGGTGAAACCCCGTCTCTGGTAAAAATACAAAAATTAGCTGGACGTCGTGGCGGGCGCCTGTAATTCCAGCTACCTGGGACGCTGAAGCAGGAGAATCGCTTGAACCCGGGAGGCAGAGGTTGCAGCGAGCTGAGATTGTGCCACTGCACTCCAGCCTGGGTGACAGAACAAGACTCTGTCTCAAAAAAAAAGGAATAAGACTAGGTATTTCAACTGGGCACACCATGGTAACTCAGAGGTGATAACTACTGGGAAGTAGCTACCACCTTGTAGGGCTGGAAGAACAAAAAGGAAGAGGTTGAGACCACTGAGGAAAGGCATCCTGGAGTGCTAAAGAGGACGCGCTGCAGCTGGACTACTACTTACTTATGTAATGGACAGTGAGACATTCTGGAATGCATGAAGAGAACAAATAGAGATGGGATTCAACTGCCATTGTTGGAGTGACCTGACAGGAAGAACAAAATTTAGAAAGCAGCCCCTGCTTCTCTCCTCTTGCTTTCTAGTCTCTTTCTGGTTCCTCTTATTGACAGAACACAAGAGGAAGCCAATGGGCAAAGGAGTTTGGGAAATATCATTTGCAGGCGCCCAGCCCCAATGTCACAAAACAAAGTATATAAGGGTGATTTTAAAGCTGAGAGGGAATGGATTAATAGGAACACAGCTTGGAACAAAGTAGGACTCAAGAGCAGGACATTAATGATCAGTCTTGCTCATTATTATTTGAGTCAGGGGCTCATCTTGACTGTAAATATCAGCCTATCTTCTTCACTTCTTGTTTCTCTTTTTACCCCTTCCTGCATCTGGTAGTTTGGATGATTTAGATCCAGTCAACAGGACTGGAAGCAAGAGAAAAGGTCCAATGCAATGAGACTGAGGGGGGAGTTTTTTGTCAGTTTTTTGTTTCCTTTCTTTTTTCATATGGAATGTTATTGGTGGCAACCTGGTGGTAAGCCATTCCAGAAGAATGGTAAAAGATAACCAAGTCAGTAATTGATAATTAGATTCTATACCTTCCACACCCCTAGTACAACCCTCCACCCACTTTTTCTTATCTCAGCACTCTAAAACTGGCAAGTTTCTTGACTCTGGTGTTGTTAAAACAAAGACAATTGCCAAGCATATCTGAAAAACATTTGAAAATGCTACCAGCTCTATCTCCAATTGGTATGCAGGGCGGGAGGGGAGATGAGAATTTTGGAGAATTTAATTCTTAGTGAAAATCACTGTTTTGTAACTGAACATGGTTCTATTAAACAGCAATTACCCGTTCTGTTCCATCAAAGCAATGTCCTTAGATTTTTTTTTCCCTTACCAGACATATTGTACACTTTTCTATAGAGAAAGCAGAGAAAGAACAACGTTTTGTCAACTTCCTTTGTTGTCTTACTCATTTTGGATCAAGAAGAAGTAAAATGGCAAAACAGACGCCTTGCCCCCTCTGAGGTTCGAGCTCAGGACCTTCAGATTATGAGACTGACGCGCTGCCTACTGCGCTAAGGAGGCAACTGTCTCTCCCGCTTAACCAACGGCTCTACCAAGATGATTATGAGGCATTTTAATAAGGTTTTACGTTCTCTGAATTACAGTGTTTCAAAATAAGGCGTAACTATGATTCAATTCACTTCTAAAACACTTTGGATGACAAAACTACGTAGTACAAGGCAGGGGCCAATTCCTAAACCAACCTCGTTCTCCCACAGACCTTCCTAAGGAAACTTTAAGGGCTGCGAAGGCAATTGAGTCTGGACTTTGCGAAAGGCCTTCCTGTACGGGGCCCTGGATTTCTCATCTCATTTCTGGGCCAGGAACGAGGAGTCTTTCCCTCTATGATTAGGGCTTTCGTAGATGTACCGCCTCTGAAACGAAGACAAGACAAATAATAATGAGTTCACTCTTTTCCTCCCTTGTGAAGTTCCGTGGAGACACTCGGTCCCCTGAAGTGGATGAAGGGCGAGGGGAGGAGGTCTCAGGATTTTTCCTCGCTTTTCTTAGAAGCAACAGGCTCAAACCAAACGGTTGGCCTTGCTTACTCCTGAAGTCGAGAGGCTTACTCCCTGGAATCCAAGTGGATGTGGAGCCCATGGCGTCCTCTGGCGCTCTCGGTCTCTTCGACCCCTTTTTACTGTGTTGATGATAAATGGGGCAGGATTCCCCTCCTGCACCACCTGCAGCATCCTGTCCAGGATCCATCTGGGAGCTGAGAAGAAGCAAAGTGTCAGGGATCGGGGGTTCTCGGGCTATGCTGAGAAGCAAGGAATGCTGAAGAAGGGGCCTGAGGGAAGGGCTTATGGTGATGTGGGAATGGGAATGAAAGGACTGGAAAGGGGCGACAGTCACTTGGGTGAAACTGAAAGCGGCGACGCACCCTGTGGGTGGTAGCGTGGCCGAGCGGTCTAAGGCGCTGGATTAAGGCTCCAGTCTCTTCGGGGGCGTGGGTTCGAATCCCACCGCTGCCAGTGTGAGGTATTTTTTTTTCCCCCTCGTCATTCTGACCCAGTAAAGTTCCATTTTCAAGCCTTGTGTGGGCAGTTCTCACAGCTTCCTAAGTGAGACAGGTTCCTCTTCTGTTTTCCTAGGGGCCACAGATAACACCCATATGTACAGTCCCACAAACGGTGCCCAAATGTTTCTCGATTTAGGGGCTCAGACATCTCGTCCCCTAGTTATTCCCTTCAGTGGCCTTCATGTGTTTTCATTCACTTTGCGAAATTTGTGAACCAACCAAGGGCAATCCTAAGGAAAAAGTACAACCTTCTTAACTCCAGACTCAAGAATAAATAAGCCACGCACGCTCATCTGCCCTATTTTCCATTGTCTTCTCCAAGGGATAAATGTGCTAAGGCTGAAAAAACAAACGAACCAACAAAAGAAACAGTCACCAGACACCTAGAGCCTTTCCCGCTTCACCTATCCTCAGAGAGCAGTTTAAGGTCCTTAGTTGAACACAGTTGAAGAGTTAGCTTTTGAGATTCTGTTATCTTCTTAAACAGTAAACATTTTTTTCTTTTTTTTTTTTAAGAAATAAGGTGGAGGCTCATAGAATAGAAAGAATAACACCTGTTTTAGGGAAGAAGGACTTGATCCGTTATTTACCTGGATCTGGGGTAGTTTAGACCATCTTTTAAGGCTAGGAGACTCGAGGAGATAGAATGGAGAGTTTTTGTGTGCAGGGAGGTGGGTAGATGCTTAGGAGCACTTTACAGTCGCCTAGGCAGAAGTCTTCTAATTTCACTGCTTCCTTCCTCACCTTCCAAAAGATGTATCCAATACATACTAATTGAGCAGATATTTTGTAACAGGCACCTTGCTTGAAAGGATGAATGCCAGCAAATGATTCCAGGGTTCCTTAGCAATTTAGTCTTGAGAGACTAGAGAGGCACATTAAGCATAGTTGACAAATAATTAATATTAAGATTGACTAAAGTAGTAATTTATATCTGAGTATTTCTTCCAGACACGCTACGTATATATGTGGTCTATTTGTTATATGTTGTTCTCACAATTACTAGATAAATAACCATGTTATCTTAATAAAGTTAAGATTTGAAAAAATGAATTACTACATCCAGCACTATAACATCCTAGTTTGGTCATCCATACTAAAGGACACCTATATGTTGGGTCATCTGGACGCTAAGATGTCCACCTGGGAGCTGGGACCTGGAAAGGCAAAAGAAGATAGGAGGAGGAGGAGAAATAATTATTCCCTTTTGAACTTGTAAAATTTAGCCTAGCAAGTGAAGGCAAAAAAGAAGTCTAAAGTCTCCCAAAAGTCTAAGCTGGGCTGTCCCACTGAGTATTCATTCATTCATTCATTCATTCATTCACTCATCCTTTCATTTATGCATTCATGCAACAAGCATTGGTTGAGCTTCTACAAAGTAGCAGACCGTGGGCTATCAAAGACTACTGAGACTCAGCCCTGCACTTAAGGCATTTTGGAGGAATGCGGGAGACAGATTTTAAAAATTTAAGCCCATGGTTACAACTGAGGGGCAGTGCCAAGATACTCGGAGGTTGTTCTAGAGGCATCTGTAGGTATCGTACAATGAATAAATAAGACTGTAGAAAGTAGATAGTATATTTTTTCTTTTCTCTCTTTTCTCCCTTTCAAACCGTGAGACTAAAATTCAATTCACCTTTTCGTGGGCTGGAAACGAAAGAAAATAAAAATCTCCAGGAATAACCATATTCCCAGATCAGTATACTGCCCTGCCCCGAAGGATGGAAAGAAATCTGGGAGAAAGGCGCGGTGGAAACAGTGTGTGAGCCCTACCCCTCCCATCCCTGCGTTTGGCCATCCAAAACAAAAAAACTGCCCCTGCAAAATTACTTTAAATCAATTAGTAAGTAGAAGACAAGAGAGACCCCAGGTGGATCGAGTATCCATTTTTTGTTAAGTAGGGTTCCATGGTGTAATGGTTAGCACTCTGGACTCTGAATCCAGCGATCCGAGTTCAAATCTCGGTGGAACCTTTCATTTCTCTCCTTTTGCCTTGTTTCCGATAACCTTGAGCGTGAACCTTGCTGCTTTCAATTTCAGTTTCATCACTTTTATTTTTGATGGTTTCTGGCCGTGAGGAAAAACATGTAATCTGCGGTCCCAATAACCTATGAGCTCAGGGCCAGTATGTAATGATGGAGTCTGTATACATGTCTTTCTATTCCTACCTAGTCTAGTTTCCTCCCAGTACGCCTCTGGGTGAGTGCTCATGTGGTAAATGAATGCGCCTTTTAACGAACTGACCAAAGCGGGGCAAAACGTGATTCACTACTAAACAGCGAACAAGACTGAAAAGCAAGGGGGCAGACCTCATTGAGAGTGTATCATTTTAGTTAGAATAAAAAAAGTTGAGGTAGAAAGAATGAAAACACAGAAATGGCTGAGAAAGTAGAGTAAAAGGAGAATAAGATAGTTGTGTCAGAAGTGGGATTCGAACCCACGCCTCCATTGGAGACCAGAATCCTCAACACGAGGAAGCCAAGCTTGAGTCTGGCGCCTTAGACCACTCGGCCATCCTGACACCTGGGACACTTACCATCGCAAATTAATATAATCTTCGATTGTAATGAATGCGTAACCAGCGTTAAGTCATTACTACGTTCGCGATTTAATGAAAGAAATGGAAAAGGAAATTCCTACAAGTGAACAAAACGTTCTATTTAAATGGAATCAGGAACCGTGACTCAGCTTGCGAGGCTCTCCTACCAATTCAGGCTAGAATTCAGCGTTTCTCGCCCTTCGCCCCCTTCTTACACTTCCCTGCACGCCCCGGGTACAGGGGCGCGAGCATCCTAACAACCCAGCCGCGACTCTGCCTTGAACAAGAAAGAACACATAGCATGACAAGAAAAAACACATATCCATGACAAGAAAGAACACATAGCACGGGGGCTGTTCCCGAGATGCTGCTTAGCAAACTAATCAAAGAGCTCAGCAGGGAAGAAATGAGCGAGGCAATGTAGACCTGAAGCGAAGCAGGAGAGTTAGCGGAGAGTGGGGGATGAGAGCGGTTCAGGGGTCTTGAACATGAAAAATGACTGTCGATGTGAGTAACAGGAGTTGACTTGGTCAGGAGTTGAAAGAGGGTGAAGTGCAGGGGTGCTAAACCAGAGTAGCATGAAGGAAGTGTCAGCACTGAGCCGAAATCCCCAGATCTCTTCCCTCACCACATTCCCAGAACTAGTCAAACAGGCTCATCTCCCCTCCCCCTACCTCTCCCAGGAGGTTGAAGGAGTATGTCAAGGGAAACTGGGATAAAGTTTTCCAGAGATAAAGAAAGACAGATGAGATATCCAAGTCAATTTACAAGGAAAAAATAAAAATTAAAACAACGACAAACACTGGTATTTGAGGATCTCCCAAAGAAATGGCTGGGTCTCCATAGAATCCCCAAAGACTCTGCAGTCTACAGGCTTGGAGCAGGTCCACAGAGCTTCCAGAATCAGGTGTTTAGTGCCTTACTTAAAATATGTACGACAACCAAGGATAATCAGGTGGTTGTGAAAATATTTCTACAATAAGACAAGGACGAATACAAACAGAAGGGGGCAGGAAGAACCTAAGAGGAAACAAATACAATGCAGGAAGTTGGATTTTTTAAAAATTATAATTAATCCTCGGGAAAGTAAGAGAAGATACTGCACTCATGAAACAAAAAGGAGGGGAGTTCTTAAAATTATTAATAATATTATGATGGCTGGATTTTTAAAAATTTCTTTTTTTTTTTTCTTGAGACGGGGTTTGGCGCTTGTTGCCCAGGCTGGAGTGCAATGATGCAATCTCGGCTCACCACAACCTCTGCCTTCCAGGTTCAAGAGATTCTTCTGCCTCCAGAGTAGCTGGGATTACAGGCATGCGCCACCACGCCCGGCTAATTTTATGTTTTTAGTTAAGACAGGGTTTCTCCATGTTGGTCTGACTGGTCTCGAACTCCCAACCTCAGGTGATCCGCCCGCCTCAGCCTCCCAAAGTGCTGGGATTACAGTTGTGAGCCACTGCGCCTGGCCTAAAATTTCAAAATAAGGTTGTAGAAATCTGGAAAGTTTGGGGTGAATGATGGAAAATAGCAAAGAATTGATAAGAAAATAAAATGGTGTATAATAGAAGATATGCCAACAAACTAACAGGGATTCTAGGAAAAGAGGAGAAAGTGGAATAAAGGAGATAAAGATGTAATATAAGATTATTTTTCAGAACCAAAGACCTTAAGTCTCCAGATTTAAAAGGCCCACCAACTACCCTGCATAGGGTGTGGCAAAGCCCCACAATAAAGCTTGTCATTGTGAAATATCAGATGAATAAAGTGAATATCCTAAATGTTTCCAGAAGGAAAACAAAACTAAAAGATTGCACAGAAAGGATTATGAATTAGAATGTCATCTTTTTTTCTCCACAGCAGCACCAACACCAAAAGCTGAAAGACAATGAGGCAATGCCTTCTAAATCATTTCAATAAAGGAAAATAGTTTCCACAACTAGATTTCTGAACCCAGCCAAACTATCAATCAAATGTGAATGGACATTTGCAGAACATTATCTCCCAAGTACCTTTTCTCAGAAAGCTTCTGGAGAATTGTCCACTAACTAGGGAATTAAACTAAGAAAAAGGAAATATGAAATCCGGTGACTGGGGACCTAACACAGAAGAAAGGTAAAGGAAAAAACTCCGGGGCAACTGCTGAGCTACCAGGCTAGAAGGCAATCAGTCTACGGTGGAATAGAAAAAAGAGGGCTAAACGAGGGTTGTTTCCAATGGGGGAAAATGGAACTGACATACTGCCTCATGCATTTGACGAGAAAATAGTGTCAGAAAGCTGGTTTTGAATTAGGAATAAATATTTAGAAAAGTAAGCAAAGAACAGGAGGCAATTATTAATCCCAGGAAGAACAAAAGGTTGTCAAAGAAGGTAATTATGGTATACCATGGAGCTCAGCTGTGAAAAATATTACAAAGTCATAATGATGAAAACCATAAATATTAATTTATTAATTTAACTAAAAATTATACATATGAGGCTGGGCACGGTGGCTCATGCCTATAATCCCAGCACTTTGGGACGCCGAGGCAGGCGGATTGCCTGAGGTCAGGAGTTCAAGACCACCCTGGCCAACATGGTGAAACCCTGTCTCTATTAAAAATACAAAAAAATAGATGGGCGTGGTGGCGGACCCCTGTATTCCCAAGCTGAGGCGCGAGAATCCCTTGAACCTGTGAGGCAGAGGTTGCAGTGAGCTGAGATGGCGCCACTGCACTCCAGCCTGGGCAACAGAGTGAAACTCCATCTCGTAATAATAATAATAATAACAAATATGAATGTATATTGCCATATTCAAAAATGTATTCAATAAATATATGTTGAATTAAGAAATGTATAAGTAAATAAATATGTCCACAAGAAGAGATTCATGAAGAGTGTAGGCATAAATATAAAGGATTCTTATGGATGTATTCTAATAATAAAATACACTATTGATTAATATATTTTCTTGAGTATTTTCTTTTTATGTCCATCAGTCTCACCTCTCTCTGCTGGGCTAAGGAAAAATTAATCTTTCCTACAAAGCTATCACTAAGACAAAGTAAAAACAGGTCAATGATAATCCCACAGAAACCTTTTAAAGCTGTTAAAACCGCTTCAACATATGAGTTGCTGTAAATGTTATAATTAGTTAAAAAGAACAAGTAGGCCTTGTGTGGTGGCTCACACTTGTAATCCCAGCACTTTGGGAGGCTGAGGTGGGCGGATCACTTGAGGTCAGGAGTTTAAGACCACCCTGGCCAACATGGTGAAACTCCATCTCTACTAAAAATACAAAAAATAGGCCGCGTGCGGTGGCTCATGCCTGTAATCCCAGCACTTTGGGAGGCCAAGGTGCGGGGATCACGAGGGCAAGAGAGCGAGACCATCCTGGCCAACATGGTCAAACCCCGTCTCTATTAAAAATATAAAAATCAGCTGGTCGTGGTGGCGTGGTGGTGGCTGCCCGTAGTCCCAGCTACTCAGGAGGCTGAGGAAAGAGTATTGCTTGGACCGGGGAGGTGGAGGTTGCAATGAGCCGAGATCACGCCATTGCACTCCAGCCTGGGCGACAGAGCCAGACACTGTCTTAAAAAAAAAAAAAATAGCCAGACATGGTGGTGCACACCTGTAGTCCCAGCTACTCAGGAGGCTGAGGCAGGAGGTTGCAGTAAGCCGAGATCATGCCATTGCACTCCAGCCTGGACGGCAGAGGGAGACTCCGTCTAAAAAAAAAACAGAATAAGTAAATCTGGTGAACTGGTTTTCCATTAGTGCAGCTATTTTCTGCTTTTTGGAGATAGTGGTTAAAACGAGGTGAATAGACAGAAATGCATTTACAAATTTATGATATAACTTTTCAATAAAAGGTGCTGGACCAATTAGGAAAAAAACTAAATCTAGACCTTTGCCTCACACCAAACACAAAAATGAATTCATAATGGACCATACACCTAAGTATGACAGGGAAAGTAAAGCTTCTAGAAAGAGGATATGTTAATGAATGTAAGGTACGCAAAGATTTCAAAAACAGGAAAGAGTAACCAAAATGAAAAAAAAAAAAAGTTAAACAGGCACCCACCTGTAGTTCCAGCTACTCAGGAGGCTTGAGGTGGGAGGATCGCTTGAGCCCAGGAAATTGAGGTCGTAGTGCACAATGATAGCCCCTGTGAACAGTCACTGCACTCTAGCCTGGGCAACACAGTGAGAACCCATGTCTATTAAATAAATAAATAAGTGTAAAAATTTTAAAAATAAATCAATAAAGTCGATGAAATAAAATTCATCAAAACTGGAAACTTCTATTCATCAAAAAACATCATTAAGAAAATGAAAAATGGAGGCCGGGCGTGGTGGCTCACGCCTGTAATCCCAGCACTTTGGGAGGCTGAGGCAGATCACAAGGTCAAGAGATCAAGACCATCCTGGCCAACACAGTGAAACCCTGTCTCTACTAAAAATACAAAAATTAGCTGAGCGTGGTGGCGCACACCTGTAGTCCCAGCTACTCAGGAGCCTGAGGCAGGAGGATCACTTGAACCCGGGAGGCGGAGGTTGCAGTGAGTCGAGATTGTGCCACTGCCCTCCAGCCTGGCAACAGAGTGAGACTCTGTCTCCCGAAAAAAAAAAAAGAAAAAGAAAATGAAAAATGGAAGCCACAAATTGCAGGAAACATTTGCAAAATACATACCTGAGAAAGGACTCATCCTAAATATATAAAGCACTCTTGTAAATCAACAAGAAAAAGACAAATAATTTTTTTTTAATGACAAAAGACTTGATCAGGAACTTCCCTAAAGACTACATTCAAATAGTACACATATGAGGCCAGGGACAGTGGCTCACGCTGTAATGCCACCAGCACTTCAGGAGGTGGGAGGATTACTTGAGCCCAGGAGTTCGAGACCAGCCTGGGCAACATAGTAAGACTCCCCCTGCCCCACCATCTCTACAAAAAAAAAAAAAAAAAATTAGCCAGGCATGGTGGCGTGTGCCTGTAGTCTGAGCTATTCAGGAGGCTGAGGTAGGAGGATCCTGTGAGCCTGGGAAGTTGAGGCTGCAGTGGGTCATGATTGCATAACTGCACTCCAGCAAAAGAAAATTTGAAAATGTGCTCAGTATCATTAATTAGCAGGGAAATATAAATTAAAACCACAATGAGATACCACTACAAATCCACCTGAACAGCTAAAATATTTTAAAACACATATGCTGTACCAAGTGTTGGTGTAATATGTGCGGCAACTAGAATTCTCATGCATTGCTGCTAGAAGTGTTAATTAGCACATTCACTATGGAACATTTTTTGGCATTATCTAAAAAACTAAACATATGCCTACTAGCAATTCCACTCCTAGAAATGAGGGCATTTGTCCATGAACAGACATATACCACCAGAACGTTTAGGGCAGCTTTATTCATAACAGACAACAATTTAAAACCCCAATAAGTGCTCATGATAGGAGTCTCTTCATATGAAGTTCAAGAACAGGCAGAATTAATCAATGCTTCTAGAAATTTGGAATAGTGATTTTTTCTAAGTAACCTCTGGGAGTGGATACTGATGGAAAGAGACATGAGACAGCCTTCCTGGATGCTGAAAATATTTTTCCTCTTGATCTGGATGGTGGGTACACACATGTAACAATTCATTAGCTTATACACTGAAGGCTTGTTCCCTTTATGTATATTTTACCTCAATAAATTAACAATATGAAACAGTTTATCATTTAATGTCAATTAAATGCTCTACAGCATAAACTCTAAAAATGTTTGATATAGTTTGGATATTTGTCCCCACTCAAATTGGATATTTGTCTCACATTGAGATGTAATCCCCAATATTGGAGGTGGGGTCCGGTGGGGCCTCCTTGCTCCATTCTCGCTAGGCGATATGCCTGCTCCCCCTTTGTTTTCCGCCATGATTCGAAGTTTCCTAGGCCAGGTGCAGTGGCTCACACCTGTAATCCCAGCACTTTGGGAGGCCGAGGCAGGTGGATCACTTGAGGTCAGGAGTTCAAGACCAGCCTGATCAACATGGTGAAACCAGTCTCTACTAAAAATATACAAAATTGGACAAGCGCGGTGGTGCACGCCTGTAATCCCAGCTACTTGGAGGCTGAGACAGGAGAACTGCTTGAACCCGGGAGGCGGAGCTTGCAGTGAGCCAAGACAGCACTATTGCACTCCAGCCTGGGCAACAAGAGAGAAACTCCGTCTGAAAAAAAACAAAACAAAACAAAAAACCCGGAAGTTTCCCAAGGCCTCTGCAGAAGCAGCTGCCACTGTGCTTCCTGTACAGCCTGCAGAATCATGAGCCAATTAAAACTCTTTTCTTATAAATTACCCAGTCTCAGGTATTTCTCTTTTTTTGTTTTGTTTTGTTTTGAGATGGAGTCTCTCTCCGTGTTGCCAAGGCTGGAGTACAGTGACACAATCTTGGCTCACGGCAACTTCCACCTCCCAGGTTCAAGCGATTCTCCTGCCTCAGCTTCCCAAGTAGCTAGGATTACAGGCACACGCCACCACACACAGCTAATTTTTTTATATTTTTAGTAGAGACAGCGTTTCACTATGTTGGCCAGGCTGGTCTCAAACTCCTGACCTCAAGTGATCCGCAAGCCTCAGCCTCCCAAAGTACTGGGATTACAGGTGTGAGCCACTGCACCCGGCCCTCAGGTATTTCTTTACAGCAGTGCCGGCACAGCCTAATACAATGTTAAAAAGGGAAAAATTGTTGTGACCTGGGAAGACGAGAAAAGTTTTATGAGAGGCTGATCTGGAGGGAGTGGTCACCTGCAAGGAAAGCGGAGGGATCCGCTTATTCAAGGAGTTTAGCCCAGAAAGGGAAGAGAAATGGTTCCAGAGCTCACAAAAGCATTGAAATCTTCTTCAGGCCCAACATCTCTAGGTCCTTCAATTATTTCTCCCTTGCAGTTTGTGATGCCATTCCCACCCACTGTGTTATTCTTTCTCATAGCATCCTGTCTCTTCCATCATAGAAGTTGTCACAATTAGTAACCACATATTGATTTGATTAATAACTGAATGCAACTCCTTATTCTGATTATTTCATACTGCATAACAAACTGCCCCAACAGGTAGGGCTCACTGGGATGATTTTTCTGTAACACCTGGCATTAACTGGCAACTCAGAATGTATCCATTTGGTAGTTGGGCTGCTCTTCACTGAAAATCCTCATGCTTTTCTCAGGGAATGGCTGGAAGGATGGCCTCAATGAGCTCACTCCCCCCTTATGGAGTCCCGTAGTAGAGTAGGTGGACATCACTATGGACTGAGTTGTGTCCACTCTGCCCACCACATACACACAGCTCCCAACTCATGTTTTGGAATTTTAACCCCCAATGTGACTATATTTGAAGATAATTTTTTTTTTTTGATAGAGTTTTGCTCTGCTGCCCAGGCTGGAGTGCAGTGCCTCAATCTTGGCTCACTGCAACCTCTGCCTCCTGAGTTCAAGTGATTCTCCTGTCTCAGCCTCCTGAGTAGCTGGGATTACAGGTGTGCACCACCATGCCCAGCTGATTTTTGTATTTTTAGTAGAGACAGGCTTTTGCCATATTGGCCAGGCTGGTCTTGAACTCCCAGCCCCAAGTGATACACCTGCCTCGGCCTCCCAAATTGCTGGAATTACAGGCGTGAGCCACCGCGACTGCCTGGAGATAGGATCTTTATAGGGATGACAATTAAGGATAAATGATGTCATAAGAGTGAGGCCCTAAGCTGATAATACTGGTGTCCTTATAAGAAGAAGAAGAGACATCAGAGGTGCATGCACACAGAGAAAAGGTCATGTGAGGACATAGTCAGAAGGCGGCTGCCTGCGAGCCAAGGAGAGAGACCTCAGGAGAAACCAACCCTGCAGACTTTGATCTTGGACTTCCAGTATCCAGAAAATAAAATGTGAGCAAATAAATTCCCGTTTTTTAAGCCATCTAGTATTTTGTATGCCAGCCTGAGGAGACTAATAAAGACATATCTATGGTGTCTCAGGACTCAGAGACACAAGACAGGGGCTGTCAGCCCTCTTACAGCCCTGGCCTGGCACTGGTATAGAATCACTTCTGCCATACAGTGTTAGTCACAGTACTCATAGGCCAGCCCACCAGATTCAAGGGGCTGGAGGAGTGGGCTGCACCCTGTTTTCTGTTGTTGTTGTTGTTTGTTTGTTTGTTTTTTGAGACAGAGTTTCACTCTTGTTGCCCAGGCTGGAGTGCAATGGTGTGATCTTGGCTCACTGCAACCTCTACCTCCCAGGTTCAAGTGATTCTCCTGCCTCAGCCTCCCAAGTAACTGGGATTACAGGCATGCGCCACCATGCCCAGCTAATTTTGTATTTTTAGTAGAGACAGGGTTTCTCCATGTTGCTTAGGCTAGTTTTGAACTCCTGACCTCAGGTGATCTGCCTGCTTTGGCTTCCCAAAGTGCTGGGATTACAGGTGCGAGCCACCGCACCCGGCCTTTTTTTTTTTTAAGATGAGGATCTCACTCTGTCGCCCAGGTTGGAGTGCAGTGGCATGATCATAGCTCACTGCAGCCTCAAACTCCTGGGCTCAGGCAATCCTCCCACCTTAGCCTCCCAAGTAGCTGGAACTACAGGCATGTGCCATGATGCCCAGCTTACATATCTTGGTGATCCAATGTCATGTGCATATGAGAGGTCTCTAAGATAGTGACTATCTTGGAGACAGCTACCATCTCGGCCTCCATCCAGCCCCCAGTGGCCTGTCAGCTCCATAAGGGCAGGAATCTTGTCTAGTGTGTTTACCAGGCATGGTCTGCTCATATTCAAAATGCCTGTGTTAAAATCAAGGAAATCCTCAACCCCTTGCTGTTTGAAAGAAGGGGTCAGATTAGCTTTTCCTCCCACTGTCTTCAAAGATTTTATCCCCAGGAAATAGAATATAGCTAAATGTTGGGAAGCACATAACCAATTCAAAAATAAATTATATTTAGATGACTAATGACAATTACATTTTTCAGTGGGTCTTGATGCATAGACCAGTGAGCATTATCTCAGTCCCCTTGCCATAGTAATTGGTTCAGGAATAGGTAGTAAAACCAAACCTAAGCCAACTGGCACATGAATTTCTCTGTCCACAGGGATTAGTCCAATCAATAAGAGCAAAACACAGGGCTTTGCTGGCTGGGAAAGACAAGTCATTGATGCTGTGACTGCAGAAATTTTTTAAAATTTATTTTGACATAATTGTAGATTCACATACAGTTATAGGATGTAATTAAGATTCAGTGGCTGGGTGCAGTGGCTCGCTCCTATAAGCCTTGCACTTTGGGAGGCAGAGGAGGGAAGATTGCTTGAGGCCAGGAGTTCAAGATCAGCCTGACCAACATGGCAAAACCCTGTCTCTACTAAAAATACAAAAATTACCTAGCCATGGTGGCACATGCCTGTAATCCCAGCTACTTGGGAGGCTGAGGCATGAGAATTGCTTGAACCCAGGAGGCGGAGGTTACAGTGAGCCAAGATCATGCCACTGCACTCCAGCCTGGGCGACAGAGCAAGACTCTGTCTCCAAAAGAATAAAATAAAATAAAAATAAAGATCCAGCATACCCTTCACTCAGTTTCTCCCAATGGTAACATCTTGCATAAATATAGTACAATATCACACCAGGAAATTATTTTTGATAAAATCCACCAATCTTACTCAGATTTCACCATTTTTACATACACTCATCTGTTTGTGTGTGTTTAGTTCTATACAATTTTATTGCATGTGTAAATATCACATAGGAACAACATTACAGTCAAGATACAAAACTGTTCCATCACAAGGATCCCTCAGGGTACCCTTTTATAGCCACAGACACCTCCTTCCCTTCTCTCTCCCTAATGCCTAGCAACTACTCATCTGCTCTCTATCTCTATAATTTTATCATTTCGAGAATGTTGTGGGCTGGCCACAGCGGCTCACTCCTGTAATTCCAGCACTTTGGGAAGTCGAGGTAGGTGGATCATTTGAGGTCAAGAGTTGGAGACTAGCCTGGCCAATATGGTGAAAACCCGTGTTTACTAAAAATACAAAAAAAAAAAAATAGCTGGGCATGGTGGTACATGCCTTAATCCTAGCTACTCCGGAGGCTGACACAGGAGAATCACTTGAACCCGGAAGGCAGAGGCTGCAGTGAGCCGAGATTGTCCCACTGCACTCCAGCCTGAGTAACACAGTGGGACTCTTTCCCAAAAATAAATAAATAAATAAATAAATAAATAAATAAATAAATAAATGTTATTAATGGAATCATACAAATCACAACCTGAGATTGACTTTTCTCACTCAGCATAATTTCCTTGAGATCTATCCAAGTTGCTGCCTATCTCAGTAGTTCATTCATTTTTATCTCTGGGTAGTATTTCATAATATGGATGTGCCACTGTTTAACTCTTCACCATTCGAGGACATTTGAATTATTTCTAGGCTTGGCTATTACGAACAATGTTTTGTGCAGATTCTTGGGTGAACAAACATTTTTATTTCTCTGAGATAAATGCCCAGTGACATGCAAATTTGAGACTCTAAACTGCAGCAGCTGTTTGGCTACCTCATCAGAGAGATTCCACCCTGATGACCCAATATAAAGTAATAACCATCACTCTTCATCTTCCATATTCTGATTCATTCCACTTTATGGCATGTTTCATACCATGTGTTTATTGCTTGGTTTGCTTATCATCCAACTTTCCCTCTAGAAAGTAATTCCATGACCCCAGCAACCTTGTCTGTTTTGTTCCACACAGTGTCCTGGAATCTAGAAGACTGGCACATAGTTGACACTCAACAAACATTTGTTGAATAAATTAATGAGTAAATAAATCTCAGACACCTTTCCCTATTAGATTATTTCTTCTTTTTCTTCTTCTCCTTCTTCTTCCTCTTCTTCTTCTTCTTCTTCCTCCTTCTTCTTCTTCTTCTTCCTCCTCCTCCTCCTCCTCTTCCTCTTCTTCTTCCTCCTCCTCCTTCTTCTTTGTTTTTGTTTTTGGAAACTGCATAGCATTTCATTGTACACCTGCATAATATTTTCATTAACTTATCCCCTGTTGGAGCATATTGACGTTGGTCCCAGTATTTTACAAATCCAAACAATGCTGTAATGGCAATCCTTGTATAATCAAACATCTCTGTCCAGATGGGAGAGAAGCAGAGTAGAAGGTTCTACGAGTGAGTGCATTTAAATTTTTTTAGTGATTGTCAAATTGTTTTCTTTTACTTTTTTTTTTTTTTAATCGAGATGGAGTTTTGCTCTTGTCACCCAGGATGGAGTGCAATGGCGTGACCTCGGCTCACCGCAACATCTGCCTCCCGGGTTCAAGCTATTCTCCTGCCTCAGCCTCCTGAGTAGCTGGGATTACAGGCATGCGCCAACACGCCCAGCTAATTTTGTATTTTTAATAGAGACAGAGTTTCTCCGTGTTGGTCAGGCTGGCCTCGAACTCCTGACCTCAGGTGAGCCACCCGCCTCAGCTCCCAAAAGTGTTGGGATTACAGGCGTGAGCCACCGCGCCCAGCCCAATTGTCAAATTGCTTTCAATGGTGTTCTCCCAATTTACATTCTCACAGTGTACTGGAATTCCTCACATTCTCATTAATACTGAATACTGTCAAAGTTTTAAATCTTTGCTAATCTCATAAATTAAAATTAACATCACCTCTTTTCACATGTTTATTGACCATTTGTTCTTTTTCTCTGTACCATCTGTTCATGACCTTTGCTCATTTTTCTTCTCTCTTTTTTTGCTTTTATTTGTGCAAATATTTTGTCTCAAGGAAATTCATCCTTTGTTTAATTTGCTAAAAACATCTTTCCCCAATTTTCCTTTATCATTCAGCTGTTTAGAAAATTTTTTTATAAGAAGACATCTAATTTTGAATTCTGTATAACCAAATTTATCCATTTGTGACTTCTGTGGGGTCATGTTTAGAAAGATCTTCCAGATGACAAGTGCCTTAAAAAAAATCAATCAGTTTTCTTTTTCCTGGAATTTTTATGGATTAATTTTCTTAAAAAAATTTCATTGATCAATAATATAGTTCAGTATAAGAAGTGAGATGAGATCTTTTTTCTCCCAAGTAGCTAGCCAGTTATTCCACAATCATTTATTGAATGTATAGCACCAACCTGCAATTTCTCCTGTATCTTGTACTAAATTCTTTTTTTTTTTTTTTTTTTTTTTTTTGGAAATGGGGTCTGGCTCTGTCACCCAGGCTGGAGTGCAGTGGTGCAATCTCGGCTCACTGCAACCTCTGCCTCCTGGGATCAAGGGATCCTCCCACCTTAGCCTCCCCAGTAGCTGGGACCACAGGTGCACGCCGCAACACCCAGCTAATTTTTTGTATTTTTGGTAAAGACTGGGTTTCACCATGTTGCCCAGGCTGGTCTCAAACTCCTAAACTCAAGCCGTGGCCTCCCGAAGTGCTGGGATTACCCTGCATAAGCCACCGCGCCCGGACCTTATATTAATGTTAAATTCTTATTGATATTTTGTCTTTTTCTCCATTTCCCATTCTGTCTCATCTAATACGTTGGCTTCTTAAGTACTGTATTCTTGTATTTATTATGATAATTTTTTATTTTTCCAGACTAAGGTTAGTATCAGTTGGTAAAAGACAGATAAGAGAGAAGGAGATAGAAGAAGCAGAAATACTTTAGGCCTCATCAGGTCCCACTCAGTTTGCTGCTTGGAAGAAGAATGATCCAAGGAGGGAGGGATCAACAGTGTAAAATGTCACAGGTAAGTGACGACTAACTGGGCCTGTGGTGTAGGGGGAAAAGATTTACCAAGACCATTGTAGGTAAAGAAAGGCAGATTTATTAGAGAAAGTAGAAAAATATGTTGCCAGGGAGACAACAGGCAGTATCAACAGAAGAGAAGCTGACTACAAAGAAACAAAGACTTGCTAGGGATTTTATACAATGGAACTTGGACTGATTGATAACGCTAAGGTAGCAGGAAGCTTAACCCGCATTCTTCTGTCAGCCAAGGTGCTTGATAAATCGAGGCGTTTGATGGTAAGCAGGAAGTTTGTGAGTTATGTACAGGAGGGCCATGTGCCCTGGGCCATAAAAAAAGCAGACCTATCACTTGTTTGCTTTATCTTTGCTTTCCCCTGGTCCCACCAGCCTGACTCCTTTTCCCTGATTAGGACTCCACATAAAATGCCTTCGAGATGTTAAGATGAAGACTGAAAAGTGTCCCTTGGATTTGGCCAATACTAGTAAAAGTCACTCGTTCCCTTAGGGCAGGGAGGTTTAGAGGAGGCAGGAGGAAATTCATTTTAAAACGGTATATTTTATTTTATTTATTTTTTGAGACAGAGTCTCGCTCCTGTCGCCCAGGCTGGAGTGCAATAGCGCAATCTTGGCTCACTGCAACCTCTGCCTCCCAGGTTCAAGCGATTCTCCTGCCTCAGCCTCCCGAGTAGCTGAGGTTATAGGCATGCGACACCATGCGTGGATAATTTTTGTATTTTTAGTAGGGACGGGGCTTCCCATGTTGGCCAGGCTAGTCTCAAACTCCTGACCTCAGGTCATCCGCCCGCCTCAGCCTCCCAGAGTGGGTTTATAGGCGTGAGCCACTGTGCCTGTCCCTAAAACAGTATATTTTAGGCCGGGCGCGGTGGCTCACGCCTGTAATCCCAGCACTTTGGGAGCCCGAGGAGGGCGGATCACGATGTCAGGGAATTGAGACCATCCTGGCTAACACGGTGAAACCCTGTCTCTACTAAAAAAAATACAAAAAATTAGCCGGGCATGGTGGCGGGTGCCTGTAGTCCCAGCTACTCAGGAGGCTGAGGCAGGAGAATGGCGTGAACCTGGGAGGCGGAGCTTGCGGTGAGCCGAGATCGCGCCACTGCACTCCAGCCTGGGCGACAGAGCGAGACTCTGTCTCAAAAAAAAAAAAAGTATATTTTATTAATACTCTTTTTTTGAGACGGAGTCTCGCTCTGTCGCCCAGGCTGGAGTGCAGTGGCGCGATCTCGGCTCACCGCAACCTCCGCCTCCCAGGTTCAAGCGATTCTCCTGCCTCAGCCTCCTGAGTAGCTGGGACTACAGGTGTGCGCCACCATGCCCGGCTAATTTTTGTATTTTTAGTAGAGACGGGGTTTCACTGTGTTGGCCAGGCTGGTCATGATCTCCTGACCTCGGGATCCGCCCACCTCAGCCTCCGGAAGTGCTGGGATTACAGGCGTGAGCTACCGGGCCTATTAATAAGAATTTTATTAGGCCTTTATACTAAAGAATTTGGACAATGTCCCAGAGGCAAACACAAACAAATAAACAACAACAACAAAAAACCCACAAAACTTTGAAGATGTCTGAGTAAGAAGCGACAGAATGAAAAGCATTTTCTTCTTTAAGAATTTTTAAGGATGATTCTATTCCTTGAGGTGGTATTTGAATCAGTGAAAAAGTACAAATAGAGAAATTAATGGGAAGGCTGCACGGCTACCGATTCTTTGAAAAATACTTGTAAACTGACACACTGGTGCAATAATATAGGTTAGGATTAGTAATAGAAATTAACATGAACAGGTAAATTAAGCAAATCAAAATTCCATGAAATCTGGATGATGAAGGGAAGACAGTAAACACTCAAGGAAGAGGGGCTGGGCATGGTGGCTTCTGCCTGTAATCCCCTCACTTTGGGTGGCTGAGATGGGAGGGTCACGATCACGTGAGCCCAGGAGTTCTTGACTAGCCTAGGCAACATAGTAAGACCCCATCTCTTAAAATTTCTTTTTTCTTACAAAATTTATTGAGAAAAAGACAGGTGTAACTTTTTTAAATTAAAAAAAAGGAAGGGGACTGTTAGAGATTGCTAATGTAAATATTCCCTTTCCCCCACTCCCACCTTGTTCTACCCAACTCATCTATTTTGTTCTACCTTTTTAAAATTTTTTCCTTTTGTTTTCTTTTTTGAAACGGAGTCTTGCTCTGTTGCCCAGGCTGGAGTGCAGTGGCCTGATCTCGGCTCCCTGCAACCTCTGTCTCCCAGGCTCAAGTGATTCTCCAGCCTCAGTCTCCAGAGTAGTTGGGATTACAGGTGTGCACCACTGTGCCCATCGAGTTTTTGTATTTTTGGTAGAGACGGGGTTTCACCATGTTGGTCAGGCTGGTCTTGAACTCCTGGGCTTAAGCGATCCACCCGCCTCAGCCTCCCAAAGTGATGGGATTACAGGCATGAGCCACCACACCCTGCCTGTTCTACCTTTCTTTACCCCCAGGTCACCTGCCTCCAGAGGTAATAAAGGGTTGGTAAGATAAACACAATCAATTCTGAAAAACAAAGCCAAACTCAAGGCTTGCATCCCCCAAGTAAAGGAGAAGATGAAGGGCAGCTTTATCTACCTATCCATATCTCTCATATTTCTGCACTGTATTGCAATGCTTATTAGTCCTTTTTGGAGTAAATGAGAATAGACATATCCTTTAATTCTTACAAATTTCATTGTTGACCCAATCTCAAACCAAGACCAGACTGTGGTGTGGCCTGGCCCAAGTACTCTACATTTTTCTGGAAATGGGCTAAAGCTATTTGGGACTGGAATTTGAATGACTGGGTACTCAGAGTATGGTTGAGAAGGTAGATGTGGGTTTGGGGCTGGCAAGTCCACTTAATCCCTCAGACTTCTTGTCCCATGGGGAAGAGGACCAGAGTGGAACTCTCTAAAGTGATGATGTGGGCTGCTTTGCCTACGGAGTAGCCATTCTTTATTCCTTTATTTTCTTAATAATCTTACTTTCACTTTGAAAAAATAAAAATAAAGTGATGGTCTGGAAGCAGAAGCCCGCCTTGCTCAGATAGCAAGACAATATTGAGAAAATCTCAAAGAAAACTAGGAAACACCAAGTAAGGGATAAGAAAGCAACTTAAAAATGCTGGAGGTCTACTGGATGATAAGACAATGAGTATTGTGGGACTCCAAGACCCTGGGTCACCGCAGGATTCTTAGTTTCTCTATACTTCAGAAAGGAGCAAGCAATTTTTAGTTGCTACTCAATACAACAACCCTACGTAGTGGGCATTTTAATACCATTTTAATGGATAAACAATCTTATGGTTCAAAAAGTAAAAGATGTAACGAAATCTACTTCTTACTGCGGTACAATTATCATCCCCATTTCACACGAGGAGAAACTGAGGTAAATGAATGGTAAACCAACTTGCTTGGGCACAAGTGAGAGGTAGCAGAACTGGGCTTGTTATTGACACACAGAAATGTTACCATCTGATAATTAAACCTTTCTTTTTCTAAACAAAACTGCAAGTGCCTACAAATGGGGCTGTTTAATAAAAGGCCTCACTTATCAGGTGGGCTCAGTCGGTGACCCTCCTCATCCTCCAGCCTCTTGGGGAGGCCAGGTGTTTGCGCTCCCCAGCACCTATACAAAGCCAGCTTTCATTTTTTCGTTTCTTTTTTTTTTTTTTTTTTTTTTTTGAGACAGAGTCTCCCTCTGTCCCGCAGGCTGGAGTGCAGTGGCGATCTCGGGTCACTGCAACCTCCGCCTCCTGGGTTCAAGGGATTCTGCTGCCTCAGCCTCCTGAGTAGCTGAGACTACAGGCGCCTGCCACCACGCCCGGCCAATTTTTCTATTGGTAGTAGAGATGGGGTTTTACCATGTTGGCCAGGATAGTCTTGATCTCCTGACCTCGTGATCCACCTGCCTTGGCCTCCCAAATGCTGGGATTACAGGCGCGAGCCACTGCGCGCGGCCAAAGCCAGCTTTCTTTTGCAGGGGCTGAGACCTGGCACCAAGAGGAAACCCAACAAAAGACGAGGGGCCCGGGCCCGGCAGCCGCTGAAGTTTGTAGGCCCGGAGCGTGTGGCACCATCTGCTCTTGCGACCAGTGCCCTAGGATAGAGCTTCAGCGCGACCAGTCCAAAGGAGAGTGGCGGAGCCTCCTCGGCCTTTCCAAGAGGAAACAGCTCAGGCCCCCAGGCCACGAAACCTTGTCACTCGCTGGAAGCGCGAGCCAAGCCCCGCCCCCGCGAGCCGCCTCTTCCGCTCGCGCTGGGGTGGGGTTTACGCTGCCGCCGGCATCCGCTCGGACGCGGCCACGTTGTCTTGCGCGCTTTGCCCGCCTGGCCCTGGGACTCTGACCCTCGGCTACCCTTTCCTGCCCCACTAGCGTGGCCGCGAGCCTCGGTGAGCCGGCCGTATTCCCGCTCTCGCTTAGGGGGCACAGGCGCAGGCATCGGCCCGGCCACTCCAAGCCTTCGGTGCGCGGGCGCGTCTGGGATACGGGCCCGGGAGGCGCCGCCCTCCGTCCGCCCGGTGCCTCTCAGGAACAGCGAACCGGAGAGAGCGCCGGAGAGTTGGGCTCAGTGCAGAGCTCGGCGCCGGGGCCCATGCCCGTGCGCCCCCGCAGGCCGGCGCCATGGCCTCCGGGAGTGTGGCCGAGTGCCTGCAGCAGGAGACCACCTGCCCCGTGTGCCTGCAGTACTTCGCAGAGCCCATGATGCTCGACTGCGGCCATAACATCTGTTGCGCGTGCCTCGCCCGCTGCTGGGGCACGGCAGAGACTAACGTGTCGTGCCCGCAGTGCCGGGAGACCTTCCCGCAGAGGCACATGCGGCCCAACCGGCACCTGGCCAACGTGACCCAACTGGTAAAGCAGCTGCGCACCGAGCGGCCGTCGGGGCCCGGCGGCGAGATGGGCGTGTGCGAGAAGCACCGCGAGCCCCTGAAGCTGTACTGCGAGGAGGACCAGATGCCCATCTGCGTGGTGTGCGACCGCTCCCGCGAGCACCGCGGCCACAGCGTGCTGCCGCTCGAGGAGGCGGTGGAGGGCTTCAAGGTGAGGGCGCGGATCCGGGAGGGCGGGAGCGCGAGTCGGACAAAGGGAGGAGAGAGCCAAAGGGGCTTCCTTTTTTCCGCCTAGAAAATGGCTGAGCCGGACGTGTGGTTCACAGCCGTCATTTCCTCTCTGTCCGCTCCAGAGCCTCAGCACTCAGATTTGGAGGAAAACCTGTAGCTGGCGAGGAAGCCAGGAGTGTCCCCACCCCCACTCTCTTTTCTCTGTTTACCCCCATGTTACCTGTCTCACGGACACATTGTACACGGAGACATCCTTTTGACAGTTTAAAAGAAGTGCATAAAACCGCGTACACATCGACAAGCTGCAGACACTCTTACTCCCATCGGCTCTCAGACAAAACGCAGTTGGACGTTAACTGACTTATGCCCATTCCTTAGTCTATAAGCATTTCCCCAGCACTTTCCTGCAATCCGTCCTGGTCTAGAAACTCACAGAAAAGAACAGCTTTTCGCTGCTGGAGTAAGTCACTTAACCACTCTGAGACTCAGGAGATAACACAGTTATGAGGAATATTGTGGAATCATGTGACTCACAGAGCCCTTTGTGAACTGGCACAGCTAAACAGAAACGTGGAAACAAAGTATTACATATAAAACAGTTGTAAGGTGACCTTCAAGGAGTCCATGATACTGTGTATTTTCTGTACGTTGAGGGCTTCAGGAATGCGTACACAATTATGTCCGTGTTTAAATATGAGTACATTCATGTGCAATCACTTAACATTTATGGACCTTTCAGCTATATTATTTCACTCACTCTGGTGAGAACTCTTGAGTAGGTTGGGAAGATGGTGTTTGCCCATTTCACACATGAGGGAAATAAGTCACTTTCACAGTGTACCTATATGGAAGAGCTACAATACAACATAGTTCTAAGCCTCCTACTCCAGTCACAGTTCCGCTAAGTCATGCAATATCCTACCAGGGACAGGTAGATGACTCATTGTTTAAGATAGACACAAATAGTCCTGACGAGGTAGCTGAGTGGTTGAAGCCACAGGCTGCTAAGATAGACACAGATTGCCAAAGGAGTGGCTTGTTTGCCCCTGCGCCCTGAGTCTCTTGTGGGTGGCAGTGTGGCCTAAGGACAAGCGCCAACTGGAGACTTGGCATCAGGTGTGTGGACTCCATGTGTGATAAGAAGTACCATGCTGATGCTAAGGTCTACCTAATTTTGAACTGCCCATCTGTTTTGCTTTTCTCAGGAGCAAATCCAGAACCAGCTCGACCATTTAAAAAGAGTGAAAGATTTAAAGAAGAGACGTCGGGCCCAGGGGGAACAGGCACGAGCTGAACTCTTGGTAAGGGTTGTTGGAATTCACAGTTGGTTCTGCTGGTGCTCTCCTCTTCTGTAGAGCTGATGTTACTTCCCTTAAACTTGTCCAGCATGTCACCCAGAACTTGTAGGTAGAGGTGGATCAACCGCACATGGCAGTGGGAACTCACCCGGAGAACTAAGATTCCCTTACTTTTGGGGAAAGCATGGAGAAGCCAAGTTTGGAACCCTTGGAAATCAGACCTGTCAGTTTACTTTAACCTGCTAACTGCGTAGACCAGGGTTGATCCTTGGCAAAGCTGAGATAGGTAAAATTATTGGATACAGTTAGCTTGCGTTGGTACCATTCTGCAGACAATTGCTAATAGTGGATTTGTGTAATCCCCACTGTTGCTTCTCTTTGGCTTATTCTCCTTTCTTAACAATGCCTTAATTCTGAATTTTTTACTCTGCCCTCTTCCTCCAGTCTCAAGGCCTTAACAAGTGGCTGATGTGTTAATTTATATTAGGGGTATATGGGAATTTTTTTTTTTTTTTTTAAGACAGGGTCTCACTGTCATCCAGGCTGGAGTGCAATGGTGAGGTTTTGGCTCGCTGCAACCTCTGCCTCCCAGTTCAAGCGATTCTCCCACCTCAGCCTCCCAGGTAGCTGAGGCTACAGGCGTACGCCAACAGACTCAGCTAATTTTTGTATTTTTAGTAGAGATGGTGTTTCTCCATGTTGGTTAGGCTGGTCTCGAACTCCCGACCTCAGGTGATCCGCCCACCTCAGCCTCCCAAAGTGCTGGGATTACAGACGTGAGCCACCGCGCCCAGCCTGGCTCCTTGTTTAGAACAAAAGTTTATAATAGAGTCCTGTTGGTGGTGGGGGTTGGGTGAAGAACGAAGGACAGTAAATTATGGCAAACAAATGAGCGCCAAGAGGGAATCGTGGGGAGAGCACCTCTCCCCCTCCTACCCAAAGCTAGAGACAGCAGTTGGTGAACACCCGTGAAGGACAGACAGCGGGTATGGATTACATATGAAGGGCCCAGGGAAATTGGGCAAGGAAGCTGTTATTGGTTGTTCCATCCTCCATAGGGCACATATCTGACCCTGTCACTTTCCTGTGTGACAATCTTCCATGCTTCCCAGTTGGGATAGAGTCCTTACCCCCAGCCTCCCAGGCCAGGCATGACAAGGCCTTACCTTTTCTGGTCCCTTCCCTCAACACTCATGTGCTCCAGCCAGATAGCACCATTTGCTTTCTCTCCCCACTCTTTTGCCTGTGCCATTTCTTCTGCCTGGAAAGGCTTCCCGCTCATTGCCTATGTGGTGAATTCTTGTTCATCACATGAACATTGTGTGAAATTGCTTCTGTGAAGATGGTACCAGTTTCTTTCATTGCAGGCTGTCACCCTATCTTTAATTACCCATCCATGACTATGTATATCATATGAACCTGACTCACTTCTCTGAGTTGCTTGAGAACAGGGACTATGTCTTAATAATCACTGGGGTAATTCAGTTCCTGGGCATTATATATCCAGTCAGTAAAGACTGGAAATAATGAGTTAGCACTGTGCTTGTTTTAATCCATAATGAGGTCTTGGGCTACATGGTCACAGGAGAACTATGAAGGCCCTAGAAATGAGCCGTTTTTCTCTTTACTGCCTTTCCCTGTCGTCTGCATAGAGCCTAACCCAGATGGAGAGGGAGAAGATTGTTTGGGAGTTTGAGCAGCTGTATCACTCCTTAAAGGAGCATGAGTATCGCCTCCTGGCCCGCCTTGAGGAGCTAGACTTGGCCATCTACAATAGCATCAATGGTGCCATCACCCAGTTCTCTTGCAACATCTCCCACCTCAGCAGCCTGATCGCTCAGCTAGAAGAGAAGCAGCAGCAGCCCACCAGGGAGCTCCTGCAGGTAAGGCTTGCAGAGCCCTGCTAGAGCAGCACCCACTGAAAATATCGTCCCTTCTCCTTTGCCAAGTAGTATCCAGGACCCCCTGTCTTCTTTTTAACTCTGCAGGAATAGCAAGAGCTTGCCAAACTCTATATTGTGCACCTTGGAAGGAAACTGTGTAAACTAGAAGTTCTGGTTCACACAACTTGAATTAGTCAATTGCGTTGTCTCATAGAAATGGCAAAAAGAAGACCTGGTGCTTGTGCCTACACAGCACTGACAAGTGGTCTGATTACAGGCAAGGCTCTCAACCTTTTTGGGCCTCAGTGACCTCATTTGTTCAGTAATGAGGGGCTTAGACCACATGTCATTCAAAGACTCTCCTCACTCCAGTATCCTGTAGTTTTAATGTATTACTATAGCCACAAAACAATGAGCACTTGAGCAGGAGTGGTTAGGTTACCTGAGCAGTCCTGTGATTTAACCTTGGTAGAGCAGGTGATAAAGCTGCAGCAGACCTACCCCGGCAAGACTACAGGAAATGAGCTAATGCCTGTCTGTCGTTTGCTCATTCAGTGCGTATTAATTATTTGCTTTGTGTCAGGCACTATTCTAGGCACTGGGATTAAGTGCCAAATAAGCTTTCCTGAATTATATTTTAGTGTGGCGATCAGATAGTTCTTATAGGTATTTGATAAAAGCCATTAAAAATGGATGATGGCGGGCCAGGTGCAGTGGCTCACACCTGTAATCCCAGCACTTTGGGGGGCCGAGGCGGGTGGATCACAAGGTCTAGGACTTCAAGACTAGCCTGGCCAAGATGGGGAAACCCCGTCTCTACTAAAAATACAAAAATTAGCCAGGCATGGCGGTGTGCCTGTAGTCCCAGCTACGCGGGAGGCTGAGGCAAGGAATTGCCCAAAACCAGGAGGAAGTGGTTGCAGTGAGCCAAGATCGCGCCACTGTACTCCAGCCTGGGCAACAGAGCGAGACTCTGTCTCAAAAAAATAAATAAATAATAAAAAATAAAAATAAAAATGGATGATGGCATAGGGCAAGGGTCAGCAAATTATGGTCCATCCCCTGTTTTTGTATGTCCTGGGCAATAAGTATGGTTTTTACATTTTAATTTTAATTTAATATTATTTATTTATTTTGAGATTGAGTCTTGCTCTGTTGCCCAGGCTGGAGTGCAGTGGTGCGATCTTGGCTCACTGCAACCTCCGCCTCCTGGGTTCAAGCGATTCTCCTGCCTCAACCTCCTGAGTAGCTGAGATTACAGGCGCACACCACCATGGCTGGCTAATTTTTGTATTTTTAGTAGAGACGGGGTTTCACCATATTGGTCAGGCTGGTCTCAAACTCCTGACCTCGTGATCTGCCCTCCTCGGCCTCCCAAAGTGTTGGGATTACAAGTGTGAGCCACAGCGTCAGGCCAGTTTACATTTTTAAATGGTAAAAATCAGAAAAATGTATTTCTTTCTTTCTTTTTTTATTTTTTTATTTTTGAGACGAAGCAAGAAGGGAGTGGACAGCATAGTAATGCAGTTGAGGTCAAATAATATCAAAGCTGATACCCATTTGATTCAATAACATGACCATCATTGGTGATCTTAGGTAGAACTATCACAATGGAATAATTGGGGCAGGAGCCACATTAGGGGGAGTTGAGTAGTGACTAGGTCAGGTGAATGGAGACTACACAAGTAGATGACTATTTCAAGTACAACTGTTAAGGGGTTGTAATAAAATACTTAGAGACGAGACAGGATTATGGAGTTTTATCTGGAAGGGTTGGTTAAAGAAACTAGAAGTTAGACATATTTTCAAAATACATATGGAAAGGAGTATATGTTGTAAGGTTTCTAGGTGAGGGAGAACACTGAAGCCACAAGAAACCATATACTGGCCGGGCACGGTGGCTCATGCCTGTAATCCCAGCACTTTGGGAGGCCGAGGTGGGCAGATCACCTGAGGTCGGGAGATTGAGACCAGCCTGACCAACATGGAGAAACCCCATCTCTATTAAAAATACAAAATTAGCCGGGTGTGGTGGCACATGCTTGTAATCCCAGCTACTCAGGAGGCTGAGGCAGGAGAATCGCTTGAACCAGTGAGACGATGGTTGCAGTGAGCCGAGATTGCGCCATTGCATTCCAGCCTGGGCAATGAGCGAAACCCTGTCTCCAAAAAAAAAAAAAAGAAAGGAAGAAAGAAACCATGTACTGATCAGCAATGTGCGGTTCCTGAGAAGGCAGGTGGAAATGAGAACTAAAGTACATATGCCAGGAATTAGTGTCAGAGAGTCTTCTGTTGTATGGGAAGAAATGATTGTTTCAGAGTATGGGAAAGACAGTTGGTTTGCGAGAACTAGTAGGAGTATTTGGTCAGTGAACATCTATTTATAGTGTAACCATTCTGCCCTGTTGTGTAACTTTCTTTTTTTTTTTTTTTTAAGACATACTCTTGCTCTGTTGCCCAGGCTGGAGTGCAGTGGTGCAATCTTGGCTCACTGCAACATCCCCCTCTCAAGTTCAAGCAATTCTCCTGCCTCAGCCTCCCAAGTAGCTGGGATTACAGGCGTGTGCCACCACGCCCAGCTAATTTTTGTATTTTTTATAGAGACGGAGTTTCACCATGTTGGCCAGGCTGGTCCTGAACTCCTGACCTCAGGTGATCCTTCTGCCTCGGCCTCCCAAAGTGCTGGGATTACAGGTGCGAGCCACCGTGCCCAGCCCCTGTCGTGTAACTTTCTTATCAGCTTTGCTTTCTCAAATCTTGACTGCTCTGGCGTGGGCACTGAGTAAGCAGATGGTCAGTCTCATCCAGGATTGGGGTTTTGCAAGATGGACTTGAGTGTTTTTTTTTCCTTAGTTTTTATTGTTGTTGTTTGAGACAGGGTCTCACTCTGAAACCCAGTCGGAGTGCAGTGACATGATCATGGCTCACCGCAGCCTTGACCTCCCAGGCTCAGATGATCCTCCCACCTCAGCCTCCCAAGTAGCTGGGACTACAGGCGTAAACCACCATGCTTGGCTAATTTGTGTAATTTTTGTAGAGATGGAGTTTTGCCATGTTGCCTCGGCTGGTCTTGAACTCCTGGGCTCAAGCAATCCATCCGCCTCAGCCTCCCAAAGTGCTAGGATTACAGGTGTGAGCCACCACATCCAGCCTTCCAGCCTTCTTCATTTTTTTAATTGTAAAATATACGTAACCTAAATTTCACCATTTTAAAGTGTAAAACTCTGGCACAAAGTAGCATTTAGTAAATCCACAGTGTTGTAAATTATCAACCACTGTCTGGATCTAAAACACTTTTACCACCCAAAAGGAAACCTCACACTATTAAGCAATCACTCCTCATTTCCTTCTACCCCTAACTCCTGGCTCTATGGATTAGTCTATTCTAGATATTAGATATAATTGAAATCATACAGTACGTAGCCTTTTTCTTCACTTAGCATACTTTTTTTTTTTTTTGAGGCAGAGTTTCACTCTTGTTGCCCAGGCTGGAGTGTAACGGCACGATCTCCGCTCACCGCAACCTCCGCCTGCCAGGTTCAAGCGATTCTCCTGCCTCAGCCTTCCGAGTAGTTGGTATTACAGGCATGCGCCACCACCCCTGGCTAATTTTGTATTTTTAGTAGAGACGGGGTTTCCCCATGTTGGTCAGGCTAGTCTCAAACTCCTGACTTCAGGTGATCCACCCACCTCAGCCTCCCAAAGTATTGGGATTACAGGTGTGAGCCACCACGCCCGGCCTATCACTTAGCATATTTTTTTAAAGATTCATTCATATTGTAATATGTTTCAGTACTGGCCAGGCGCGGCGGCTCACGCCTGTAATCCCAGCACTTCAGGAGGCCAAGGTGGGCAGATCACGAGGTCAGGAGTTCGAGACCAGCCTGGCCAACATGGTGAAACCCCGTCCCTACTAAAAATACAAAAATTAGCCAGGCGTGGTGGCGCATGCCTGTAATCCCAGCTACTCAGGAGGCTGAGGCAGGACAATCACTTGAACCTGGGAGGCAGAGGTTGTAGTGAGCCGAGATCGTGCCATTGCACTCCAGCCTACGCAATAGAATGAGACTCCATCTCAAAAAATATATATATGAAAAAATATATATTTCAGTACATATATATATGTTTCAGTATTTCTCTTTATGGCTGAATAACATTCCATTGTATGGATATATAATATGTTTTGTTTATTCATCAGTCGATGGGCATTTTGGTTGTTTGCACCTTTTGGCTATTGTCAATAGTGCTGCTGTGAACATTGAACACAAAAAGTAGAAAATGGTTCACAAATTTGTGTGTTATCCTTGTGCAGGAGCCATGCTAATCTGTGCATGGTTCCCATTTGAGGATATCTGCTGCTGAAGCAAGCACCATAATTAAGGCTTTAAAACCTTTTTTTAAATTTTTTTTAGACAAAGTCTCACTCTGTTGCCCAGGCTGGAGTGCAGTGGCACAATCTCAGCTCACTGCAGCTTCCACCTCCTGAGTGAGTCTCCTGCCTCAGCCTCCCGAGTAGCTGGGATTACAGGCACACACCACCACACCTAGCTAATTTTTGTATTTTTGGTAGAGATGGGGTTTCACCATGTTGGCCAGGCTGGTCTTCAACTCCTGACCTCAGGTGATCCGCCTACCTTGGCCTCCCAAAGTGCTGGTATAATAGACGTGAGCTACTGCGCCTGGTCTAAAGCTTCTTTTTTTTTTTTTTTTTTTTTTTTAAGAATATTTTTTTAAACAGATGGAGCATGAAACTGAAGGTGGATGATGAGGAAAGGAGAGAAAGAAAGAAGTCATGGACTCAGTAAGGGAGGAGGGGCTCCATGAATATCAAAAAGTGTTTATGTTGGAAGTCACTGGAAAAGCAGGATAAATATTACTTAATGGGGCAATACTGGAGGCATTCCCATTGAGGTCAGAAACAGGCCGGATGCCCAGTATCATTTATCTCTATTTAACACTGCATTAAAGGTTCTAACCAGTTCAGTTAAATAAAATAATTATAGGTATACAAATTGGGAAAGAAGTTAACATACAGAAATCAGCAGCCTTCATATGCCAGATAGCAGCCACTAGAAGACATATTAGAAGAGAACATGCTGTTTCCATTTGCAAAAAAAAAACAAGTGATAAAATATCTGGGAATAAATTTATAAGAAATATACAAAAACCTATGTGGAGAAAATTATAAAACATTCAAAGATTCCTGAAAGACACAAAATAAACTTGAACAAATAAAGAGATATCACTTATTGTTTGATAAGACAGGGAAAGCAAGTTGTCCTTCACATTCATAAATGCAGTTTCTTTTTTTTTTCTGTTACTCGGATATATTATGTAGTGAAGTCTCGGATTTCAGTGTAACCATCACCCAGGTACCCAGTGTACGTTGTACCCATTAAGTAATCTGTTATCCCTCATCCCCCCCCCCCCACCCTTGCAATTTCAATAAAAATACCAACAAGCTCTTTTTCTGGATCTAGACAAATTGACAGTCAACTTCAGATAGAAAAATAAGCACATAATAATATGCACATATAAAATAAGCACATATTATTATGTGCTTATTTTTATGGGATAGGCCGGGTGCAGTGACTCACACCTGTAATCCCAGTACTTTGGGAGGCCGAGGCAGGTGGATCACATTAGGTCAGGAGTTTGAGACCAGCCTGGCCAACATGGCAAAACCCCGTCGCTATTAAAAATACAAAAATTAGCCAGGTGTGGTGGCACATGCCTGTAATCTCAGCTACCTGGGAGGCTGAGGCAGGAGAATCTCTTGAACCCGGAGGTGGAAGTTGCAGTGAGCTGAGATCGCACCATTTCACTCCAGCCTGGGAGGCAGATCAAGACTCTGTCTCAAAAAAAAAAAAAAAAGCTGGGATAGATCACTAGAGCCCAAGAGGTTGAGCCTGCAGTGAGCTATGATTGCACCACTGCACTCCAGCCTGGGTAACAGAGCAAGACTCTGTCTTAAAAAAAAAAAAAAAACATAGGTAGGCTACACTGTGAAAGAAGAGCTCTGAGGGAGAACTGGCCCTACTAGATACTACACCATATTTTAAAGCCCATATAATTAAAGCTGTTGGTATTAGTACAAGAAAAAAGCGCACACACATTGTAACCAGTCAAAAGATAGTATTAAAATTGAATATTTGCCACAAATATCACAAATACAAGTGATAGTTCTAATATAAAAAGACCTTTTAAGTATTGCGAGAGAAAAGACCAAAATTCTAGAGAAAAATGGGTTGAAGGCACAAATAGACAAGCTGCAAAAGACATAAATTGCTTTGTGAACATGTGAAAAAATGCTCAGCTGTACTTATAATAAGAGAAATGCAAACTAAAACCACACTAAAATACCATTTCTTACTCGTTACAATAGCAAAAATTTTCAACTTAATACACTTTTGACGAAGTGTCGGAGAGACACTCATATGCCAGTGGGCTGGTAGGAATGCAAAATCATGACCCTTTTGGAGGAGAATTTCTCAATATTTAACAAAACTGTATGTGTGTGTGTGTATGTATACACACAGTTAGAATTAACAATTTTTCTAGGAAGGGTAGAGGGAGGAGAGATGAGAGATTGATTAATGGGTACAAATATACAGTTTGATAGAAGAAATAAAAGCTAGTGTTTGATAGGTCAGTAGGGTGACTGTAGTTTACAAAACTATTATATATATCTATGTATATACACACACATATACATACGTATATTATATATATATATATATATTTTTTTTTTTTTTTGAGATGGAGTTTCACTCTTGTTGCCCAGGCTGGAGTACAATGGCAAGATCTCAGCTTACCGCAACCTCTGCCTCCCGGGTTCAAGCGATTCTCCTGCCTCAGCCTCCCGAGTAGCTGGGATTACAGGCATACGCCACCATGCCCGGCTAATTTTGTATTTTTAGTAGAGACGGGGTTTCTCCATGTTGGCCAGTCTGGTCCCAAACTCCCGACCTCAGGTGATCCGCCCGCCTGGACCTCCCAAAGTGCTGGGATTACAGGCGTGAGCCACTGCGCCTGGCCTATTTTATAGTCCAAAGTGACTAGAGGAGAATAATTGCAATGCTTCTTGCATAAAGAAAAGGCAAATATTTAACGATGTGATGGATATCCCAATACACTGATTTCTTTACAAATTATGAACATGTTAAATTATCGCATGCACCCCCAAAATATATATGTCTGTTACGTATCAATAAAAAATTTTAAAAATCTAAGAATTTACTTTGAAGATATAACTATTAAAATATATTTGAAAATACATATGCACAAGATAACCTGCTGCAACATTTTTATAATTGCAAAATACTGGAAATAGTCTGACTTAGAAACCTACAAGATTGTTTTAGTTAATTATGCACATATACACTATGGAATACTATCCAAGTTAAAAAAAGGAAAAGAATGATACCTATGAACTGATACGGAGTGGTTTTCAGTATATATTGCTTTGTGGAAAATAAAAATGTGAAATAGAGAGTATGCTACTTTTTTTTTTTTTCCTGAGACAGAGTTTCACTCTTGTTGCCCAGGCGTGAGCCACCGCGCCTGACAAGAGTATGCTACTTTTTGTGTATGAAAGAAGGGAGAGGCCACCGCTGGCTCACACTTGTAATCCCAGCACTTTGAGAGGCCGAGGTGGGTGGATCACCTGAGGTCAGGAGTTCAAGACCATCCTGGCCAACATGGCAAAATGCTGTCTGTGCTAAAAACACAAAAATTAGCTGGGCGTGATGGCAGACACCCGTAGTCCCAGCTACTCAGGAGGCTGAGGCAGGAGAATTGCTCGAACCCGGGTGGCAGAGGTTGCAGTGAGCCAAGATCGCGCCATTGCACTCCAGCCTGGGCTACACAGAGCGAGACTCCGTCTCAAAAAAAAAAAAAAAAAAAGTATACTGGAGTTCTTTGTACTAACAGCTTTTCCGTGTATTTGAAATTATTTCATAATAAAAAGAAAGCAAGCTGGACAGGTAGGCAAGCTTGAGGTCCAATCATAGGACGCTTAAGTTAGTAAATTTGAAATCCTGAGGTCCTTGACCAGTGGATGGTGGGTACTGAAGGAGGGTATGGGAAATGCTGGTATAGCAAATAGTATGCATCCCATTTTCCTCTGCCTGCCTTTTAGCTCCTCAACACTGAGTTATGTTCCAGTGATCCTTTTCTCCCTAATTTCTCCCATGAGAGCCAGTCTGTAGTTGGTTTTTCAACAAACATCTGTGAAAGAAAACCGAAGTTTTAAATGACTTCTCATGGTTATTTTTTTTCCTTTCTCTTGCAGGACATTGGGGACACATTGAGCAGGTATAGTTTTCTGTTTCCCTAGTGTTAAATCAAATATGAGAAGACTGTCTCCTTCACATTTGTAAATCCTGAAAGGAGCCCTGAGCCTGAGGATGGACATCTTATCAAATTGACACATATCCCTGAAGAGAGTCACTAGTATACAAAGAATTAGATGAACCACAGCTCTACTCAGTAAAATTCAGGAAGTAGGGGGTTCATGTGGGAGGCTGCCGGTGGATTAGGGGTATGAGGACACTTCCATGGAGAGGGTGTGGCCTTACAGGGACCTGGGCTGAATATAAGGGTAGTTTATGTCTATTGCTTCCTATACATTTCAGAATCCTTTCCCCCTTCATTATCTCATTTTTTTTTTTCTGTAATGGGGGAAATAAAGCCTAAGAAAGGTGTGACTGGCCTGCATTTACATAATTACTGATGAGCCACCTGGATTCTGGCTCTTATTCTTACTCTTGCTATTTCTCTATGTTCCATCAAAAAAAAAAAAGTGAGGAAGAACTCCCTGGCAGCTGGAACACGATCAAAGAGGGAGAGCTTGGAGGGGGCAGTAAGCCAGGGCAAAGTTGTTTTGCAGGATGGATGACGAGGCAAGTGGGATGGGCCTTGGGAAGCTCATGTTTGGTGTAAGAATGCCTTCAGGGGTGGAAACTGACTTTGAGGAAGCTGTACTGTGAAGGTGATTAAGATCCTGAATGGTGAAAACCTTCTAAAGCAAAATGCAGCTTGACTATGTGGGAGCATTTAAGGAGATTGGGGAGGTCCTTATAGATGGGGCAGTTTGGCTGGGAGGCCTGTGTTGATAGAATCATGTTGATGGAATTGAGGTTCCTGAGGGATCCTAGGATGGAGATAAGGTGGAGTTCATACCAGTCCCAGCCAGATGACCTAAGCAAATAATACTGTTACCTGATACTTTATGATGCCAGTCTAGCTGTGACCTAACATACAGAGTTAGCTGCCTCAGACCCTAGCAGTTTGTGACATTAAGGATTGAATTTGGCTATATAAGATAGGAAACCCAAAATTTTATTGGCTTAAGGCTTAAACATAATAAAAGAAATGTGCAGGTTGGGTGCGGTGGCTCACACCTGTAATCCCAGCATTTTGGGAGGCCAAGTCAGGTGGATCACCTGAGGTCAGGAGTTCGAGACCAGCCTGACCAACATGGTGAAACCCCATTTCTACTAAAAATACAAAAATTAGCTGGGCGTGGTGGTGCATGCCTGTAATCCCAGCTACTTGGGAGGTTGAGGCAGGACAATTGCTCAAACTCTTGTGGCGGAGGTTGCAGTGAGCTGAGATCATGCCACTGCACTCTAGCCTGGGCGACAGAGCCTGACTCCCTCTCAAAAGAAAAAAAAAAGTAAGAAATGTGCAGGTAGGTAGTCTGTGGCTAGTGTGGTAACTCCAGTGATCCTCAGAGACTCAGGTTTCTTCCCATTCACTGTTCTACCATCCCTAAGGTATGGTCCTCATATAGTCCACAATAGCTGGTAGAATGCCAACCAAGAAGAAGGAGATAAGTCGCATCACATTACCTTTTTTTCTTCGTTTTTTTTTTTTTTTTTTTTTCATTTTTCTTTTTTGTAGAGGCAGGGTCTTACCATGTTGCCCAGGCTGGTCTTGAACTCCTAGCCTCAAAGTAATTATCCCACCTTGGCCTCCAAAAGTGTTGGGATTGCAGGCATGAGCCACTGTTTCCTGTCATGTTACATTTTTAAGTAGATTTCTCAAAACACCATGAGATACGTCTTACTTCTCATAGGCCAGAACTTAGTCACAAGGTCACATCTAGCTATGAGGGACTGGGCAGCTGTGAGCCATAAAAGGCAGAAGATGGCAGAAGGGGTATTGGATAGGCAACTGGCAGTCTTTGCTATAGACATCCTTGCAGGGCTAGGGAATTGGGTAATGTCCCCCACAGTGCCTTTCTATCTGAACATGTCATTCTTTCCATATTTGGGAACCTGAGAATTCGGGTTAATTGCCCACCATAAATATCAAGGACTGTCATGGAATCTAGTGCTTTCTGGCAAAGTCAGCCTCATATGTAATTCAGTAAACCTTTTTGAGTACTTAGTATTTGAAAAGCTGTGAGCTAGGTGCTTTGGGGGGTATGAGAATGAGTACAGTATCCTATTTTGGTCTAGAGGATCATAGCTCAGGAAGAGAAGGTGGGAAAAGCTGTAGTGGCTGATTTTAAAGACTGTCCGTGTACGCTAGACAGTTTAACTTAGCCCCTGTCCTAGTTCCTGGAAGGTCATGGAATTGGGAAAAAGAATTTACTTGGGCCGGACGTGGTGGCTCACGCCTGTAATCCCAGCACTTTGGGAGGCCGAGGCGGGAGGATCACCTGAGGTCAGGAGTTCGAGACCAGCCTGACCAGTATGGAGAAACCCCATCTCTACTAAAAACACAAAATTAGCTGGGTATGGTGGCGCATGCCTGTAATCCCAGCTACTCAGGAGGCTGAGGCAGGAGAATCGCTTGAACCTGGGAGGCAGAGGTTGCGGTGGGCCGAGATGGCGCCATTGCACTCCAGCCTGGGCAACAAGCGAAACTCCATCTCAAAAAAAAAAAAAATTTACTCATGTTTTTTAAATTTAGGGCTGAAAGAATCAGGATTCCTGAACCTTGGATCACACCTCCAGATTTGCAAGAGAAAATCCACATTTTTGCCCAAAAATGTCTATTCTTGACGGAGAGTCTAAAGCAGTTCACAGGTAATGTGAGGAGAGGTGTCATGAGGGGAAATGGATTTATACTGAGTATCTGCATATTGCCTGATGAAGAGGATAATTTTCCAGCCAGATAGTGGGATGCAGACTGAATATTTTCTTGTTTTCTTTTCTTAGAAAAAATGCAGTCAGATATGGAGAAAATCCAAGGTAAATTTATCTACCTACTGGGCTTTTGATGTAAAGTTGCTTGGAAAAAAGAACATCTGCACTGAAAGTGGGAAACGTGGGATAAGGGTGATACCCATTGGCCAGCCTTCCCTGATATTTTACATCTTCCCTTTGGTCTTAATTAATTTTCTCAATTAACAGCTTCTTGTTCTAATTTGAAGTTTGTTAACTGTATTTAGTCAATTCGCAGTCTGCATTGATGGAGGAGAAAAATAAGCAATCCAAAAATTAATCAATCCAGAATTAATTTGATTGTTTACTTCGGAAAGAATGAACAAAAACTACCTTGGATACGTTTCACTTGAGCCAGTGTTTATCATTGTAATTTACTGAGTTCCTACTGCTTGTGGGCACAGGTGCCAGCTCGGGCTGGAGGAATCCAGCAGCACTGACAGGCAGCACCGCCAGGGACATGGTTAGGAGCGGGCAGTCAGGAGTCAGGCTGCCTGGGTTCTGGGCCTGCCTCTACCACTTAGTAAGGATTCAACAAGTAATTTCCTCATCTGTAACAGAACAGTAATAGTTCTTACCTCCTGAGGTATAAGAATTAAGGTTAGTTACCATTTCTAACACTTCTAGAATAGAACCTGACACATAATAAGTCCTATATTTATGTTTATTAAATCGTTCTAGGCATTTGGAGAAGCTTTTCCAAATTAAAATTTTTCTGCTCACGAGCCACATTCAGTAAAGAGTTGGCCATATATTATTCCACCCAGGAATACTAAAATTCCTGGGCAGTCTGGTGGATTCTGAAATCCTTATATGTAGGTAAACCCTTCTCTTAATTATTAGAAATTACAAACCCCCACAATCTTTGATAATTTTCTATTTTGTATATGCTGGGTTCATATATGCATTGCATCTATTCAGATATATACTTTTTGGGGCATCTAGCAACATAGAGCTAGCAGATACATGTCCTCTACAAGCAAGACAAATGGGGAGAAACTCCACTCAATACAGTGGATAATACCAGAAGTGGTTAGTTCAGGCATGACTTTCCTTGATCTGGCTCTTCTTTTCTTGCCACTTAAAAGTCTTAGTGGGATAATGTGTGAGAAATTCTGTTTCAACTATAAAGTGCCTTATAAATGAATGGTCATGTTTACCCCAGAGTGTCAGTGAGTGTCACTTGAGCCATTCAGCTCTTGTACACAGATGACTTATGCAACTCAAAAGTTATGTATGACGTGGGGTTGGAACCGCGTTTCCCTCTGCAGAATCAGCTGACTCACTGGAAGGTGGAATTCTTGATCTTGGCTCAGTTTTATCCCATATTCTACCAGTCTCAGGCATGTGGTTATCCCTGTACTTAAGATTCCCAATCCCTCTCCCCTTAAAGCTTTTGGTTGGATGATAGAGCCATACATCATATGAAAAAATTAGTGCATGACTAACAACAGAGGTTCTGGGGTTTCTGGTGGAGACCACTGCTTTATGATGACTAACCAAAGCCCCCTTAGTTATGTATTTCCTGGAAACCCTCATGACTTCCATAACTTTGCTCTTTTATTCTTTCAGAATTAAGAGAGGCTCAGTTATACTCAGGTAGGTGATGAGAGACAAAACCATATTAGGGTAAGGAGTAAAAATCCTTGTGAACCTAACTACTATTATGAATGATTTGGAAATTGCTTAGATTTGGATTCTTTTGGTTACATGTATAAAGATGATACACAACAACCACAAAAATCCTCAGTTGTTTCTATGTGTTAACAGTATCTTTGCCTCCTGAAATGTCTCAGAGCTGAAGCCATAGGGTAAAATCAATCTCAGGTGTTAAAGAAGGATTATAGGGTGGAAACCGCAGTTCCCCAAAAGTAGAACAGAGCTGGTACACTAGTACACTGCTCTGCCCGCCCAGCTTCAGGGTCAAACCATGGTTTGTGACAAGCAGGACTGATTGAGCTCCACAATAGTGCTCTTGAGTGCTAGAGGAAGTCTAGGAGTCTTGTGTCATCCCATCACTGTGCCTCAGAGCAAAGTTTGAAACTTCCCTTCCCCCTCACAACCGCTTTCACCCTACTATAGAGCCTGGGTAAATTTAACATTGCAGAAGTATTCAAATCTAAGGTGTATTCGTCCCATAGTCACAGTCACCTTCTGTTATGAATTATCCTCTAAATGAAGAGAAGGACTCTACATACAGTGGATCTGCAGTCCTTGGTGTGCAGTGGCTCTGATCCATATTTATTTTCAACAAGTATTAAATGAGTACTTTGCTTGTATCCTACACTGCCTAACATTGTGCAGGGTATTTTAGAGGAACAGAAGAGCATAAGTCATCCTACTCTTGGGGTTTACATTGTCTGGTTGGAGGTATACCCATGACACAAGAAGAAGGTAGGCAGCTGTTGTAGACAGATTGTTGAACCAGGAGCCAAGGGTTCTGGGGTTCTTGGTTACCTCTATCAGTTGCCTGTCTTTTGTGGGAGTAAAAATTTGTGGGCTTAAATTTCTGAGAGGTAATGTTTGGGACTCTTCCTCCTGAACAAGATGTGAGGAGCAAATGAGAGAATACATATCAGTATTTTTATTTATTTATTTATTATTTTAATTTTTTAAATTTTTTATTATTCATTTTAGAGGCAGGTTCTCTGTTGCCCAGGCTGGTGTGCAGTGGCATGGTGATAGCTTGCTGCAGCCTCATACTCCTGGGCTCAAGTGATCCTCCTGCCTCAGCCTCCTGAGTAGCTGGAATTACAGGCATGCACCACCATGCTTGCCTAATTTTTTTACTTTTATTTTTTGTAGAGACAGGGTCTCAAACTCCTGTATGCAAGCAATCCTCTTGCCTCAGCTTCCCAAAGTGCTGAGATTACAGGCATGAGCCACATATCCAGCCCATTATCAGTGTTTTTGAAGCAGGAAAACACTTGATGATAGCAAGATGCTGTAATACTAAATGCCAGAGGAGATGACATGGGTCATACACAGTTTTAGATTTCAGAACAGTAAGTGTAATGGCCTGGGCAGATTAAGAAAAACTTGGAGGATGTGTGTTTTGGACTGGACATTAGAAGAAGATGAATAGAGCTTCGATGTGCAGAGTAAAGATCTTATAGAATGGATAAAAGAGTGATTTGGGCTGGGTGTAGTGGCTCACACCTGTAGTCCTAACACTTTGGAAGGCTGAAATGGGAAGTCTGCAGTGAGCCATGATTATGCCACTGTACTACAGTCTGGGTGACAGAGTGAGACCTCATCTCAAAAAATAAAAAAAAGTAAAAAATAATTTTAAAAGAGTGATTTAAAAAGTAAGCATACTGATACAGGTTCCCAGTCCCTTACCCACAGTTCTAAAATCCCAAATCTCTGAAAGCCAAAACCTTTTTCATTATTTTGTGGGAAATTAATTATAGCATCAAAACCTGAATTTATGTGGTACTGTTTAGAGCCTTTATCCTTCATTATGTAAACATTCATGAATCTCACAGCAGATCTATTAATACTTCATTATAGAATGCTGCCTGTCTAAAACCTGTAATATTCTGAATTCTATGAAACTTGGGGCCCCTGGAATTTTCAGAATAAGGGATGATGAGCGTGTAAGAAAACCTCAATTCAGCGTATCTGCCAGGCACAGTGGCTCATGCCTGAAATCCCATTGCTTTGGGAAGTTGAGGTGGGAGGATTGCTTGAGGCCAAGAGTTCGAGACCATCCTGAGCAACATAGTAAGACCTCATCTCTACAAAAAATTTTTTAAAATTAGGGTGGTAGTGCACACCTATGGTCCCAGCTACTTGGGTGTCTTAGGCGGGAGAATCACCTGAGCCCAGGAGTTTGGGGTTACAATGAACTATGACCACACCACTGCGCTCCAGCCTAGGCAACAGAGCAAGACCCTATCTCTTAAAATCAGTTCATGATGGATATTGTGGCTTCAGATGTGAAAGAAAAGATACGGGGCTAAAATTCTGTATTTTCAGAGTATTCTGGTAACCAGCTAATCCAAGCAGTAATTTTTGAAATGTGAAGTTTAGAATATATTCTAAATAAAATACGTGCAACCTCCAGTGGGAACCTCTTATTATTGGGGAGGTAGTAGAAAGGCGCTGGGTGTTCTAAAATAGGCTCTCCTGGCCCACGGCTGACTGTCTTCCTTGTGTCTCTACAGTGGACGTGACTCTGGACCCAGACACGGCCTACCCCAGCCTGATCCTCTCTGATAATCTGCGGCAAGTGCGGTACAGTTACCTCCAACAGGACCTGCCTGACAACCCCGAGAGGTTCAATCTGTTTCCCTGTGTCTTGGGCTCTCCATGCTTCATCGCCGGGAGACATTATTGGGAGGTAGAGGTGGGAGATAAAGCCAAGTGGACCATAGGTGTCTGTGAAGACTCAGTGTGCAGAAAAGGTGGAGTAACCTCAGCCCCCCAGAATGGATTCTGGGCAGTGTCTTTGTGGTATGGGAAAGAATATTGGGCTCTTACCTCCCCAATGACTGCCCTACCCCTGCGGACCCCGCTCCAGCGGGTGGGGATTTTCTTGGACTATGATGCTGGTGAGGTCTCCTTCTACAACGTGACAGAGAGGTGTCACACCTTCACTTTCTCTCATGCTACCTTTTGTGGGCCTGTCCGGCCCTACTTCAGTCTGAGTTACTCGGGAGGGAAAAGTGCAGCTCCTCTGATCATCTGCCCCATGAGTGGGATAGATGGGTTTTCTGGCCATGTTGGGAATCATGGTCATTCCATGGAGACCTCCCCTTGAGGAGGTGAATTCAGGCCAAAAGGGCTGTTGGCTGTAATCCTACGCCAGGCACAAGGCATCTTGTTGCCTTGCCACGTCCTGTCACAGCTGGGTATCCTTACCATGTTCCACGCCCTTGCAGTGGGAGACAGGATGTCCATGTTCTCTACCATCCTTTTCCTTCCCATGCAGATTGTGAAATGTAATGAGATGTATCAAGATATCCTAGAAATAAAAACCAGATGTCCACCTCCAGTGTTTCATACTTTCTGGTTTTACACATCGCTGGAGGGATAAAGAGTATGGATAATCTTTGGATTTGGAGAGCCGTTCAAGATACTTCCAGCTTCTTGGCTCAGCCTGGCTTCCTCTGGTTCAGCCCCACATAATGATTATGGCTATTTGCTGTCATTTCTGGGCTAGGGCTCCTTTCTAACAACCTAGACTGGAATAAGGCCCTGTCAGCATGGCTCCCTTTATCCCAGTTTTCCGTCTGGGAACAGTACCTCTGCCCCTGATTCCCAATGTGCCATAGTTTTATTAACTCCATTAAAGAAGCCTGTATGTGTTTTGGTTAGTTACAGTTATTTTACAATAATGGTGGGTAATGGCCCCACCTCTGTTATGAGATAATGTTCTAATCAATGTCTCTGCCTTTGTATCTTTTCTGAGGGCTTTGTCTGTTCTCTTCATTCTAATGAAAGGTGTATTCTAGTGCTGGGTGCATATCATCCAGGATAATATTCTGCCCAACTCCATCCTCTGTTACTAGATCCCTTACCAGTCACATTTGTGGACTGGTGGCCAGTCGTATACCATCCCTGGAAGGATTCTGGGACAATATTCCAGGGATTCATTGACTTCTTGGCTCCTTTTCTCCATTTCCTTTGGGGGAAGGGGGAATTGACCATGCTTAAGTGCATCCTATCAAGGGGCAGCTCCGTCCCCATGGCCATTGGATCATGAGACACTCTGAAGTCAGAAGGCTGGGGCAGATCACTTCAAGCAAGCCCCCATGATGGTTCTCAGTCCTGCTTCTCTGTGGGTACGTGCCCCTCTGTTTAAAAATAAACTGAATATGGATGTTTACATTGTTGTTGCTTTCTGGGTGTTGGTAGGATTGGGTTCAGATGTTGGAATGCGTGTGGGGAGGAAATGGTTAATGGTGTTGCTTTCCCATATGGGTGCAAAAATCCCACTCTGGCCAATAGTTTACTTCAAACTGGAAAATAAAACCACTTTCTCAGTGCCATGTCACTACTTTCTAGTGGTGCTAAGAAAGTAGTGTTGGACATTCATAGCCTACAGTTCTTTTTTTTTTGAGGTGGAGTCTTGCTCTGTCGCCCAGTCTAGAGTGCAGTGGCACGATCTCGGCTCACTGCAACCTCTGCCTCCCAGGTTCAAGCGATTTTCCTGCCTCAGCCTCCTGAGTAGCTGGGACTACAGGCGCCTACCACCGCGCCCGGCTAATTTTTTATTTTTAGTAGAGACGGGGTTTCACCATCTTGGCCAGGGTGGTCTTGAACTCCTGACCCTTGTGATCCACCTGCCTTGGCCTCCTAAAGTGCTGGGATTACAGGCGTGAGCAACCGCGCCCGGCCTGCCTACAGTTCTTATATTGGTTAATCCTGTAATTTTACTAGGAAAGTATTTTCTCAAGTCCTTTTTGTAGTATTGTGCCAGGCATTGGGGTTCCATGGCTGAGGTTCATGAGTTGGTGATATCATGTCCTAATTCTTCATTTATTCATCAGGTTTTAAGGGAAATAATAGAACCAGGGCTATAGAAAGTAGCTTCCATGAGGCTAGATTAGCTTTTGCTGAATATTCTGAGATCTAAATGTATACGGTAATATATATACAGGCACATAAATACTACTAACAAACATAGAGCAGTGCTTGGCACATCATATGAAGAGTTTTATGCACAGTAGCTTCCTTAATGCTCATGATAATTTTATCAAGTGTGTACTGTTGTCTTACTTTACAGATAAACTGCAGCAGAGAGGGTAAATGACTTATCCAAGGTACACAGCTAGGAAGCAGCAGAGCCAGGATTCAAACTGAGATGGAACACATGACCACATCAGGTCCTGCCCCACAACATGTGTTATTGGTTATCTTCTAGTTCTTGTGGGTGGTGTGTTTATAGGTATTTATTTATATTTTTAGTTTTAAAAGCCTGCCATTTTGAATGGGATTAAATGAACTTGTGATTCTAAGTTTACTCATCTGCAGAAAGGTAAGCAACTTTTGAGTTCACCGAGTCAGGAATTGAGTCACTAAAGACATATGGGGCCCACTCCGATTCCTTTGACTCCCCTCTCTTTCCTCAGAACATCTGCAATTGTTAATTATACATTACGGTTTCAATAACTTCTTCCTTAATTCTTTTGCTGTTCCAGGAAGTGTGTGTTTGTGCATGCACGTATGTGCACATGCCTGTGTGTCTTCAGGTGCTCTTGTTTTTTCTGATAAAGGCCAACATGCAAAGAAGACCATCTTCCCCAAGAGCAGACAAGGCCTAGAAGAGATAGGTTCAAAGAATAAAGGGAAACTGAACATGGCCCATACCCTCCACCATGTACAATTAAGTGAGAAGATGAGAGAATGCATGTAACAGCCTAACACTTAAAGGCACTATGAAATTAAGAGCAAATAACTGTCAGATGGTAAATGAGAGCCATTTGCTAATTCCTTTAGTTACCTGAGATGCAGACCAAAGAGTATACGTGGAAATCACGTATCTCCTCCCAGCAAAATAAAAAACAAAACTCAAAAGGTTCTTAGCATACCAATGGTGGTTGAGTTGCTTCTTCACAAATGAAAAACATTCTTTTATTCAAATAGACAATTCAGCCAGTGTTGGGTGCCCCAGCTGAACTTGCTCCTGAAGAGAATACAAGAGAGCATGGCTTCTATCCTTTGAAAAGTTAATTAGGAGAGGGGGAAAATAACGTGAAAAAATGTAGAGTACAACTAAAGATGATCTGGGGAGAAGTGAAACTTGTGCTCCAGGAGACCTCATTGCAGACCACAGTAATGTAAGAGGAAGCCTAAATGCCTGGGCTATGTTTCTTAGTGCCCTTTTTCTTGAGACTAAGAGACTTGCCCACTAGCTCCGTCCTGCACTAAATTTTGACTTAATGATATAAGCACATTACTAAATCCTGCACTTTGTTGAAACCAGAAATTCCTCCTATATGAAGTCTGTGAGAGTAATAATAAATCCCAACCAAACCAGCGTTAGAGAAAGGGTCTCACTTTGTCACCAAGGCTGGAATGCAGTGGCAAGATTATTACTCACTGCAGGCTCGAACTCCTGGGCTCAAGGGATTCTTCCTCCTCAACCTCCCAAAGTGTTGGGATTACAGGCATGGGCCACCATGCCAGGCCAAATAGTACTTCCATTTGACAGTATTGCCCCATTACATTTCCTTTTTCCCGTTGGAGAAAAGATACATTTCTTAGATCTGGCTTATCTGTTGAATTAATTTTGCATTTGAAGTTTGAAATGTAAGCAGGACATTTGAAGGTAACCTTTAGAGATACACACATCTCTACCAGATTCTTTGTTTAGAGGATGTGAAGAACTTGGATTTGTATGGGATGTGATTGCCAAACCCATTTTAGGGTTCTGATGCACAAAAAGAATAATAGAAAAAAGTGAGAATTAGAAAGATTTGAACCTACATATTTCTTTAAAAACTGGGAAGAAATATGCCAAAATATTAGCATAGATGCTTTTGATGAGACTTGGTGATTTTTTTTTTTTCTGTATTGAATGAACTCTTCACTATGGAAACCTGTAACCATATACAAAAATGAAGAAAATACACAGCGAACCCTCCTATATCATCTCCCAACTTCAACTACCAATTTATGGTCAGTCTCATTTGAATACAGCATCATCTCAATTTCCACCCCAATCTCTGTTACTCTCACGTAATCCTGGACATACCAGAAAACCAAGTTATATGAACCTCAAACAAAACAGTCAAGGGACTCATTTCAAGGTTGGAAATTAAATCCTGTTTTTTTGTTTTGTTTATTTCATTTTCATAGACCGCCATTGTTAGCTTCTTTCCTTTTTAGTCCCTCTGCTTCCCTCTTTAAATAATTTGTCAGGCCTTTTAAAATTCCTCTTACAGATGTTTTCATAAAAATGTAGAATGGCCTGTGGGGAGTCTTATTGTGCAATAAATATTATTAGTAAATAGTTAAAATATTGACATATTTAATTATATTTTACCTTATTCCAAAAAGGACTTAAAGCCATTTAAAACATAAAATCATGTCTGGGCTCGGTGGCTCACACCAGCACTTTGGAAGGCTGAGGCGGGCGGATCACCTGAGGTCAGGAGTTCAAGACCAGCCTGGCCAACATGGTGAAACCCCATCTCTACTAAAAATACAAAAATTAGCCAGGTGTGGTGGTGCATTTCTGTAATCCCGACTCGGGAGGCTGAGACAGGAGAATTGCTGGAACCCAGGAGGCGGAGGTTGCAGTGAGCCAAGATTGCACCACTGCACTCCAGCCTGGGCAGCAGAGCAAGACTCCATCTCAAAAAAAACCAAAACAAACCCATAAAATCAAGACATCAGGAGTTTAACATGCCATAAAGGAAGAAAGAAAAAATACGGCACAGCCGGGCGCGGTGGCTCACGCCTGTAATCCCAGCACCTTGGGAGGCCCAGGCACGCAGATTACGAGGTCAGGAGTTCAAGACCAGCCTGGCCAACATAGTGAAAAACCCCATTTCTACTAAAAATACAAAAATTAACTGGGCATGGTGGCACGAGCCTGTAGTCCCAGCTACTTGGGAGGCTGAGGCAGGAAAATTGCTTGAACCTGGGAGGCAGAGCTTGAAGCAAGCCGAGATTGCGCCACTGCACACCAACCCGGGTGACAGTGCGAGACTCCGTCTCATTAAAAAAAAAGATGGCACAAAAAATGACCAGGATTAGAAGTGAATCTATAGTATGAAAACTACGAGGACACTAAATGTGGGCCACAGTTGGGTTTTAAAAATTGACATGGGAACATTGTTAATTGTATAGCTTCTAGTTTCTGTAAGATGGAAGTAACTAAATGTTTAAGGGACATAATGGGATTCTTGTTAATAAGAGATAGGAATTTCTGCTTGGGTTCTTGGTAAATAGAAACTGTATCCCAAGAGTTTACTTTTCATAAAATAAGTCTTACAAATCAATAAGGAAAGATGGACACCTCATAAAAATTTGGTAAGCAATTTACTGAGGAAGGAGTATAAAAATCCTTTAAACATGAATATTGGACCTCACTAATAATCAAATCAGAAAAAAAAGGGGGGGCGCTATATCATTTGTTACCTATTAAAATGTGCCAGGAGCGGTGGGTCACGCCTGTAATCCCAGCACTTTGGGAGGCCGAGGCGGGCACATCATTTGAGGTCAGGAGTTTGAGACCAGCCTGACCAACATGGTGAAACCCTGTTTCTACTAAAAATACAAAAAAAAATTAGCTGAGTGTGATGGCTCATGCGTGTAGTTCCAGCTACTCGGGAGGCTGAGACGAGAATCACTTGAACCTGGGAGATAGGTTGCTGTGAGCTAAGATCATGCCACTGCACTCCAGCCTGGGCAACAGAGCAAAACTCCGTCAAAACAAACAAACAAAAACTGGATAAACATTGATGTAGGCCGGGCGCGGTGGCTCACGCCTGTAATCCCAGCACTTTGGGAGGCTGAGGCGGGCGGATCAAGAGGTCAGGAGTTCGAGACCAGCCTGACCAACATAGTGAAACCCCGTCTCTACTAAAAATACAAAAATTAGCCGGGCGTCGTGACGGGCGCCTATAGTCCCAGCTACTCGGGAGGCTGAGGCAAGAGAATGGTGTGAACCCGAGAGGTGGAAGTTGCAGTGAGCCAAGTCGTGCTACTGCACTCCACCCTGGGTGACAGAGCGAGACTCCGTCTCAAAAAAAAAAAAAAAAAAAAAAAATTTGATGTAATGGTTTCACTTTTAGAAATTTAAGGAAATAATCGTGGATGTTTGAAAATATTTATGTAAGGATAGTTTTTACAGCATTGCTGATGAAAATAAAAAATTAGAAATAATCCAGTTTTCAAGAATACCACTTTGATATGGAATATGTGCAGGAATTAAGATTTATGCAAAATATAGTACTTAGCAAGTATATATTCATAATATATTCATTTAGAAAGCAAGTTAGCAAATTATTTACTACACATGACCATTTTTGGAAAATGTATACCATATGAAAGACTAAATATATAAAAATGTTAATAGTTACCTCTGACTAGTGAGATTATGGATGATTTTAATTTTTGACATGTTTGTATGTTCTACAATTTGTGTGTACTTTGCAATTAGAAAAAAATAATTATAGTTAGGGTAAGATTACAGTTGCCATGTTGGGAATCACTTCCTGGACAATTTCCTTCCAATCGAAAGAAAATATACAAATCTCATGTATTGGAGGGAGACTGGGGAACCAGTGTTCACTGTACTTCTCACTACTAATTTTCTCTCTATCAAAAATAGGATATGAAACCAAGGAAGTCTGTGGAAATTAAGATAGAGCCTACTGAAACTCAGTTATTTCTCCATGCAGAAAAGAGACCTAACTTTGCCTTACAAAAAGGAAATTTTTTTTATATTAACAAATACAAAAAGTAAGCTATTAGGACAAAATCTAATTAAAATATCCAACTTTATATTTCCTCTATCTGAACCTCACAGCCCCAAATACAAGAGTTAAGACGGTTGAGTTAAAATGTATTTATTGAACCTCTACCGTGTTTGCCAGGCACTGTTACCTGGACGGCATTGGTCTACACATGTTATTTTAGCGGTGTCGCTGGCCTCTAGGGGCTCTTGTTCTAGTGGGAGGGATGATTTCTGTTTAGTTTCAGGGCTCCATTAAAATTTGTGACCTTGGGGCTTCCCGGCCTGGAGCTCAGATTGCTTGGCGAAGGCTGAGAAACAGAAAAGTGGATCAGGCGATGTGGTGCACTCCCCTTAAAAACTACCGCTGTGTTCCCCGACCTGGCAGTGGTCACTTGGAGCCCATTAATCGGGAACATCCGAGAGCGACAAGGAAGGCCGCGGGCGAGCGCGTCGCTCGCGGAGTTTCCCCGGACCTGGGATCGCCGATCCCTCGGCGCGGACACCAGCCTTGCCCATGTGGTGGTCCCTGTGGAGACCTTCCCAGCCGTTCCCGGCTACCACTTTTAGAGCCCAAGACAAACTTCGACGAGTGGCAAGGCAGTGACAAATGGAACCAAAATAGAGGGGCTAAAAGGGGACCTTCCTATAGAACCGGGGTCTTTTGTTAGGGTTTTGTTTTGTTCCTCACCATCTTCCAAACAATGAAGTCCTGGGGGAGGCTAACCACGATCAAGATTTCAGTAAACATCAGACACTGGAGAGCCGACCCAGCGACCGAAGAAGCAAAAGATCTTCTTTCCTTCCTGAAATCTGGGCAGGCTGGGAGCAAAAAAAAAAAAAAAAAAAACCCGCACACGTTTTTCGAGATGGCGATAACAGTTATAAGGCCCGTAAGAGACTTGATCCAGTTTTATGCAGAAACATTTTCTAGTCCTGCGAACCCTTTTGCTTTTTCAATCCACAAGTGGCTTTCTGCCCTTCTGTTACCAAGCAACCCTGACGTCATCGCGTTTCTGCGTGCGTGCACGACACAGAATCATTGCTTGTTGATCTCTATTTTAGTGCAAAAATCAGGGCTGTTATGCAGTGTGTCAGGATGGCCGAGTGGTCTAAGGCGCCAGACTCAAGCTAAGCTTCCTCCGCGGTGGGGATTCTGGTCTCCAATGGAGGCGTGGGTTCGAATCCCACTTCTGACACATACTTTTCTTTTTCCTCTCCTTACTTTAGAGATATCCTGATCTCAGCAGTAGGCATAAACAATTACCAACGTATATTTTTAAGAATCGGCTTTTAGGTACCGGGCGCGGTGGCTCACGCCTGTAATCCTAGCACTTTGGGAGGCCGAGACGGGTGGATCACGAGGTCAGGAGATCGAGACCATTCTGGCTAACACGGTGAAACCTCGTCTCTACTAAAAATACAAAAAAAATAGCTGGGCGTGGTGGCGGGCGCCTGTAGTCCCAGCTACTCGGGAATGAGGCAGGAGAATGGCGTGAACCCGGGAGGCGGAGCGTGCAGTGAGCCAAGATCGCGCCACTGCACTCCAGCCTGGGGACAGAGCGACACTCCGTCTCAAAAAAAAAAAAAAAAAAAAAGAATTGGCTTTTAAATTTATCTCAAAGGGCTTGTCCAAACTAAAAACATTAAAAGCGGAAGCATCGCGATATTTTTACGAAGCCGCGAGATTTGGGCCAAAAAACGCCTAATTAAAGGCAGAGGTTACTAGCGATTGGTCTCTGTGCTGCAGTGCGAGATAATCCTGATGTCGCGGGATTCGGAACGCAGATAGCTTCCTGCCTCGCCGAGGGAATGGAGAGAAGGGGCTCTGGGCGGGTTCTTTTCCCGCTTCTCGACCAGGCTCACACTCTGTGTCTCAGATCCAAGCCCTCCCCTAGATATTTCCTGGAGCACTTTCCTACCAATCTCACAACGCTGTGGCTCGTGACAGTGCAGTCTCTTTAAAAATCTTACACAGGTCCTCTGCTCTCCTATTTTCAAAACTCATGTAACCAGTTCTCAAAAATGTCTTTCGTAAATTATGCACATTCACACTCGTTTTGGCATCTGATCATTACCGTTTTGTCAGTCAAAATTGAGTACCATTTTAACCATTGAATGAAATATGAAAGCTGTACGTTCCTCTCGCAAATGTAATCACCGTGAAAAATTTATTGTATTTTTTACATTTCTTTTTTCTCTGCATTCGCATATATATATAACATTTTGTTTTTTTTTTTTAACAGAAATGTAGTCATGCTATGACATTTTTCACTTAATATATCTTGGGTTCTTTCCATGTGGAACACTTATTCTTTTCTTTTACAGAAGAAATATTGCTGGCCGGGTGCAGTGGCTCAGGCCTGTAATCCCAGCACTTTGGGAGGCCGAGGCGGGCGGATCACGAGGTCAGGAGATTGAGACCATCTTGGCTAACACAGTGAAACCCCGTCTCTACTAAAAATATTAAAAAATACAAAAAATTAGCCGGGTGTGGTGGTGGGTGCTTGTAGTCCCAGCTACTCGGGAGGCTGAGGTAGAAGAATCGCCTAAACCCGGGAGGCGGAGCTTGCAGTGAGCCCACATTGCCCGCTGCACTCCAGCCTGGGCAACAGAGTGAGACTCCGTCTCAAAAAAAATAATTAATAAATAAATAAATAAATAAATAAATAAATAAATAAATAAAACCCTATGGTAGGCCCGGAGTGGTGGCTCACGCCTGTAATCCCAGCACTTTGGGAGGCCGAGGCAGGTGGATCACTTGAGGTCAGGAGTTCGAGACCAGCCTGGCCAACATGGTGAAACCCTGTCTCTACTAAAAACACAAAAATTAGCTGAGTGTGGTGGCAGATGCCTGTAATCCCAGCTACTCAGGAGGCTGAGGCAGGAAAATCACTTGAACCCGGGAGGTGGAGGTTGCAGTGAGCCAAGATTGCACCACTGCACTCCAGCCTGGGCAACAGAGTGAGACTCTGTCACAGGAAAAAACAAAAAACAAAAAAACAAAAACACAAAAACCGTATGGTAAAATTTAAATTTTAAGGTGGTACTTTAGAACACTAGTGTTCCATCTTCTCAGTTTGCTGGCTTTCGGATTAAAAGCAGCTTTTCCTCCCACCAAACCTCCCCTCTAGCATTTGGCTTTGGAGCGGTGAGCAGCAGAATCTGGGTCAGGTTACGCTTTTTTCTCTTCAGTCCCATTAACTCTGGAATCCTAGGTGCCCTCTGCATACTTGGACTCCAAAAACCACTTTCTCCAACAAGAAAACAAAGTAAACTGCAGATTATATAATAGGAGATTTTAAATTCATTTCAAAATTCACTATGGAAGATATGGTTTCTCATCTGGAATCCATCCTGCTTGTCTGGATTTACCTTACTTCTCCCTGCATTGCTCACATTTCTGATTCTTTCATGGAACAGAGTACGTTATCCTCTAAAAGCTTTCACCAAACTGATGGAATTTTCTATTTCTCGCCCCCTACCCCCACCTACTGCTTTTCAAAGTAAAATGGCATTTATCTGTAAGGCGGGATGAAGTTAATATCTGTTAAACCCCCATTTATTTCCAGAAGCTTCCAAAGTCAGCCCAACCTCCCAAGGTTACTTAGCTCTCTAATAAAACAAAAGGTGAACTCCCTGAAAGAATTCTCCTGCAGAATTCTATTATAGCGTTAGAGGAAAAAGCACTGCCACTGTGTAAAATTGTGTAGATTTGGGGTAAAAGGCCAAGGTACTTTCCAGTTTCAATTTTCTTGACTGTCCTGCTGGGCACGGTGGTTTACACCTATAATCCCAGCACTTGGGTGAGGCTGAGGAGGGAGGATCACATGAGGCGAGGAGTTCAAGACCAGCCTGGGCTTGTCTCCAACCCCTCATCCCAACCCCGCCCCCACCCCCACAAATGCTCAACTGCAGTTGAACTGAATTAAATTGCGTTTCTTTCCTTCCTTCCTTCCTTCTTTCCTTCCTTTCTTCCTTCTTTCTCTCTCTCTTTCCCTCCCTTCCTTCTCTCCTTTCTTCCTTCTGTCTCTCTTTCTCTCTCTCTCTCTCTCTCTTTCTTTCTTGAGACAGAGTCTTGCTGTATCACCCAGGCTAAAGTTCAATGGCGCTGTCTTGGCTCACTGCAACCACTGCCTCGCAGGTTCAAAGGATTCTCCTGCCTCAGACTCCCGAGTAGCTGGGACTACAAGCGTGCACCACCACACCTGGCTAATTTTTATATTTTTTAGTAGAGACAGGGTTTCACCATGTTGACGAGGCTGGTCTCGAACTCCTGACCTTGAGTGATTCGCCCACCTCAGCCTCCCAAAGTGGTGATCCTGGGTTTTAAGCAGAATAGGGGACATACCACTACCCACTTATCGAATGTATTCTAAATAAGTTTTCTTATCCTAAATTTTTTTATATTCCAATACTGGAAACTTTTATTTACAGAAGCCATGTATTCTATACTCTATATGTAGAATACATGGTTCATTAAGGCCAAGATAATTTCCCATTTTGTGTATATCATTACTTATACTACTCATTAAAATAATCTTCAGTGCGGAGAGATTATCTCTTTTCCTCTGCTAAAGACACAATAATCTTTCATTCAGACAAATAAGACATTACATAAGACCTACCTAGTCACATAAAAACAAAGTAACTACACTAGTACTCCTGTCTGTTAAAGGACTATCAGATAAGTCACTGCGGTTATCTGTACATAACAATGCACAATCATCCTAATAATTACTAGTGAATGCCTTTTCTAGATAGAAGAAGCTGAAGATATAAAATCTAAATCTAAATTCGAATGTTAACTTTTGTCTCAACTGACAGAATACCGTACATTGACCAAATAAAGGATTTTATTGAATCACTAAATTTTTACCAGCTTTATTGAGATATAATTTACACACCATTCAATTCAATTCAATCACTTTTAGAATATTCAGAGTTGTGCAAACATTATCACCATCAGTGTTAGAACATTTTTATCACCTCAAGGTAAAAAAAAATACTCCTTAGCAGTCACTCCCCATCTCTCAGCCTCCCCCAACCTGCAGGCAACCGACAATCTATTTTCTATAATTTTTTTTCTTTTCCTTCCTTCCTTCCTTCCTTCCTTCCTTTTTATACAGGGTCTCACTCTGTCACTCAGGCTGGAGTGCAGTAGCACAATCATAGCTCACTGCAGCCTTGACCACCCTGGACTCAGGCGATTCCAATATTGGAATATAAAATATTTTAGGATAAGAAAACTTATTTAGAATATGTTCAATAAGTGGGTAGTGGTATGTCCTCTATTCTGGTTAAAACCCAGGATCACCACTTTGGGAGGCTGAGGTGGGCGAATCACTTGAGCTCAGGAGTTCGAGACCAGCCTGGCCAACATGGTGAAACCCTGTCTCTACCAGAAAATACAAAAATTAGCTGGGTGTGGCGGTGCGTGCCTGTAGTCCCAGCTACTCGAGGGGGCGAAGGTGGGAGAATCACTTAAACCCGGGAGGTGTAAGTTGCTGTGAGCCGAGATCACACCAGTGCACTCCAGCCTAGGCAACAGAGACCTTTTGTCTAAATCAATCAATCAATCAATCAATCAATCAATCCCAGGAGTGCAGTGGCGCGATCTCGGCTTTCTGCAACCTCTGCCTCCCCGGTTCAAACGATTCTCCTGCCTAAGTCTTCCGAGTAGCTGGGAGGCCCGTGCCACCACGCCCGGCTAATTTTTGTATTTTTAGTAGAGACGGGTTTTCACAATGTTGGCCAGGCCTGTCTTGAGCTCCTGACCGCAAGAGATTTGTCTGCCTTGGCCTCCAAAGGGCTGGGATTACAGGCGTGAGCCACCGTGCCCGGCCAGTCTTGTCCATTTTCTCCTTGAAGACCATCTTTCACACTGTCACTATAGTGACTTGCATAAAACTGAAAGCTAATATTACACACACCTTCTTTTTTTTTTTTGAGACGGATTCTCGCTCTGTCACCAGGCTGGAGTGCAGTGAGGCGATCTCGGCTCACTGCAAGCTCCGCCTCCTGGGTTCACGCCATTCTCCTGCCTCAGCCTCCTGAGTAGCTGGGACTACAGGCGCCTGCCACCACGCCCGGCTAATTTTTTGTATTTTTAGTAGAGACAGGGTTTCACTGTGTTAGCCAGGATGGTCTAGATCTCCTGACCTCGTGATCCACCAGCGTCAGCCTCCCAAAGTGGTGGGATTACAGGCGTGAGCCACCGTGCCTGGCCTACACACATTCTTAGCATCTGTTAATGGTTCAATTCATTATCCTGGCAACAAGACTGTTCATGATGTAGCTTACATTTTCAGCTTTATCTCCTTTCGCCTTCATATTCAATCTGTGTTCCAGCTAGACCAAACTGTTCTCAACTGTCTGAAAGTACCATTTTAAAAGTGCCTTAATAACTTTGTATGTATATACTTTCCATCTAGAAAGCTTTTACTGCCTTCCCTTTTTCTGACTATTTGTATTTATGTTTTAAGATACGCCAATCAACCATTCCGCTGCAAAACTTTCTGTTTGATTCTCTCAGGCAGTTAGATGTTTCCTTCTTTGCACTCCCAAAGCTCTTATGCTTCACTCTTATAGTATTTACCACACTGCCTTGTAACTGAAGGACATCTCTAGGTTGTGGCCTTCAAGAGGGCATCTTATTCGTCTTTATACCAGGTATATAGCAAGGAACTACTATACACAAGACTTGCTACAAAGCTACTTACATGACATTTTAATAACCAAGAAAGAATTTGTAGAAATAGCAAGTAACATTTCTTAATCCTTTTCAATTTAAGATAAGCAACATGTTGGGATACTGAGATGTGACAACAATGGTAACAATAGCAACTCACACTTAATAATGCTTACAGTGTGTCAGACACAGTTTTGTGTGCTTTCATAACCCTTTGAGGTTGCAACTGTTGTCCATGTTTTGTAGGCAAAGATACAGATGCACAAAGTTATGTGACTTGCCTAAGGTCATATAGCCAACAAGATAGGAAACACTGAAACTAGAGTTTAGTGTGAATTTGTTTGTGTTCAAATCCTTCATTTACAGCTAAATTTGCAAATCTGTTGAAGGAAAGGGAAATAGAACTTACTGCTCTTATTTAGCAGTGAAATTTAAATAATTTTTTGTTGTTTTATTTCAGAAGGTGAGTGTAGGTTTATTTATTATTTTTGAGACAGAGTCTTGCTCTGTTGCACAGGCTGGAGTGCAATAGCACAATCACTGCAGCCTTGACCTCTTGGTTCAAGCAATCCTCCCATCTCAGCCTCCTGAGTAGCTGGGACTACAGGTACACACCACCATGAGCAGCTTTTTTTTTTTTTTTTTTTTTTTTTTTTAGAGATGGGGTCTCATGATGTTGCCTAGCTTGGTCTCAAACTCCTGGGTTCAAGTGATCCTCCTACCTCAGCCTCCCAAAATGCTGGGATTACAGGTATGAGCCACCATGCCTGGACTGAGTATAGGTTTAGAAAGCTAAGCATGACTTCAGGGTTCCAAAAAGTACTGAAGAAGTAGCATCTCACTCACTGTTCCTGGGAAGATGGAAAAGTGATGATCCCTTAAATCCTGCAATTGAAAACATTTGTGACCCTGAGGGCAGGTATGAGAGGCACTAAGAAAATCCTTTGTTGGTGAGACAGAGAACATTTTCACCCCAGGAAAAAGAGATCATAGAGAAGTCATGAAAACTGTACTGAACAAAATACTTATGGGAAAGAGGGGTTGTAAAAGTGATGAATGTAGACAGTTCTTCACTAAGAAATCAAATCTTATTCAACAGCAAAGGATCCACACTGAAGAGAGACCCTGTAAATACAAAGTTTGTGGCAAGCCTTCAGTGGGAACACTAGCCTCTATCTCCAGAAGATCCACACTGGGGAGAACCCTTATAAGTGTGATGAGCATAGAAGGGCCTTCACTGTGAAAGCCTGCATTATAGAAGCTGTATTTTCACAGACACTATGAATGTGATCAGTGTGGCAAGACTTTCATTTGGAGCTCAGATCTTAGTAAACATCAGAGGCTTCATACTGGAGGGAAATCCACAAGCGTAATGTATGCAATAAGACCTTCAGAATTCTGACCATCTCAAACATCAGAGAATACATACTGGAGAGAAACCCTACAAATATCTTATGCATGGGAAAGCTTTTAATCAGAGCCCACTCTTTCTTAAGCATCATAGAGTACACACTGAGAGAAACCTTATCACTTTAAGGAATGTGGAGAAAGCTTTAGTCACAATGGAGGCCTGACATCGTATGAGAGACTGCACACAAGAGAGAAGTCTTATAAAAGTAAAGTATTTGGGGAAGTCTGCATTGAGAGCTCACACTTCATTAACTATCCCAACATTCATACAGGGGAAAGACTTCCTCATTGCCCTGAATATGGAAAATGCTTTACTCAAAATGAAGGTCTTATTTCCCATCAGAACCTTTTTAGACATTAAAAAGAAAACCCATATCAGAGAAAAAAGATATATACCTCTGATGAATGTGTGTAAAACTTTGTGTTTCTCTAGTAATTGACCTTTAGAGAGTAGATATAGAAGGGAAATATTTTGAATATAACAATTTTGAAATGTTTGAATGGCAGCTTCTTGCCTCACTTAACTTTAGTAAATTTGTCAAGAGCATGCCCAGGAAATGGGTTGGCTAGAACTTGTTTTAGCAGAAATAAATGTGTTTTCAGTCATTATCCTCCTTAAGGAAAGGGTCAGTCTCACCCAGTGACCAGTTCTAAGTTCCCGACTCTTAGATGGGAAATGAAGAGTATTTTGTGTGAGCCTGTAGATGTTTGAAAACTTTGATATTCAGAGGGTAGGCGAAATGGTCACTCACTCCTGAGACTTCCTTTGTGAAAACAGAGCTTTGTAATATTTGTGATTCCCTGCTCTCTCTTTCAGGAAAAGATGCTCACTATATCCAATAAAGCTTATAAAATACTGGGTATCAGTTGAAAGGTATTAAGACATCAATTGTCGGCTGGGTGCAGTGGTTCACACCTGTAATCACAGCATTTTGAGAGGCTGAGGCAGGAGGATCACTTGAGTCGAAGAGTTCGAGACCAGCCTGGGCAACATAGTGAGACCCTTGTCTCTACAAAAAATAAATTAGCTAGGCGTGGTGGTGCAGGCCTGTAATCCTGGCTACTTGGGAGGCTGAGGTGGGAGAATCACTTGAGCCCAGGAGGAATAGGTTGCAGTGAGCTGTGTTCATGCCACTGCACTCCAGCCTGGGCAACAGAGTGAGACCCCTCCTCAAAAAACTAAAACTAAAACTAAAATAAAAATTAAAAAAGAAATAAATTGTTTTCTTGTCTCTGTTCAAAACCTGGACCACTATGTGTAGTCCTATTCCCAGACTGTCACACAGATCTAGTGATGTTGGTACAAATTGAGAGAAAGGGAACCAGATGGTTCTTCCTCATCTTTGTATGCATGTAGCTGGCATAGTGATTGGCATTTGCATTCCATAAATGTTTATTGAAATGAGTTAAATTAAAATAAATAGAATTAAATCCTGGACTTATATAGTGTACTTGCTGAAATTCAGTTTTAAGAAGTGGCATAAAGTGAAAACAAAAGTATTTTAAACTTATGTAGAAATATTGACGAGATGGCTAAAATGGAAATCTCTGATCTTTTGAAGATGTATATGTAATTCATGAGTTGATATGTAGGAGGGCATTGCTTCCTCCCACAGCTTCAGAATCATACAGTAATAGACTGGGGGGATCATAGGCCTGACCAAGTGGGACTATTGTTAAGTTATGCTCTTAAATAAAGAAAAAAAAAGTAACATCAGTTCTTTAAGTACTTTGTTCTAACAATGTAATTATTGTGTTCTGTCTAAAACTATGATACAGTGTTAAACTTCTCAAGGTTTCCTTTGTCTACGAGCTACAGTCCAGTGTTGTTCCCCGTCTTTTTGTGACATGGCCTGTCTTCACTTACTGTGGAAACAAACTAACATATGCTTCTTTTTTATTTATTTATTTATTTTGCGACGGAGTTTCGCTCTGTCACCCAGGCTGGAGTGCAGTGGTGCGATCTCGGCTCACTGCAAGCTCCGCCCCTCCAGGTTTAAGCAATTCTCCGCCTCTGGAGTAGCTGGGATTACAGGCGCGTGCCACCATGCCAGGCTAATTTTTTGTATTTTTAGTAGAGACGGGGTTTCACCATCTTGGCCAGGCTGGTCTTGAACTCCTGACCTCGTGATCCACCTGCCTCAGCCTCTAAGTGCTGGGATTACAGGCGTGAGCCACCGCGCCTGGCCTGCTTCTTTTAAAAGGAAACTCTGAGATAAAAAATACGAAGTTCTCTTCAAAAAAGCAATCAGCTTTTCATTAAAGGGAAACTATGGAGTACAACACTTGAGTTTTTTTTTTTTTTTTTTTTTGAGATGGAGTCTCACTGTTGCCCAGGCTGGAGTGCAATGGCGAGATTTCAGCTCATTGCAACCTTCCCCTCCCTGCCTCAGTCTCCCAAGCAGCTGGGACTGGGACTACAGGCGCCCACCACTACACCCAGTTAATTTTTTTATTTTTAGTAGAGATGGGGTTTCACCGTGTTAGCCAGGATAGTCATGATCTCCTGGCCCCGTGATCCACCCGCCTCGGCCTCCTAAAGTGCTGGGATTACAGGTGTTAGCTACCGTGCCTGGCCCCACTTGAGCCTTAAAATACTTTATTTGGGCACTGAATAAAATTTATCTGTGCTAATTCTTTACCTGTACTAACACGCAGTAGTCTTTAGCCAGGGCATTGCTACCTACTACGATGTATTTGGGTACACTTATGGTTCTCACAATGACCAGGTTATGGCATGTTCATTTTTATGGGTGGGGTTCAGGCATTATAAACATTATAGTATACATATATGTTGTAGTATGTAGCATAAATACAACAGGTACAACTATTAGAAATCTCCACGCATCCAGGAACCGTGGCTCAACACCTGTGATCCTAATGTGCCAAGGAATTGGTGGGTTCTTGATCTCACTGACTTCAAGAATGAAGCCATGGACCCTGGCCGTGAGTGTGGCAGTTCTGAAGAGCAGTGTGTGGGGAATTTGTTCATTCTGATGTTTGCATATGTTCAGAGTTTCATTCCATTCAGGTGGGTTCGTGGTTTCGCTGACTCGGGAAAGCTACCAATCTTGGCAGTAACTGTTACAGCTCTTAAGACGGTGTGTCTGGAGTCATTGGTTCCTCTCAGTGAGTTTATGGTCTCCTTGGCTTCAGGAATGAAACTGCAGACTTTCACAGCAATTATCACAGCCCACAAAGGCAATGCGCATGCAAAAACCGAGCAGCAGCAGGAATCATTGCAAACAGCAAAAAAAACAAACCTTCCACAATGTGGAGAAAGCATTAACCAAACAGCCACCACCGTTCAGGCAGCCTGCTTTTATACTCTTATCTGGCCCCACCCACATCCTGCTGATTGGTCCATTTTACAGAGAGCTGATTGGTCCGTTTTGGCAGGGTACTGATTGGTGCGTTTACAATCCCTGAGCGAGACGCAGAAGTTCTCCAAGTCCCCACTAGATTAGCTAGATACAGAGTGTGATTGGTGTATTTACAAACCCTGAGCTAGACGCAAAGTGTATTTACAAACCTTGAGCTAAATACAGGGTACTGACTGGTGTATTTACAATCCCTTAGCTAGACATAAACATTCTCCAAGTCCCCACCAGGTTAACTAGTTACAGAGTGCTGACTGGTGCATTCATAAACCCTGAACTAGACACAAGGTGCTGATTGGTGTGTTTACAAACCTTGAGCTAGATACAGAGTGCTGATTAGGTGCATTCACAAACCCTTAGCTACAAGACATAAAGATTCTCCAAGTCCCCACCAGGTTAGCTAGATACAGAGTGCCGATTGGTGTATTCACACTCCTTACCTAAAGATTCTCCAAGTCCCCACCAGGTTAGCTAGATAGAGTGCTGATTGGTGCATCCACAAACCATGAGCTAGTGCGGATTGGTGTCTTGAGCGCGGGTAGTGAGGAGCTTATCATCTGGGCCAGCAGCTGCGGAGGGGGCGCCAGGTCCCCCAGCACTGCCCGTCCGCCCGCGCTGCGGTCGAATTCTCGCCGGGCCTCAGCCGCCTCCTCATGGGGCAGGGCACGGGACCTGCAGTTCGCCATGCCCCAGCCCGCCCCCGACCCTCCCACCCGTGGGCTCCCTTGCGGTCCAAGTCTCCCTGATGGGCGCCGCCCCCTGCTCCGCGGCGCCCGGTCCCATCGACCGCCCAAGGGCTGAGGAGTGCAGGTGCGTGGCACGGGACTGGCGGGCAGCTCCGCCCGTGGCCCCAGTGCGGGATCCACTAGGCAAAGCCAGCTGGGCTCTTGAGGCGGGTGCGGACTTGGACAACTTTTATGGCTAGCTAGAGGATTGTATATGTGCCAGTCAGCACTCTGTGTCTAGCTCTGGGTTTGTGGATACACCAATCAGCACTCTGAATCTAGCAACTCTAGTGGGGACCTTTATGTCTAGCTAAAGGATTGTAAATGCACCAATCAGCACTCTGTGTCTAGCTCAGGGACTGTAAACACACCAATCAGCACCCTGTCAAAACAGACTAATCAGTTCTTTGTAAAACAGACCAATCAGCTCTCTGTAAAATGGACCAATCAGCAGAATGTGGGTGGGGCCAGATAAGGCAATAAAAGCAGGCTGCGCGGAGCAGCCACGATAACCTACTCGGAGTCGATCTCTCTGTTGTGGAAACCTTGTTCTTTATGTTCTTTGTAATAAATTTTACTGCTGCTTGCTTTTTGAGGTTTGTATTTCCTGTGTGAGCTGTAACACTTACTGTGAAGATTTGCGGTTTCACTCCTGAGACCGGCAAGAACCATGAGCGCATCAGGAGAAATGAACAACTTCAGACATACCATCTTAAGAGTTGCAACACTTATGCTGAAGGTCTGCATGTTTCGCTCCTTGTAAGCCAGCCAGACCAGGAACCCACCAGCGGGAAGAAACTCAGAACATGGGTGAACATCAGAAAGAACAAACTCCAGCCACACTGTCTTTAAAAAATAACATCACGAGGGTCTGCAGCTTCATGTTTGAAGTCAGTGAAACCAAGAACCCACCAATTCTGGACACCAGGCTGAGGCAGAAAAATTATTTGAACCTGGAGGTAGAGGCTGCAGTGAGCTTAGATCATGCCACTGCATTCCAGCCTGGGTGACAGCTCCATCTGAAAGACAACAAATAGATGATAAATGGAATTTAATCAAAAGAAACTTTTGTGCATCAAAGGACATTAGGCAGTGTTAAAAGAGCACATAGAATTGGTGAAAATGTCTTGGAAATTACATGTTTGATAAGGGTCTAACATCCAGATATATCCAAAAAAACAAAAACCAAACCTTAGAACTGAAAATCAACAAGGCAACTCAGTTTAAATGCACAAAGAACTCAAATAGACACCTCTCCAAACAAAATATGTAAATAGGCAATAAGCACTTGGAAAGTACTCTGTCTTTATTCACTAGGGGAAATGCAAATCAAAACCAAAGTAGGGTACCATTTCAAACTTTCTTGGATGGCTATAATCAGGAAAATGGCCAATGAAAAAGTGTTGGTGAAGATGTGGATAAACTGGAACTTTCATGCATTGTTGGTGAGAATGTAAAATGATAAAGCCACTGTGGAAACCGGTTTGGTGGTTCCCTTAAAAAGCTAAACATGGGTGTAGCATATGACTTAGCAATTCTAGGTGTATACCCAAAAGAATTGAAAGCAGAGACTCAAACAGATCCTTGTAATCCAATGTTCTTTGCAGCATCATTCATAATAGCTAAAAGGAGAATCCAGCCATCAACAGATGAGCAGATAAGCAAAATAACAAAAATAAAACTGCGTAAGCAGAATAGGCATCAAAATATAAGAAATTTTAAAAAATGAATATACATACAATATGGGATATATGCTGGTATATGCTGTGAGATGGATGAAACTTGAAAACATTTTGCTTAGTGATGAAATAGGCTAGGTATGAAAGGACACAAGTACTGTATAACTCCACTTATATGAAATATCTAGAATAGGCGATTTCAAAAAGACAAAAGGTGAGGGGCTGAGGCTCATGCCTGTAATCCAAGGACTTTGGGAAGTCAAGGCGGGAGGATTGCTTGAGACCAGGAGTTCAAAACCAGCTTGAGTAACATGGTGAGTCCATGCTGCCCCCCACATCTCTACAAAAAATTAAAAATTAGCCAGGTGTTGTGACACATGACTGTAGTTTAAGTTACACGGGAGGCTGAGGCAGGAGGATTCTTTGAGCCCAGGAGTTCAAGACTGCAGTGAGAATGAGACCCTGTCTCTTTAAAATGCCAAAACAAGGGCTGGGTGCGGTGGCTCACGCCTGTAATCCCAGCACTTTGGGAGGCCGAGGCGGGTGGATCACGAGGTCAGGAGATGGAGACCATCCTGGCTAACACAGTGAAACCCCGTCTCTACTAAAAGTAGAAAAAATTAGCTGGGCGTGGTGGCATGCGCCTGTACTCGCAGCTACTCGGGAGACTGAGGCAGGAGAATCGCTTGAACCCGGGAGGCAGAGGTTGCAATGAGCCGAGATAGCCCAGATCGCGCCACTGCACTCCAGCCTGGCGACAAAGCAAAACTCTGTCTCAAAAAAAAAAAAAAAGTTAAAGTGACATTTTATGTTATATATATTTTACCACACTGCATCGTGCCATTAAACAATAAAAATTTGTTCTAAACATTGAGACTTGTGCTCCAGAAATAACTTAATATTTTGGTTAAGTTTCCAGCTTTACCCTTTATTAGTTGTGTTGGGCAATGTGTTATACCCTTTTAGGTGTCAGTTTCTACATCTGTAAAAGAAGACTATTAATATATTTCTCATAGTTGGAATAGTGCAGCTACAGTGTATGCATTCGGTAAATGTTAACTGGCGTTGGTGTTAAATCTGGGAATTGCGTTGTTTCTTTTTAAAGAATTCTTATTCAGTTACCACATATTCTCACAGAAACAAATGTTCTTGAGAATCAATTTTAGCTTTCTTTTCCTCAAGAAGCGACTGGAGCTCAATTAAAAATGATGAAAACTTGCTTGATCCTGCTCTCACTGTGCTTTCTTTGCAGTAATGTTCAGATCAATTTATGGCATTGGCCCACTTGCAAAAATTCAACCTATCATGACTACTCTAATACAGGTTGCACTAGAGGACAGCTCAGTTTGGATTAAAGCTTTTGGTGGTTTCTGCCTTTAGGCTTAAGTGATGACGATTTGCCAGGTGATGACAGTTACCTTTTTTGGTAGTTAGTGAAAATCTGGAGAACACTAATTTTAAACCATGTTCAGAGTCTCAGCCATAGAGAATCTCTGTGAGAGATCTTGTTCCCAGAAATTTAACTCCCTTTATCCCTTTTTGTTGATTTTTCTCTGTAGTGATTTCCACTCCTTCCCCCGCCCCCACCCACCCCCAGCTCCAAACACATACACACAAGAGTTCAGCAACCTGAACTTTGAAAATACTTAGTGATTTCAGATTCTCAGTGAATTAACAAATGCTATTCCTTCTGCCTGAAAAATACTCATTTTTCAGCTAAATAGCATTTCTTCAGGACCTCCAGGAGGGTGGATGCTTCCTAAAGAAGTCCCCATCCCTTATTTTTTTATTTTATCCTCGTACTTCTTTTTTTCACAGGAGTGGAAACAATTTTTTTTTCTTCCCAGCGTTTGCTTGATTTCAACTGTTAGATCCAGTAGAAAGTAAGCTCTTTGAGGCCAAGTGCTATTTCTGCTTTGTTCTTTTATAAAGCAGTTGTCACAGGGCAGGCACACCGTATATACTCGTTAAATAAGACTTCTACCTTTAGTTGTTAATTGGCAGCCAGACCGGAGCAAGAAAAGGGAAAATGCTCTGAATCAACAAATATCTTTCGAACCAGAGAACGCAAAACGACGACCACGAAGGGACTCGAACCCTCAATCTTCTGATCCGGAATCAGACGCCTTATCCATTAGGCCACGCGGCCAACCACCAAAGACAGATGCTTATATAGCACACAAAGGGAATGTAACATGGTGGGGAAGGGGGCTTTTTAAGTGCTGACTTCAAAGATCCAGCTTAATAAAAAGTTCCTCGTTTGAAATTAAAATTCACTAACAGTTAAAAACTATTTACAACACCTTCCAAAACTTGCAAATACTAATACACAGTTGTCAGAAACTGTGAGAGGACGAGCAGTTAGATGGGTCATCAGCGGTGAACCCTGTTGAAATCTCTGATTAATGGCTTCGAGAAGTGGGATAGGGAGATTTTCAGTTCTGAACTGATGCTGCACCCCTTAGGGAAAACAATCAAGAGGAGGGTGAGAGAGCGCACAGAACGTACTTTCGGCAAGTGGGGTGTGTGAAAGGAATGATGGCGACGCTGGAAGCGGGGCAGTGATGGCCAGGAAACTTCAAAGATGGTTCTGTTGGAAGTGCAGGGTTGGCGTAAGGCCGGAACAAAGTAGGTTATTCAGTTCACATATACTGTTTATTTACATGGAGCTTAGTGACTTCCATTCCTGACTTGAAGACTTCCCAAGTTTGATTTGGTCTTGACAAAAACGCGTCACCAGCTCGCTGTGGATTAATGCACAGAACAATAGGGTGTTTGGGGGGAACCCCACAGTCACCAAAAGTGTGGATGGGATAGGAAAGATGTGAAACGTCCAACCCTTAAGTAGAACTATAACACCGGTCTGTCCATTACACAGTATGATTTTGGTTCCTTGAAAATGACATGTTATTCTAACACAATGAAATCCGAGCAAAATCTCTCCCTTCCTGAACACTACACTCGTCAACAAAGAATCCCATCAACTTCTATTTTTCCTAGTGTTTTCTTCTATAGTATTTTCTTTGGGGTTAAGACCAAGCTCAAATTATTGCCGAATATTCAGTCAAAATTTTTAGAGTGTCTTACTTTAGGCTTTGCTCAGGAACCCAGGGACATCGATGAGGAAGGGACATTGATGAGGAAGAGACCACAGAGTGGCATAGGATATGAACTAGCATGAGTACAAGATTTGGAATAATATCGTACTTCTTGTCATTCCAATACAGGTTTACATAAACTGTTGCAGAACACAAAAACAACAAAATGTCCCACTGCATTTTAGAAAGGTAGCTTAACATCTACTGCAAAAACTGCAAAGATTGCCTAAAGATACAGCAATTATTATTATTATTTTGTTGTTGTTGTTGTTTTGTTTTTGAGACAGAGTCTTGCTCTGTCACCCAAGCTGGAGTGCACAGTGGCACGATCTGGGCTCACTGCAACCTCCGCCTCCAGGAAGCAATTCTCTTGCCTCAACCTCACGAATGGCTGAGACTACAGGCATGCGCCACCACACCCGGCTAATTTTTGCATTTTTAGTAAAGACGGGATTTCACCATGTTGGGCCATGGCTGGTCTGGAACTCCTGACTGCAAGTGATCCGCCCTCCTCGGCTTCCCAAAGTGCTGGGATTACCGCGTGAGCCACTGCGCCCAGCCTATTATTATTTTTGAGACAGGGTCTCACTCTGTCACCCAGGCTGGAGTGCAGTGACGCTATAACGGCTCACTGCAGCCTCGACCTCCTGGGCTAAAGGGATCCTCCCACCTCAGCCTCCTGAGTAGCTGGGACTACAGGCGCGCGCCACCACGCCCAGCTAATTTTTTTGTATTTGTATAGCTGGGGTCTCGCCATGCTGCCCAAGCTGCTCTGGAACTCCTGGACTCAAGAGACCCACCCGTCTCTTCCAAAGTGCTGGGATTACAAGAGCCAGCCACTGCGCCCTATCTATGCAGCAACCATTAACAAAACATAATATCGCCATGATGAACAAGTACAAGGACAAATGTAAAAACTGAAGAGGATTCTCTGTTCTAAAATAATTTTTGATAACATGGGAAGATGTTCTGAATACAATGTTGAGAATAAAGCAAATAATAAAAACATATGCAGTATGATCCCAATTGGATAAGTCTGTATTTATATGTCAGAGTCTCCACTCAGATTCAGTCTTGAAGTTCTTAATCCCTTTAAATAACTGGAAACTGGAACCTGTACAAGACACATTATAAGTGTTTGATGCAATACACATACATATTGTGTATAATATGTGCAACTCTCTCTCCCCATTTTCAAAGTTTGGTGAACATTTTCAATTAAAGCCAAATATTTGAAGTTATATGCAACTATTGAAACTGGATATATTGAAAGTATTGAAACTGAAAAAAAGTTAAGCTACTGGAAGATATTTTCTCATCTTCATCATCAGCATTGGGACACTTACTGTTGAAAGAATATATGTGGCTCACCTTTTTAATGAATTGGAATCAGGTCACCTGGGGCTTAGGACATCTTCTAGAACTGCCCAAGGACAGATGTGGATGATACCATGATTCATGGTCCTAATCCTTCCTCCAGAGAGGCCACAACAGAGCTAAAAGGTTTAGATCCTGGATAGTGACAATATTAGGGTTTGAGATCTTTGTGAGCTAAAATACAATTGTCAGCTTTCTCACAGGGTTCTAATTCTAAAATAAAAATAAGTACTGAGAGTTCATGGAGATGTTTTTTCCTCTCCTTTTAAATCTCACCTTGCTAACCTGAAAATGTTAAGCCTCCTAACCTGCTTCCCACTCTATTTCTGATCTCCTTTACCTGGTTATCATTCAGAACTATTCTCTACAGTTTCTTTTGCTCAGAGAAGGGCAATTTCTGACTGGCTCCATTTTCCTTCTTTTATTTCTGCCCCCTTTTTTGTCTCAACTTTGGCTCCATCCCCACTTTCTCTTCCACTTGTACTTTGCATCCTGTGTCTTCTGCAAAATATACCCAGAAATATGTGCTTAGCTTCCTCTCTTCCATTTTGTTCCCTTTTATTCTCCTTTTCTCATTTTCACTGTCCCTGGATAATAATAGGTCTGTCTTTAATGGGAGAAAAGGGGAAAATAATGAAATTTCAGAAGATTTGTGTATGTGTGTGTATGTGTGTGAGTAAATGTTAGGGCTTTGCATTTTTATATTCACATTTTCCTCTCACGTGGGTTACATCAATTTATAATAATCTACATAAGTTGAAACAGAACATGGACAAAAAAATATATCCTTACCAACTTATTTTTTTGTTTGTTTTTTTGAGACGGAGTCTCGCTCTGTCACCAAGGCTGGAGTGCAATGGCCGATCCACAGATCATGTTTATCAGACATTTCCATGAAGTTGCCTTTAAGTATTTTAAATTCTTGTCCAAAACCAAACAGCTTCATCCCCTTCTGGATACCATCCTACTTCCCACAAATAAAAACAAACAAACAAGCATAATTCCTGCTTCTCCTTCTCTACTTAATAGTTTGGTGAAAGGCAACATCCATCTCTTACACTACCTGTGTGTGTGTGTGTGTGTGTTTCCTGAGGACACTCTCCATCTTTGTTTCTTTTAAAATCCATAAAGTCTCTCAATCCTGCAGCATCCACCTTCTTTCTCCAGTTCAAATAGGTTCCTTCTTTGTTTTTTGTCACTCAAGTCTCTGCTAGTTTAGACCTTAAGCATTATTCCTATGACCGATTGCAGGAGACACACATTATGCCCTCCTTAGAGTAGGACAGAGAATAAGGTCAATGATTAACAAAATGTTGAATCATTCGCTCTCCAATTGTATAACAACTTTAGCTTTTTCACGGTTCTGCGCTTGAGACTTTTTTTTTTTTTTTTTTTTTTTTTAAAGACGGAGTTTCGCTCTTTGGAGTCTAGCTCTTATCGCTGAGGCTGGAGTGCAATGGTGCAATCTCGGCTCACAGCAACCTCCATCTCCCAGGTTCAAGCGATTCTCCTGCCTCAGCCTCCCTAGCAGCTGGGATTACAGGCGCCTGCCACACCACACGAGGCTAATTTTTGTATTTTTAGTAGAGACAGGGTTTCACCATGTTGGCCAGGCTGGTCTCCAACTCCTGACCTCAGGAGATCCACCTGCCTTGGTCTCCCAAAATGCTGGGATTACAGGTGTGAGCCACTGTGCCCAGCCAAGACTTCTTTTTATCCAATAGCAGTGTGCCAGTAGCAGAAGAGTCAGCTGCATATGCTATAAAGAGCGTGCCCAGGAAAAAGCTGGATTTTGATAGCTTTCTACCTGGAGGAGAAAGACGTAATTTGGGTGCACAGGGATCAGAACTTGAACTTCAGATCCTGGGAGTAAAATGCTACTTAGATTCATAAACTCAGAAACTTTGTTGCTGTTGTTGTCTTGAGAATCTTGTAAAGTGTACACATTTGTCTGTGGTCTGTCTTGTCTTTTTTTGTTGTTGTTTTGGATTCTCAACTAGATATGCTAAAAATAAGCAGGCAAAAAAAGCAAGAAAGCAAACATGCTAAATTGGTGTTTCCTTCTGCAACTGGAGCTGCCCAACCCTATGCAGCCTTGCCTCTTGTGTGAGCATTTAACACTGCTCTCTGACAACCAGATGGGTTGGCTTCCTTATGACAGTTTCAAAGAGCAGCTGTATGTGACTAACGAACTTCAAACATACAGTTTAAGAGATGCACCTGAGAAAATGCTGAGCCCATTCAGAGACTCAGTGAGTCACAAAAGTCTCAGACAAGACAAGCTGGGTCTCTTGTAAGAGGTTCTGGAATTTGGTCCATGGATCACCATCAGTATAATCTGGAAACCTGTTAGAACTGCAAATTCTTGGGCCCTACCCCAGGTCCACTAAATCAGAAATTCCCAAAGGATGTTCCAATATGTTTCAACAAGTCATCCAGATGATTCTGATGGACCTATGCTTTGTGAACAACTGAACTCGAAGGATTGACACCTTCTGTTGCCTCACTTTAGAGTAAGGGGCATTCATTCTTCTCTAGTACCTGGAGGAAGCACAGATGCATTGGGGACCTGGGACACATCCAGATCTGAGCATCCAAATCCTGAGCATCCTTGAGGCTCCACTACCCAGCACGCTGCCTCTCACCTCATGGGTTTCCTCTTTTCCCTTCCGTAGTGTGATGAATCCCCCACCAGATTAGGTAAGGATGTATGTCCACTGCCTGAATCCTGAAAGCCAGGTGGTGAGCCAAGGCCATGGTGCCCAGCCAAAGAGTAGGTGTCCCTAAGAACCCAAACATCCGGGAGAGTATCTAGGAACCTACTAAGAAAAACAGTCTCATCACTCAAACACAGTAGACAAATAGCCAGAAAATAAGCTTAAAAGCAGTTTAGAGGCTGGGTGCGGTGGCACATGCCTGTAATCCCACACTCTGGGAGGCCGAGGTGGGTGGATTGCTTGAGCCCAGGAGTTCGAGACCAGCCTGGCCAACATAGTGAAACCCAGTCTCTTCTAAAAATACAAATATTAGCAGGATGGGGTGGCGGGTGCCTGTAATCCCAGCTACCCGGGAGGCTGAGGCAGGAGAATCACTTGAACCCAGGAGGCGGAGGCTGCAGTGAGCCGAGATGGCAGCACTATACTCGAGCCTAGGAGACAGAGCGAGACTTGGTAAAAAAAAAAAAAAAAAAAAGCCATTTAGAGACAGGAGGCTGCATGGATCTCTGGAGCTGTCCTGCTACATCCAGGAGTACCCTGTGTGTAAGTCCTAATAAATTCATCTTACTTGTCAAGCTGTACGTGTCCAAGTCATTCTTTGGTCTGTTGGCTGCTTCCCAATTTAGGGGGACGTTACAGTCCCAAGTTTTGCTCATAACAATTGGCATCACAAACAGGATCTGAGAGACCAAACAATGAGTCAGGAAAGGGCATCTGCAGGGGGAATCCTGGGGTGGTCGGCAACATGCAGGTGGGGTGGAATTGCTCCATCGCTCAACCTTTGTGGACTGCTGAGGAAGTATAGGGATATTCAGAAAATGTGGCGGGGACTAAGCGCATATTGCAAGAGGCTAAGATATCAAAGTAGGATAAGGATAGCAAATGTGCTATTGTTGCAATAAGGCTGGCCCCTGAGAAATCATTAGAGCAGGAAACAGAGAAAGGATAGAAACACCTGCAGAAGTTCAAAGCATGCCAGCTTTTTTAGGACTCCAGCTGGTTACCTATTATGTATGGCCCTTTCTTGTGCACATTTTTTAACTGATGGGGAAATTACAACAAAAAAAATGCGGATTTTAAATGGTTAAGCTGCAACTATAGAGTTAAGTAGAGTCTCCTAAAGCTATTTCTCTCTTTATTTTTGTTTCTGCTTATTTTGAATATGCTATTTATTTATTTAGAGACAGATTCTCACTCTGTCACCCAGGCTGGAGTGCAGCTCACTACAGCCTCCGCCTCCCGGGTTCAAGCTCTTTTCCTGCCTCAGCCTCCCGAGTAGCTGGGATTACAGGAACCCACCACCACGCCCAGGTATTTTTAGTAGAGATGGGGTTTCACCATATTGGCCAGGCTGGTCTCGAACTCCTGACCTTGTGATCCACCCACCTCGGCCTCCCAAAGTGCTGAGATTACAGGTGTGAGCCACTGCGCCCAGCCTCGAATGTTGGGAGAGAAGCTGAGTGTTGGGAGACAACAGGACTTGTATGTCTGCTAGACTTGCTGGCTCCTTGCTTTTAGCACTCCCATTATCTAAAGTAGCCATATGTTTCTCTTTCACTTGATACACCATTTCCTTTCAACCCCCACATCTTCACTACCTGTTTGTTTGAGCACCAATAAATAGCGTGGGCTCCCAGAGCTCAGGGCCTTCGCAGCCTCCACACTCGTGATGGCCACTTAGTCCCACTTTCTCTCTCAAACTGTCTTTTTCTCATTTCTGTGACTCTGCAGGACTTTGTCGCCCCCACGACCTGGTGTTGGGTCTGATCACCCCAACACTCAAATATGCCATTATTAAGCTATTGGTGTTGAAATAAAACTCACTAATTCAAAGCCACTCGGAGATTTTACTTTTCTCTACAGTACAGCCAGTTCTTACTAAAATGTAAACAATGAAACTCATTTGAAGCACAGAAAAAAGGGGATGTGGATAAATGAGGATTTTAAAAATCAAACTGGTATAGAAACTGCTTTACCCAAAATTGTGTTCCACAGTCTTTATTGGATTACCTATCAGTGCAAACAAAGTCTAGTCTTGTGGACAGGTCTCAATTTTGTGAAAAATAATTTGGATCTAGCTTTTCTTTTTTTTTTTTCCTTTTTTTTTTTTTTGAGATGGAGTTTCACTCTTGTTGCCCAAGCTGGAGTGCAACGGTGAGATCTCGGCTCAGTGCAACCTCCATCTCCCAAGTTCAAGTGATTCTCCTGCCTGAGCCTCTTGAGAAGCTGGGATTACAGGGGTGCGCCACCACTCCCAGCTACTTTTTTGTATTTTTAGTAGAAACGGGGTTTCACCATGTTAGCCAGCCTGGTCTCCAACTCCTGAACTCAGGTGATCCTCCTGCCTCGGCCTCCCAAAGTGCTGGGATTACAGGTTTGAGCCACTGCACCCGGCCTGATCCAACTATCTTTTGTAAAATAGTAAATTTATGATGTTGTCTCATGGCTAGAGTTCCAAGTAAAAGCTGTTGGATATTGGTTTGTGTGTATAGATACATGCTTAAATGTGTTTATGTGTATGTATATATATTATGTGTTATGCCTAGCATACTACCAAATGGCTTATACATAAATGAGTACTCATAAAGTCCAAATGCTTTTCAAGTTCATATGAATTTAGTAATCTTTAATAAATAATCTGGCTTTAAAATTATTGGTAAAATAAAAATAGAAATGTCCTTGAATTGTCAGCATACGTTTTTGTCTCAGTTTACCAATTAGTTTTACATTTGCCTCTGCTAGATATTTTAAGGTGTCAGGGTTTGACCTAAAGATCATAAGTCTGTAAACCCAGCCAAAAACAGAATGATCTTTATTTGTGTGATTTTTTGGTAAGTATGACTAATTTAATATTGTTAGGTCAGTGAAAACAGCTAAAATTCCTGAGTTATTGGCAAAAATGCCCATGTGTTTAACTTTAAAGTTCTTGCCTAGGTGAACACCTGACATTCACAGTTTAACAGAAAAAATAATTCAGAATGATGAGTAACTTTGTCTAATGTCTTCGTTCCAATGAGTAATCTAGGTAAACTGCTAAAAATGAATAAATTGAGTAAATGTAAGAGATAAATGCTTACGGGTGAACTTTTTGTGTAGTTTAAAACCTTAAAATTGTTTTAAGTACTTGTTGAATGTCTGGATCATTTCCAATTCAAAAAATGGCATTTATAATATAGGGCATTGGTCACACTGAGGTGACAGCGTGCTGGCAGTCCTCAGAGCCCTCGCTTGCTCTCAGCACCTCCGCTGCCTGGGCTCCCACTTTGGTGGCATTTGAGGAGCCCTTCAGTCCCCCACTGCACTGTGGGAGCCCCTTTCTGGGCTGGCCAAGGCCGGAGCCCACTCCTTCAGCTTGCAGGGAGGTGTGGAGGGAGAGACACGAGCGGGAACCAGGGCTGTGTGCCGCACTTGCGGGCCAGCTGGAGTTCCGGGTGGGCGTGGGCTTGGTGGGCCCCGCACTCGGAGCAGCCAGCCAGCCCTGCTGGCCCCGGGCAATGGGGGACTTAGCACCCGGGCCAGTGGCTGCGAAGGGTGTACTGGGTCCCCCAGCAGTGCCGGCCCACCGGCGCTGTGCTCGATTTCTCGCCGGGCCTTGGCTGCCTTCCCACGGGGCAGGGCTCGGGACCTGCAGCCCGCCATGCCTGAGCCTCCCACCCCCCTCCGTGGGCTCCTGTGCGGCCCGAGCCTCCCGGACGAGCGCCACCCCCTGCTCCACGGCACCCAGTCCCATCGACCACCTAAGGGCTGAGGAATGCGAGTGCAGGGCGCAGGACTGGCAGGCAGCTCCACCTGCAGCCCCAGTGCGGAATCCACTAGGTGAAGCCAGCTGGGCTCCTGAGTCTGGTGGGGACGTGGAGAGTCTTTTTATCTAGCTCAGGGATTGTAAACACACCAATCAGCACCCTGTGTTTAGCTCAAGGTTTGTGAGTGCACCAATCGACACTCTGTATCTAGCTGCTCTGGTGGGGCCTTGGAGAACCTGTATGTGGAAACTCTGTATCTAACTAATCTAATGGGGACGAGGAGAACCTTTGTATCTAGCCCAGGGATTGTAAACGCACCAGTCAGCGCCCTGACAAAACAGGCCACTCGGCTCTACCAATCAGCAGGATGTGGGTGGGGCCAGATAAAAGAATAAAAGCAGGCTGCCCGAACCAGCATTAGCAACCCGCTGGGTTGTCTCTTCTGCACTGTGAAAGCGTTGTTTTTTTCACTATGCGCAATAAATTTTCCAACTGGTCATTCTTTGGGTCCACGCTGTTTTTATGAGGTATAACACTCACTGCAAAGGTTTGCAGCTTCACTCCTGAGCTAGCAAGACCACGACCCCACCAGAAAAAAGAAACTGCGGACACATCTGAACATCAGAAGGGACAGACTCCACGCCCGCGAACTTTAGAGCTGTGACACTCTCTGTGAGGGTTTGCGGTTTCATTGTTGAAGTCAGTGAGACCATAGAACCCACCAATTTCAGACAACACTTCTGAGCCTCTTAGTGGGAAATGAAATCTGTGATGGGGGGAAGCATTGGCAGACCTCAGTGAGCTGGATAAAAATAACGATCAGGTCCACAGAGAAAGCAAAAAGGGGATAGGCCAAATATGCACCTGTATCCTTGCAGGTAATGAACATGAAACAATACTTCCTGCTATTGGGGGGGCACTCTGAAATCACCCAAACAATCCAGAAAGTACATAAGGTACAAATAGTCAGACTGGCCCAGAGCCCCTACAGCAGCCTTGTTTGGCCTGTGAAGAAGCCAGGTGATGCCTGGAAGATGATGGTGGATTACCGCTAGCTGAACAAAGTGGTACGCCCTGTACATGCAGCTGTATCCAATATTGCTCAACTGCTAGAGCAAGCAGTACCGAAGCTGGGAAGTATCCATTCTGTGACTGACTGCATTAATACCTTTTCCAGTATTCTTTCAGCTGAAGATTCACAAGACCAGTTGGTCTACACTTAGGAGGACCAAGAATGGACTTTCCAGGTGTCACCACAGGGGCATCTGCAAAGCCCCGCCATCTCTCACAGTATGGTTACACAGGAGCTGTCTATAATCTCTTTGCCTGCCTTGGTCTCCCTGTTTCACTATATTAATGATAACATGCTACCCTAGAGTCTCTTACAGATTTGGAGACTATCCTACAAACTGTTTTGGACAGCCTGAAGGAGGGATAGAAAATCAACCCCAAAAATATACAGAGGCTTGGCATGCCTGTCAAATTCCTGAGAGTTACCTGGTTGGGTAAGATGTGAAACATACCCAAAGCCGTCATTGATAAGATAGCATAGTAGTCTACTCTCCAGACAGTAGAGCAACTCCAGGTTTTCCTAGGTTTACTGGGCTACTGGAGGATATTCATTCCTCATCTGGCACAAATACTCCACCCATTATACACCCTAATAAAGACAGGTAAAAAATGAGATGACATAAATAGAACAAGAGGCATTTGACAAAACAAAAATATTGGTGAAACAAGCCCAAGCATACAGACTCTACTGCTGTATTAGTAATCACCAGAGATGTCACAGGGATGAATTTAGGTTTGGGGCAAAAGCAACTAATGGGAATGGTACCTATAGGGTTTTGGTCTCAGTTATGGGAGGGAGCCAACATGGCAGTGGAGCCACCCATCAGGCCAACCACCATATATAAGGGTACCCCGCCAATATCTGCTAGGCCCTGGTACATTGATGGGCATAGCAAAGATATCCAACACTGGGCATCAGAAGAAAATATAGACTGGACCAGGTGCGGTGGGTCATGCCTGTAATCCCAGCACTTTGGGAGGCTGAGACAGGCAGATCACTTGAGGTCAGGAGTTTGAGAGCAGTCTGGCCAACATGGTGAAACCCCATCTCTACTAAAAATACAAAAATTAGCCAGGCGTGGTGGCGCATGCGTGTAGTCCCAGCTACTTGGGAGACTGAGGTGGGAGAATTGCTTTAATCCGGGAGGCGGAGGTTGCAGTGAGCCGAGATCGCACCATTGCATTCCAGCCTGGGCAACAGAGCGAGACTCTGTCTCAAAATAAAAAAGAAGAAAATATAGACTGGAGGTTCCACTTACCACCACAATCCAACAGAGGCAGGACTTACAGAAAGAAATAATGGCCTGTTAAAGACCCAGATGTGTGCACTGTTTCAGGTTGGCTCTTTAAGTTCCTGGACTAAGAATCTCCATAAAGCCATACAAACTTTAAATGAGTCACCCACTAGCACACATGGCATCACTCCTTATAAATGGTTGGCAAGGCCTGTAAGACATGTCCCACAAACTCTCGGGGTTACCTCAAAGACACTGAGCCATGCTCCTGAGGCAGATGGTGAGACATGCTCCTGAGAACACCAGTGGATCTGCCAAGCAGTGATGGCTACAGGGACCTGAAGCTGAGCTGGAATATGCCTCCATACTGGATTAGTTTTATAGTACTGGAGGGTGGTGCCATGATAACTGCCATAGGGGCAGTGGTCCCAGCTGTGCTCCTTGATAGAGTTCCGAGAGACTTACTTTATCAACAGATGGCAGCACCCATACCTGCTGGAATAATTATAGTATGGATAGCATGGGCAAGGCTGGAAACTTATCAATTGGCTATTGTGGCTGCTTCTAGGAAAAGAAGACATGGGTGGTTTTGTAATCCAGGCCTGAAGCCCACAGTGGCATCCCTAATAGTGCCAGTGGGAGAAAACACAATGATAATAATGTTGCAAGGTGTGGCCAGGCGCGGTGGCTCACGCCTGTAATCCCAACACTTTGGGAGGCCAAGGCGGGTGGAGTATGAGGCCAGGAGATCGAGACCATCCTGGCTAACACGGTGAAACCCCGTCTCCACTAAAAATACAAAAAATTAGCCAGATGTGGTGGCGGGCGCCTGTAGTCCCAGCTACTCAGGAAGCTGAGGCAGGAGAATGGCGTGAACCCAGGAGGCGGAACTTGCAGTGAGCCGAGATCGTGCCACTGCACTCCAGCCTGGGCAACAGAGCAAGACTCTGTCTCAAAAAAATTAAAAAAAAAAATGTTGCAAGGAGTGAATACGCCTGTGAGAGTTCCTACTAACCACCTGTGTTTATACCCATAGGTTGTTCCTGCTACTCATGGCAGCTGGTAATGTCTTTCTAGACTGAGCTGCAACTCCAGAAGCAGTCAACAACCAGTCAGATACCTCTCCCTATAAAATAATAATGATATGCCTTAAAATACTCTGCCTTTCTCCTGACAGAACTGGAGTGACTTGTACAATAGCACTGATAATGCAACCCGGGCTCACTAAGGATTGCCTCCACCTAGAGGCTCAATCACCAACGTGACAAAGACCCAAAATGTGCCTTTCTAGGTGCTAACTGTTGCACCTATTTCCCTGATGAAGAGAGTAATGTCAGAGGTACTTTAAACCATTTGTCAACTCAGATCCATGATATAACCTAATTAGGTTTCTTTTACTCATTCTCAAATTGGTTACACAGCTTCTCTAGTCATGGGAATTAGGTTTTGCTAATAGACATTATAATTGTAGTTAACTTCTGCTTTTTGTGCTCCTACGTATACTGTAGATGTGACCTGTATGCGCAAGCCATGGCTAGACGTTATAGACCTGTATAGTTCTTTCCTTCCACCCTACTCAAGGAGTCTCACACAAGATTGGCAGAAAGAATGTAAGAAATGGGAGGCAGGGTGGATTGCAGCATGACAGATCACCCACCATGTCACTTAAGAGTGTATGTCTACTGCCTGAACCCTGAAGGCCCAGTGGTGAGCCAAGGCCACGATGCCCAGCAGAGGAGCAGGTGTCCTTGAGAACACAAACATCCCAGAGAGTATCTGAGAACCTACCAAGAAAAACAGTCTCATTGCTCAAACACAGTAGGCAAAAAGCCAGAAAATTAACTTAGAAACAGTTTAAAGACAGGAGGCGGCATGGATCTCTAGAGCTATCCTGCTGCACCCAGGAGTACCCTGTATCTAAGTCCTACTAAACTCACCTGCTTATTAAGCTGGACTGTCTTTGGTCTTCCGGGACCTTCCCAGTTTGGGGGGAACGTTACAATCCCAAGTTTTTCTTGTAATACTTTCCAATCTTTCTCCTCCCCTTGTTAACTTTCCCCAGATCCTAGTTTCAGTTTCTGTTGTGGCTAGATTTTCAGGCCCAGTGGTTTTCAAACTTGCCTGAATATCAAATTCAACTGGGAAATATTAAATAACACAATATTCCATAGATGTGAGGACGATCTAGCTGTGACATCTGTCACCCCATAATAATTCCTGGGCCCTTTTCTGGAGACTCTGAAAGCACTCAGCATCTCAGTCTCTGGGGTAAGGCCTGGGGATTCCTGTTTTTATTAACTCCCGCAGGTAAATTTTCACCTTTGGGGACTCCTGCAGTGTTGTCCCAAAAGCACTTATAGGAAGGTCTAGGGCAGAAAAACATCTTTTCCCACCCAGTGCCAGGTTCATGGCTGACACTTCATAATAAAAGATAGATTAACAAGGGAAAAGCAGGCCGGGTGGGGTGGCTCATGCCTGTAATCCCAGCACTTTGGGGGGCTGAAGCTGGTGGATCACCTGAGGTCAGGAGTTTGAGACCAGCCTGGCCAACATGGAGAAACCCCCATTTCCACTAAAAATACGAAATTAGCTGGGCATAGTGGCACACGCCTGTAATCCCAGCTACTCGGGAGGCTGAAGCAGAAGAATCGCTTGAACCCGGGAGGCGGAGGTTGTGGTGAGCCAAGATCGCGCCATTACACTCTAGCCTGGGCAACAAAAGTGAAATTCTGTCTCAACAACAAAAAAAAAAAAAAAAAAAAAGGAAAAGCATACAAATCAAACAAATTTTATTGACACAAGAGCCTTCAAAAATGAAGACCTAAAGAAATAGGAAAATCTGCGTACAGCAGACCCTTGAATAACGTTGTTTCATTCAACATCATTTTGTTATAATGTTGATGAGAAAAAAGTCTATTTCTCCTGGAAGCCACTGTCTGAGTTTCCTCCCACATCCCAAAAATGTGCACATTAGGTTCATTAGCATATCTAGTCTGAGTCTAGCGTCATCAGTCTGAGTGAAAGAGCACGCGAGCATATGTGTGAGTGTGTGTGTGTGTGTATGAGCCCGCCCTGTGATGGAATGGCCACCTGTCCACGGTGGGTTCCCTCCTGACACTATGAGGAGTTGAATTAGGCTTCAGCCACCAAAGACCTTGAACTGGAGTGAGCAGGTTGAAAAATGCATGAATGAATACAAGTTACTGTAAAAGCAAAATTCAGGAAGCATTTCATAATCCTACAAATGCATGACAATAAACGACATGGTGCTAAAACAGCCAGCCGCCATACTGAGAGGTGACAGCTTGCTGGCAGCCCTCACAGCCTTCGCTTGCTCTAGGCGCCTCCTCGGCCTTGGCGCCCACTCTGGCCGCGCTTGAGGAGAACTTCAGCCCGCCGCTGCACTGTGGGAGCCCCTTGCTGGGCTGGCCAAGGCCGGAGCCGGCTCCCTCAGCTTGCAGGGATGTGTGGAGGGAGAAGCGCAGGCGGGAACCGAGGCTGCGCGCGGCGCTTGCGGGCCCAGCGCGAGTTCCGGGTGGGCGTGGGCTCGGCGGGCTCCGCACTCGGAGCGGCCCCCTAATCCGCAAGCCCCGAGCAGTAAGAGGCTTAGCACCTGTGCCAGCAGCTGCTGTTCTCGACTTCTCGCCGGGCCTTAGCTGTCTCCCCGCGGGGTAAGGCTCGGGACCTACAGCCCGCCATGCCTGAGACGCCCCTCCCCGCCATGGGCTCCTGCGCGGCCCGAGCCTCCCCGACGAGCGCCGCCCCCTGCTCCACGGCGCCCAATCCCATCGGCCACCCAACGGCTGAGAAGTGCGGGCGCAAAGCACGGGACTGGCAGGCAGCTCCACCTGCGGCACCGGTGGAAAATCCACTGGGTGAAGCCAGCTGGGCTCCTGAGTCTGGTAGGGACTTGGAGAACGTTTACGTCTACCTAAGGGATTATAAATACACCAATCGGCACTCTGTATCTAGCTCAAGGTTTGTAAACACACCAATCGGCACCCTGTGTCTAGCTCAGGGTTTGTGAATGCACCAATGGACACTCTGTATTTAGCTACTCTGGTGGGGACTTGGAGAACCTTTATGTCTAGCGAAGGGATTGTAAATACACCAATCGGCACTCTGTATCTAGCTCAAGGTTTGTAAACACACCAATCAGCACCCTGTGTCTAGCTCAGGGTTTGTGAATTCACTAATGGACACTCTGTATCTAGCTACTCTGGTGGGGACTTGGAGAACTTTTGTGTCTAGCTCAGGGATTGTAAACGCGCCAATGAGCACTCTGTGAAGATGGACCAATCAGCTCTCTGTAAAACAGACCAGTCAGTTCTCTGTAAAATGGACCAATCAGCAGGATGTGGGTGGGGCCAGACAAGATAATAAAAGCAGGCTGCCGGAACCAACTGCGACAACGTGTTCGGGCTTTTTCCCACGGTGCGGAAGTGATTTTTCGCTCTCTGCGATGGATCTTGATTGTTCTTTGGGTTTACACTACGTTTATGAGCTGTAATTTGTTGATGGTCTGCAGCTTATCTTTTGAAGTTAGGAAAAACATGAATTCTCGGGCAAGAACAAACAACTCCGGAGGCGCCGCCTTAGAAGATGTAACACTGACTGCCAAGGTTTGCAGTTTCACTCCTGAGCCAGTAGAAGACCAAACCACCAGAAGGAAGAAACTCTATAACACATCCGAACGTCAGAGGGAATGAACTCTGGCTACACCGCATCTAACGATTGTAACACTCATCCGGAGGACTTGTGGCTTTCTTGAAATCAGTGAGATCAAGAACCCGCCAATTCCGGACACAATGTTTTACGAATTGTGTGTTAGTAGGAGTTGCTCCTTACAACTGCTATTTCACAAACATTTATTCCTTGATATAACCTGCCACCACTAGAATTGCAGTCACTGATTCACCAAAAATAAATCAATCATGTCGTTTTTGCTGATCTTAACTTGAGGTGCAGCTCATATTTTTTTCAATATTTAGTGTTAGAAGTGTTTGGAGTCCTTATTTAGAAATTTGGTGTTTTTGTGATCAGACATTTGCCAAGAAAATTAACTCTTAAATCAATTAGTCTAGTCTATGGTAGAATTAGTTTTATTTTGCTTAAAGTAATAGTTTCCAAAAACCAACTGACAATAAGTGAGGACTTCCTATATTTTTATGCTTAGGTTTGATGAAGTGGATAGTCCCATAGCAGTATAATTGGATAAAAGGGGGTATGATCTAATGGTTATAAACTGGGGTGAACTTAGCAAAGCCTGTTTATTCAGGTTCTCTTTGGCATCTCTGTGTCTTCGTTTATTTCCTCCAAGTACATTTTCTCCCCTCTGAATTGACGGTCTTATCACCTACTTTAATTGGAAGATCAGGTAGCTTTCATGGCCCGCTTCACGGAACAAGGGCCCAGAGAAAAACGTTTCTGCTTCTGCTGTTTTCTCAAATGCCGAGGTGTCGTATTTTGGGAGTAGTGTGACCTGAACCCAGTCAAAAGACGTCCGAGTCTTTCTAATCTCTGGGTCATAGGGTCGCCTTTGGCCTATGCATTGTACGTATACAGTATGGCATTTCGCATGTCTGTCCACTTCTAGGCGCACAGTCCAACTGGCTTTGACTGGTCAGGAAGGCCAGGCCTGGATCTGGGGTTGGTACTATAGGTTAGATGTTTTCAGGTTTTGAAGGAGAAACAGGTCCCTTAAGGATGAGAGCGAATCAGAAGAAGACAGACAAAAAAGGATTTAGGATTTGTTCCAGAAGCTCATTTCTGGATTGACTGTCGTACCAAGGTTTGGCGAACGGCGGCAAGCGCTTGCCAGTTTGTCGAAGAGTGGAGAGGTCAGTTGTGCCAAGGAGTGGAGAGGTCTAAGAACTCTCCAGGAGCACGGAGGGTTTATGCAGTCATAAATCGCCTTGCTTCTGCATACTTTTTATTCCGTGGAGGATTCCGCCCGGGCGATGGCGCCATAAATGCAGGTGCGTCCTGGCTCTTTTCTCTTCCCAGTGCGCATCTCGGCGACTCTCACCACCCGAGTCTCAGAGCCCGCGAAACGTAGCGTGCCAGGTTCTCCATCCCGAGGCTGGGCGCGGGAACCTGCAGGGGCAGTAACTACGACCGGGACAAGCCGATCTGCAATTCCCCTCCTGTTTTCTCTGCCCCTTGGACTTAAATTCCCACGGCGGCGTTTAGGGCTTTCGTTTTATCTTTCTGCGTTATGCTCGCGGTTTCCTGGCAACCTTTCCAAGCAGAATCACCCCATCACAGACCTTTCTCTGGGGGGCGGCCAGGCAGGACGGCTCCCTTATAAACCCCGATAGGTGGTTGTCGAGCGGCCGTCCGAGAGGGTGACCTGCAGCGGGAGATCCCAGGCCCAGCACGGGACTTTCGATATAACATTCAGTTTTCCTTCTCTCAGCGCAGTCAGGAAACAATATCCAGTATAGCGAATTCAAAATTAAGTTCGACAAAATATGCTTCTTGGCACGACCGATAATAGTAACAGGTCATAGAAATATTTTGGCCCACGTTGAGCGTTGGGGGGTGTAGCTCAGTGGTAGAGCGCGTGCTTAGCATGCACGAGGCCCCGGGTTCAATCCCCGGCACCTCCAGCTTCATTTTTCTCCCGCCTTTTCTCCTAGATGTGCCTTGTTTGCAAAATCATGTCTATCATGTCCACGACTCGCCTCAATTTTTTTTCTTTTGTTTTTGTGGCACTTTCATTCTCTCTCAATTCTTCAAATTCACATGGAAACCAAGGAAAACAAGCTCCGTTTTGCTTTCAATATTGATGCATTTCTGCTCTAAGGCTTTGACACCACCCTGGGTGGCTGTGTCAAGAGATGAAAGACAAAATGAAAGAGGCCGCGGAAGCACAGACTGGCAGAATTCCAAAACCCGAAAAACAAGCAAGGCACCAAATTAACAAGCCCAATCACATTGGTTACATTTCCCAGTATTATCGAAGATCAAGCAAGAAAGAAAAAGACAGAAAACAAATGCGAAACCACAGGTAATTTTTTACAATTTATTTTAGATCCTTTCTTTTTTGAGCTGTTCCTTGGTCAAGGGACAGACCCAGAAAATAGGAAAACTGTCCCACGGATTTCCCCACCACTCTCTTCCCATCGCAATCTCTTTTCTTTTCCCCCATCAGGTGTCCTCTTGTTCGTCCGATTTTAGACTTTGTAAGCTTTTTGTAGGCTTTTTTTTTTTTTTTTTTTTGGAGACAAGAGTCTCACTCTGTCTCCCAGGCTGGAGTGCAGAGTGCAATGGCACCATCTCGGTTCACGTGCAAGCTGTGCCTCCCAGATGCAAGTGATTCTCCTGCCTTAGCCTCCCGAGTAGCTGGAATTACAGGCATGATGCACCACCATGCCCGGCTAATTTTTTTTTTTTTAGTGGAAACGGGGGTTTCACCATGTTGGCCAGGCTGGTCTCGAACTCCTGAACTCAAGTGATCCACGATCCACCCGCCTCTGCCTCCTAAAGTGCCGGGATTCCAGGCGTGAGCCACCACGCCTGGCCTACTTTGTATGCATTTCTTTGACTCATTGTTATTGTTTCTGACTTTATTAGGGTAACTTTTATTAAAGCATAATGTAAGCTTTGGATCCAAATAGAAGTTCTTTATTGTGTTAAATAAATTGAAGCCTTCGTATCTGGCTGACTTGAAGCAGCACTTAGCTAGTTTTAAAAGATATGGAAGGCAATCAGAAAACAAAGATACATATCCCCACTCCCTTCTCTTCCCAATTCTAACCGCAGCTCACATTTTGAAGGGCCTCACACATGCATGTGTGAACATCTCAACATATTAGCGGTGGCAGTTATCTGTAAGGAGTCTGCAGCAACATTAATTCTTGCCTCCTCAGGAGAAGGAAAGAATTCGATTGAGGAGCATAATGCCGAAGGAGAGACCGAGGCAAGTCTTAGAGCAGGGGTGAAAAATTATTGAAAATATTTAGAGCACTAATGAAGGAAAGTACACTTGGAAGAGGGCCAAGCAGGCGACTTGAGAGACCAAGTGCACGGCTTGACCTCTAGACCTGGGGTCGTAAACGTTGGCATAGTTCCTAAATCTTGTGTTATTTCTCCCCACTCCTGAGATCTTATTGGGAAGTGACCGACCACCAGTTTCACGTGTTTTCTATCTGTTAAGAAACTGCCTTTCTCTGTCAGAGGAAGAATCAGTTTAAACTTTATAGATTTCTTTTAAAACGTATTTATTACAAGTCCCCAAGAGGGCTTTATTTTTGCTTTCACACATCCTGTTTTTCAGCTTCCTTGGCTCTTTTTGCCCATATGCCGAAGAGCCGAGCATTGCCGCCAAGCATTGGCACCGGCCATGCGGAGACTAGCGAAAGCTTTGCAATTCCTCTACTTCTCAGTGATGACTCGGGCTTTCTCCTTACATTCTTGATGGGCATGACCGGTCCTGTCAGCTGGGTGGCCAATTTCTGTTCTTCAGCAGAACTGTCTCCCTTCTTGGGGGCCGAGGGCTTTCTGGGGAAGAGGATGAGTTTGGAGCAATACTCATTCAGACGCTGCACATTGGCCTGCAGGGAATCGGTGGACTTGTTCTGCCTCCTCGGATCCACAGAGATGCCAGTGGTCCGGGTCACCTTCTTGTGAATGCCCGCCACCCTGAGCTCCAGGCTGAAGCCTCTGCCGGCGCGCACCTTGATGTGATAACGCACAGCAGGGCACAGCACAATGGGCCAGATGGGTCCCGACTCTCCGGGCGCGGGGCGATGCAGCGCCCTTTGGCTTGCCGGGCCTTGATTCTGCGGATCTTCTGGTTGAACCACGTGGCCACACGCTGCTGCCAGTCCTTGTGGAAGTGGGGCTTCAACATCATGCCATTCCTGCTGGGCGCCATGGCTGCCTACGGCCCTCCTACGAAGGAAACACTTTATAGATTTCTATAGCAGTGTTACATAGTAAGGTTTTATGGCGAGTTTTGTAGCATGGATCATACTACCTTAGGACTGATGGTAAAGTTTTAGTCTAAGGAAAGCTCTGAAAATTTGAAAATGTGTAACCACCCAATGAGTTCAGCTTGCCCACTGCCTAGACAGAACCATTTATCAAGACGGGCATGCAAAGCCGGCTGTGTGGGAGACCCGTTTTATTATTATTCAAATCAGTCTCCCCAAGTGGATTGCAGTTTTTAAGGATAATTTGGTGGGTAGGGGACCAGTGAGTTGGGAAAGTTGATTAGTCGGGTCGGAGATGAAATCAGAGGGAGTCGAAGCTGTCCTCTTGTGTTGGCTTAATTTCTGGATGGGGGCCACAAGACCAGATGAGCCAGTTTATCGTTATGGGTGGTGCTAGCTGATCCATAGAGTACAGGGGCTGCAAAATATCTCAAGAACTGATCTTCGGTTTTACAATAGTGATGTTATCCTGAGGAGCAATTGGGGGAGGTTTAGAATCTTGCAGCCTCCAGCTGCATGACTCCTAAACCATAATTTATAATCTTGTGGCTAATTTGTTAGTCCTGCGAAAGCAGTCTAGTCCCCAGGCAGGAAGCGGGTTTGTTTTGGAAAGGGCTGCTATTGTCTTTGTTTCAAAGCTAAACTATAAACTAAGTTCCTCCCAAAGTTAGGTCAGCCTACGACCAGGAATGAACAAGGACAGCTTGGAGGTTAGAAGCAAGATGGAATTGGTTAGGTTAGATCTCTCACTGTCTCAGTTGTAATTTTGCGATGGTGTTTTCAAATGTTGATTTAAAGAAGACCATAAATTTGTGTTGCTTTCTCAGATTTTGAGAATAAGGACAAAAAGTGTATGTTTTAATGGGAGAATCTTAAGAATTTCACTACTGAAGTGGATTTCTCTGTCCATTAACAGTGCTAAATGTTTTGTATTTCCCAGTTGGAAAAACAAAATCTGCAAGCTTTGAATGATACTTGTTATTAGGTTTTGGTAACAGCTGTTGTACTATTCCCATTTCAATGCTCAATAGCCACACGTGGCATGTCATACCTACCAGGTGGACAGCACAGATATAGAACATTTTCATCATTGTAAAAAGCCCTATTTGACAACACTAACTTAAAGTATTAATCTTTTAGAAGAGAAAGCTTCAGTCCAACCCAAATTACACAATTTTACTTTTGAAAATATTGTTGAAACAACGTTCAATTTTTTAAAATTTTGGAAAACTGAATGAAATCCATTTGTAAATGCGCAAATGGTACTGGAGGTGGAAAACTGAAGCCTTGCTATAGTTTTAGTTTTTTGGAGGGTTATGATCAACACAGAGAAGAAAAGATTCATCTACCCATAGAGCTTCTTGAGAAAAATTTTCTAACAATAATTTTGAAAATTTGTAGTGAATTTGTTCTTGCCATTATTTATGGGTGCTTTCATGTGCGAGGCACATCAAAGTTCTGGGGAATGACTTAGGCACAACCAAATGGCTATCTTGGGAAGACCAAAGTCCTTTGCTATATATGAGAGTTTTGAGATGGCGACTACCTTTCTGTATGGTAGATTCTTGTTTTTGAATATGCCCTCTGGGTTTTCAAAACAAATTGTTTTTACAATACCTATAGTAGTTATCTAGGGCATATTCTTTAGCTTCAAAAATTCTATCTTTAGAATGGGCTTCAATATTCATAACTGAGTTATTTTCCTCTAATAAATCATTAACATTTTCCCATGTTTTATTGTGGTGTTCATGGTAGTTTAAAATACCTTATAATAGCATATAATATGTATGAACAACCTGAAAATATATGTATGTGAACAACCTGAAGCCACATGTACTCTCAGTATACAGGTTAATTCTTAAACCTTCAACAAGATGTCATGCTCAAATTGGAACTACATTTGTGCTTCACACAAAGACCTTTCCGTCAATGACTGACTACATGTACGACCATGGTTTTATAAGACTATAATACCATATTTTTACTGTATCTTTCCTGTGTTTAAGTACACAAATACGTATCTGTGTGTTCCATTGCCCTACAGTATTCAATACAGTAACATGCTGTAGTGGTTTGTAGCCCAGCAGCAATGGACTACACCGTATAACCTAGGTGTGGAGTAGGCTATACCATCTAGGTTTGTGTTAAATACTCTCTAAAATGTTTGCACAGTGATGAAATGCCCTAATGACTAATTTTTCAGATCATATCCCTGAGGTTGATCTAGGCATGACTGTATTAGTCCAGTCATCTGAGTAGATGTTGGCAAAAGGATAGTTTCCGTTACAGAAAATTAAGATGGCATATCCAGTAGAAGAGCATACCTTGAATTTGTTTTATTTTTAATTTTTAAAAAAAGTTTTAGAGCAGTTTATAAGCAGTTTTTAAGTTTATAAGATCACATAAGTTCATTTACCATATTCTACCACCATAACTTGACGTAAGCCTGAATGAACATTTTATAAGCTCAGCCTTACTGTATACTAAGTTCAAGTTTACATCAAGTTACGGTGATAGTATATGGTAAGATGTTTTGCCCTGAAAGTCCTTATTTTAAAATATGTATAGTTAAACTGACACATAACAAAGCATGTGAGACAAAAGAAAAGAGGAGACAACCAGATGGATTCTAGTGAGTTTGAGCTGCCATCCTCTGACTTGCACGCAAGGGCAAAGATTCACTAATCCAACAAGTGCTTGCTAAAGATTTAGGGGAAATAACATTGCTTTTTTATTTCATTTTCCCCCAACAGTTCATTCCATTAATAGTGCTAGGAAGTTTTGACATGAGAATAGGAACACTTTTCTCGGGTTTTGAAGGGCCTTGTATAGTCATGCAAAGAAGAGCATCGTACAGTCATACAAAGTCTACAGTATGAGGGTGTAGCACAGATATAAGGTACTGGATTATATCTCTTTTTTTTTTTTTTTTTGAGATGGAGTTTCACTCTTGTTGCCCAGGCTGGAGTGCAATGTCGCGATCTCGGCTCACTGCAACCTCCGCCTCCCAGGTTCAAGCAATACTCCTGCCTCAGCCTCCCAAGTACCTGGGATTACAGGCATGCGCCACCATGCATGGCTAATTTTGTATTTTTAGTAGAGACGGGGTTTCTCCATGTTGGTCAGGCTTGTCTCAAACTCCCGACCTCAGGTGATCCGCCTGCCTCAGCCTACCAAGTGCTGGGATTACAGGCCTGAGCCACCGTGCCCGGCCATCTCTATTTTTTAAAAATATATTTGTGTGTAAATGTCTCAGTTATTTTAAAAACCTTGGTGCTATTTAATACTGTGGTTAACACTTTGGAAGAAAATGGCTAGGTTTGAGCCTGACCTTGTTGGTATAGGCTCACTCACACCTTCAGAATATGGGCATTGATGAAAGAAAAAATTCAGCTGAATTAAATTTAAAGGAGTTTAATTGAGCAATGAACGGTTTGCGAATCGGGCAGCCCCCAGAATCACAACAGATTCACAGAGACTCAGCGCAGTCACATGGTGGAAGAAGATTTATAGACCAAAAAAAAAAAAAAAAAAAAAGGGAGGGCCGAGCGCAGTGGCCCACGCCTATAGTCCCAGCACTTTGGGAGGCCGAGGTGTGTGGCTCACGAGGTCAGGAGTTCAAGACAAGCCTGACCAACATGGTGAAACCCCGTCTCTACTAAAAATACAAAAAAATTAGCCGGCTGTGGTGGCATGCTCCTGTAATCCCAGCTACTCAGGAGGCTGAGCCAGGAGAATTGCTTGAACCCGGGAGGCAGAGGTTTCAGTGAGCTGAGATCGAGCCACTGCACTCCAGCCTGGGCAACAGAGCAAAACAGCAAAACTCCTTCTTAAAAAAAAAAAAAAAAGGAATGACATATGGAAATTGGAAGTGAGGTACAGAATGGCTGGATGGGTTACAGCTCAGTTTTTGCCTTATTTGAACACAATTTGAACACTCAGCAGTGTATGAATGGTTGAATTACAGCCACTGGGATTGGCCAAGACTCAGCTATTGTTATAGGCACATATTCCTAAGTTAGGTTTTCAATCTTGTCTACCCATTAAACTAGGTTGCAATTCCTCCACAAGGACCCAAATATAAAAGTATGGAATCTTTCTCAGGCCATATTTAGTTTGCTTTAACAGCATAATCCACAGATTATGGTGCAGTGGATTCCGCTGATATTCAGGGGTGCTGACTCTAGTTTTCAATTAAGACAAGTGAAGAGAGACAGAACTCTGTTCCAGATAATGGATGTCTAGGTAATTCAGATAATCCCCCTGGTAAAGACAACAATAAAGCCGGGTGATATATAAAAATAATTCTTTCTTAAAGCATTAAAAATATAATAAACTAGTAATCAATTACCTGCTGAGTGTCAGTAAAAGAAACAAACCCAGAGAAGTGAATCTAGCAGTTGGGACCCCTTTTGCCCTGGCAACATTTGTAATCTGGATGTAGAAGCCAAGAGACTTATCTATGTTTCTGATAGCCTCATAGGGTTAGAGGAACAAAAACAGAAACCTAGGGCTGCCCAAAGTGGCGACATTGGTGATCATGCACTCCCCCTGAGGCTGCTTTCTAGGAGTAAAGGGGAACTGTAAGTAAACCTGCTCACCCATAAACTGCAGCTTGGCTTACCATCATCTGGTAGCCCATAAGACCCCAAACCTTGACACTGGTTTAAGGTGGGCTGTATTTCAGCACATCTAGGTTTCTGAAGAAGCAAAAGAAAATCCTCTCTGAAGGAATAAAACTTTAACCTAGACTTCACATTATTTCTAGAAATATTTTTTTCAAATACAAAACCCAGCATACAAACGTGCATACACATGAACAAACAAGTCTCCGTGAAAATCAACAGAAACAACAGACTCAAAAAAAGAAAAGAAAGAAAAGAGAGAGAAAGAAAGAGAGAAAGAAAGAAAAAAGAAAAAGAGAAAAGAAAGGAAAGAAAGAAAAAGAAATGACAGATACCAGAAATAGAATCTACTAAACTTCAGATTTGGAAATTATCAGATAAGGGTGTAACAAAACTGCTTACTATATTCAAAGAAACAAAAGCTAATCTAAAAAATTTAAGGAGCAAATTGAAAAATATAAAAACTGACGAAGTAGATTTAAAAATAAAAACCAAAATTTATTTGTAATTGAAATATATAATAACCAAAATTAAGAACTTGAAGGATAAATTAACAACAAACTTGACACAACTGAAAAGAGTATTAGTAAAGTGGAAAATAATTTAGAAGAAATTATTCAGAACACGCTGGGCGTGGTGGCTCACATCTGTAAACCCAGCACTTTGGGAGGCTGAGGCAGGTGGTTCACGAGGTCAGGAGATCGAGACCATCATGATAACTCGGTGAAACCCCATCTCTACTAAAAATACAAAAAATTAGCCAGGTGTGGTGGCAGGCACCTGTAGTCCCAGCTACTTGGGAGTCTGAGGCAGGAAAATGGCATGAACCCAGAAAGCGGAGCTTGCAGTGAGCCGAGATTGTGCCACTTTACTCCAGCCTGGGCAACAGAGCGATACTCTGTCTCATAAAAAAACAAAAAGTAATTATTCAGAACAAAGTATGGAGATGCAAAATAATGGTATTAATAGAAGAGAGGATAAGGAGATCTAATATATATTTAATTAGAATTTTTAATGGATGAAAGACAATAGAGCAGAGGCAATATTTGAATAAATAATAACTGAGATATATAAGACATGGAGAAATGCCACCTACATTCCCTCTCAAAGAAGGACTCATTTCCCTTAGTTGTTTGGAGTGCTGCCAATGTTCTAGGGTTTATCTCAGGTGCAGAGAGTTGATTCTCCCAAAAGCACACCCTTCCTGGGATGATGCACCTTCAACAATTGATTGCAGTGGAGTAAAAAGATTTGTCGTTTTGGCACCACAGGAGTATAGGCCATATGTAATCCAGTGCTCCCTATGGTGTTGGTTGAGACTTTGGCAGGTCTGCATCTCAGCTTAACTCACTTTTCCAGTTTGACAGCCTCATTCACGGTGCTCAGACCATGGAAGTATTTTGTGTTAGAAAAAGGACAATTGGCTGGGCATGGTGGCTCATGCCTGTAATCCCAGCACTTTGGGAGGCCGAGGTGGGAGGATCACTTGAGGTCAGGAGTTTGAGACCAGCCTGGCCAATATGGCAAAACCCCTTCTCTACTAAAAATACAAAAAATTAGCCAGGCATAGTGACAGCCGCCTGTAATCCCAGCTACTTGAGAGTCTGAGACAGGATAATCACTGGAACCTGGGAGGTGGAGGTTGCAGTGAGCTGAGATTGCGCTGTTGCAATCCAGCCTGGGTGACAGAGCGAGCCTCAATCTCAAAAAAAAAAAAAGGACAATTGTCAAAAGTAAGAAGCTGTAGTAGGGGGTCAGAAATATAAATAAATACTATCAGGGCTCAGGTCTAAGGGGGGAAATATTTTATTCTCTTATTTTTTGTACTTTAAGTTCTAGGGTACATGTGCACAATGTGCAGGTTTGTTACATATGTATACACGTGCCATGTTGGTATCCTGCACCCATTAACTTGTTATTTACATTAGGTATTTCTCCTAATGCTATCCCTCCCCACTAACCCACTCCACGACAGGCCCTGGTGTGTGACATTCCCCTTCCTGTGTCCAAGTGTTCTTATTGTTCAATTCCCCCCATGAGTGAGAACATGAGGTGTTTTGTTTTCTGTCCTTGTTATGGTTTGCTGAGAATGATGGTTTCCAGCTTCATCCATGTCCCTACAAAGGACATGAACTCATCCTTTTTTATGGCTGCATAGTATTCCATGGTGTATATGTGCCACATTTTCCTAATCCAGTCTATCATTGATGGATATTTGGGTTGTTCCAAGTCTTTGCTATTGTGAATAGTGCCGCAATAAACATATGTGTGCATGTGTCTTTATAGTAGCATAATTTATAATCCTTTGGGTATATACCCAGTAATGGGATTGCTGAGTCAAATAGTATTTCTAGTTCTAGATCCTTGAGGAATTATCACACTGTCTTCCACGATGGCTGAACTAGTTTACAGTCCCACCAACAGTGTAAAAGCATTCCTATTTCTCCACATCCTCTCCAGCACCTGTTGTTTCCTGACTTTTTAATGATCACCATTCTAACTGGTGTGAGATGGTATCTCATTGTGGTTTTGATTTGCATTTCTCTGATGGCCAGTGATGATGAGCATTTTTTCATGTGTCTTTTGGCTGCATAAATGTCTTCTTTTGAGAAGTGTCTGTTCATATCCTTTGCCCACTTTTTGATGGGGTTGTTTGATTTTTTCTTGTAAATTTGTTTGAGTTCTTTGTAGATTCTGGATATTAGCCCTTTGTCAGATGGGTAGATTGCAAAAATTTACTCCCATTCTGTAGGTTGCCTGTTCACTCTGATGGTAGTTTCTTTTGCTGTGCAGAAGCTCTTTAGTTTAATTAGATCCCATTTGTTTATTTTGGCTTTTGTTGTCATTGCTTTTGGTGTTTTAGTCATGAAGTCCTTGTCCATACCTATGTCCTGAATGGTATTGCCTAGGTTTTGTTCTAGGGTTTTTATGGTTTTAGGTCTAACATTTAAGTCTTTCATCCATCTTGAATTAATTTTTGTATAAGGTTTAAGGGAGGGATCCAGTTTCAGCTTTCTACATATGGCTAGCCAGTTTTCTCAGCACCATTTATTAAATAGGGAATCCTTTCCCCATTTCTTGTTTTTGTCAGGTTTGTCAAAGATCAAATGGTTGTAGACGTGTGGTATTATTTCTGAGGGCTCTATTCTGTTCCATTGGTCTATATATCTATTTTGGTACCAGTACCATCTGTTTTGGTTACTGTAACCACGTAGTATAGTTTGAAGTCAGGTAGCGTGATGCCTCCAGCTTTGTTCTTTTGGCTTAGGATTGTCTTGGCAATGCAGGCTCTTTTTTGGTTCCATATGAACTTTAAAGTAGTCTTTTCCAATTCTGTGAAGAAAGTCATTGGTAGCTTGAGGGAGATGGCATTGAATCTATAAATTACCTTGGGCAGTAGGGCCATTTTCATGATATTGATTCTTCCTATCCATGAGCATGGAATGTTCTTCCATTTGTTTGTGTCCTCTTTTATTTTGTTGAGCAGTGGTTTGTAGTTCTTCTTGAGGAGGTCCTTCACATCCCTTGTAAGTTGGATTCCTAGGTATTTTATTCTCTTTGTAGCAATTGTGAATGGGAGTTCCCTCATGATTTGGCTCTCTGTCTGTTACTGATGTATAGGAATGCTTGTGATTTTTGCACATTGATTTTGTATCCTGAGACTTTGCTGAAGTTGCTTATCAGCTTAAGGAGATTTTGGACTGAGACGATGGGGTTTTCTAAATATACAATCATGTCATCTGCAAGCAGGGACAATTTGACTTCCTCTTTTCCTAATTGAATACCCTTTATTTGTTTCTCTTGCCTGATTGCCCTGGCCAGAACTTCCAACACTATGTTGAATAGAAGTGGTGAGAGAGGGCATCCCTGTCTTGTGCCAGCTTTAAAAGGGAATGCTTCCAGTTTTTGCCCATTCAATATGATATTGGCTGTGGGTTTGGCATAAACAGCTCTTATTATTTTGAGATACGTCCCATCAATACCTAGTTTATTGAGAGTTTTTAGCATGAAGGGCTGTTGAATTTTGTCGAAGGCCTTTTCTGCATCTATTGAGATAATCACATGGTTTTTGGCTTTGGTTCTGTTTATGTGATGGATTACATTTATTGATTTTCATATGTTGAACAAGCCTTGTATCCCAGGGATGAAGCCAACTTGTTCTTGGTGGATAAGCTTTTTGATGTGCTGCTCGATTTGGTTTGCCTGTATTTTATTGAGGATTTTCGCATCGATGTTCATCAGGGATATTGGTCTAAAATTCTCTTTTTTTGTCATGTCTCTGCCAGGCTTTGGTATCAGGATAATGCTTGCCTCATAAAATGAGTTAGGGATGAGTCCCTCTTTTTCTATTGTTTGGAATAGTTTCAGAAGAAATCGGACTAGCTCCTCTTTGTACCTGTGGTAGAATTCTGCTGTGAATCCGTCTGGTCCTGGACTTTTTTTGGTTGGTAGGCTATTAATTATTGCCTCAATTTCAGAGCCTGTTATTGGTCTATTCAGGGATTCAACTTCTTCCCAGTTTAATCTTAGGAGAGTGTATGTGTCCAGGAATTTATCCATTTCTTCTAGATTTTCTAGTTTATTTGCATAGAGGTGTTTATAGTATTCTCTGATGGTAGTTTGCATTTCTGTGGGATCGGTGGTGATATCCCCTTTATCATTTTTCATTGCATCTGTTTGATTAGTCTCTATTTTCTTCTTTATTAGTCTTGCTGGTGATGTATCAATTTTGTTGATCTTTTCAAAAAAGCCAGCGCCTGGATTCATTGATTTTTTGAATGGTTTTTTGTGTTTCTGTCTCCTTCAGTTCTGCTCTGATCTTAGTTATTTCTTGCCTTCTGCTAGCTTTTGAATGTGTTTGCTCTTGCTTCTCTAGTTCTTTTCATTGTGATGTTAGGATGTCGATTTTAGATCTTTCCTGCTTTCCCTTGTGGGCATTTAGTGCTATAAATTTCCCTCTACACACTGCTTTAAATGCGTCCCAGAGATTCTGGTATGTTGTGTCTTTGTTCTCATTGGTTTCAAAGAACATCTTTATTTCTGCCTTCATTTTGTTATTTACCCAGTAGTCATTCAGGAGTAAGTTGTTCAGTTTCCATGTAGTTGTGCAGTTTTGAATGAGGTTCTTAATCCTGAGTTCTAATTTGATTGCACTGTGGTCTGAGAGACAGTTTGTTGTGATTTCTGTTCTTTTACATTTGCTGAGGAGTGCTTTACTTCCAACTTTGTGGTCAATTTTGGAATAAGTGTGATGTGGTGCTGAGAAGAATGTATATTCTGTTTATTTGGGGTGGAGAGTTCTGTAGATGTCTATTAGGTCTGCTTGGTCCAGAGCTGAGTTCAAGTCCTGAATATCCTTGTTAACCTTCTGTCTCATTGATCTGTCTAATATTGACAGTGGGGTGTTAAAGTCTCCCATTATTATTGTGTGGGAGTCTAAGTCTCTTTGTAGGTCTCTAAGGACTTGCTTTATGAATCTGGGTGCTCCTGTATTGGGTGCATATATATTTAGGATAGTTAGCTCTTCTTGTTGAATTGACCCCTTTACCATTATGTAATGGCCTTCTTTGTCTTTGTTGATCTTTGTTGGTTTAAAGTCTGTTTTATCAGAGACTAGGATTGCAACTGCTGCTTTTTTTTTTGCTTTACATTTGCTTGGTAGATCTTCCTCCATCCCTTTATTTTGAGCCTGTGTGCGTCTCTGCATGTGAGATTGGTCTCCTGAATACAGCACACTTGATGGGTCTTGACTCTTTATCCAATTTGCCAGTCTGTGTCTAATTTAATTGGGGCATTTAGCCCATTTACATTTAAGGTTAATATTGTTATGTGTGAATTTGATCCTGTCATGATGTTAGCTGGTTATTTTGCCCATTAGTTGATGCAGTTTCTTCCTAGCATCGATGGTCTTTACAATTTGGCATGATTTTGCAGTGGCTGGTACCAGTTGTTCCTTTCCATGTTTAGCGCTTCCTTCAGGAGCTCTTGTAAGGCAGGCCTGGTGGTGACAAAATCTCTCAGCATTTGCTTGTCTGCAAAGGATTTTATTTCTCCTTCAATTATGAAGCTTAGTTTGGCTGGATATGAAATTCTAGGTTGAAAATTCTTTTCTTTAAGAATGATAAATATTGGCCCCCACTCTCTTCTGGCTTGTAGAGTTTCTGCCAAGAGATCTGCTGTTAGTCTGATGGGATTCCCTTTGCGGGTAACCCGACCTTTCTCTCTGGCTGCCCTTAACATTTTTTCCTTCATTTCAACCTTGGTGAATCTGACAATTATGTGTCTTGGGATTGTTTTTCTCGAGGAGTATCTTTGTGGTGTTCTCTGTATTTCCTGAATTTGAATGTTGGCCTGCCTTACTAGGTTGGGGAAGTTCTCCTGGATAATATCCTGAAGAGTGTTTTCCAACTTGGTTCCATTCTCCCTGTCAGTGTCAGGTACACCAATCAGACGTAGATTTGGTCTTTTCACATAGTCCCATATTTCTTGGAGGCTTTGTTTGTTTCTTTTTAGCCTTTTTTCTTTTATTTATTTATTTTTTTTTGAGACAGAGTCTCACTGTGTCACCGAGGCTGGAGGGCAGTGGTGCCATCTTGGCTCACTGCAAGCTCCACCTCCCGGGTTCACGCCATTCTCCTGCCTCAGCCTCCCGAGTGGCTGGGACTACAGGCGCCCGCCACCATGCCCAGCTAATGTTTTGTATTTTTAGTAGAGACGGGGTTTCACCGTGTTAGCCAGGATGGTCTCGATCTCCTGACGTTGTGATCCGCCCGCCTCGGCCTCCCAAAATGCTGGGATTACAGGCGTGAGCCACCGCGCCCGGCTTCTTTTTACCCTTTTTTCTCTAAATTCTCTTCTTGCTTCGTTTCATTAATTTGATCTTCAATCACTGATACCCTTTCTTCCACTTGATGGAATCGGCTACTGAAGCTTTTACATGTGTCACGTAGTTCTCGTGCCATGGTTTTCAGCTCCATCAGGTCCTTTGAGGTCTTCTCTACACTGTTTATTCTAGTTAGCCATTTGTCTAATCTTTTTTCAAGGTTTTTAGCTTCCTTATGATGGGTTCAAACCGCCTCCTTTAGCTCGGAGAAGTTTGTTATTACTGACCTTCTGAAGCCTACTTCTGTCAATTCATCAAAGTGATTCTCCATCCAGCTTTGTTCCATTGCTGGTGAGGAGCTGCGATCCTTTGGAGGAGAAGAGGTGTTCTGGTGTTTAGGATTTTCAGCTTTTCTGCTCTGGTTTCTCTCCATCTTTGTGGTTTTATCTGCCTTTGGTCTTTGATGATGGTGACCTACAGATGGGCTTTTGGTGTGGATGTCCTTGTTGTTGATGTTGATGCTATTTCTTTCTGTTTGTTAGTTTTCCTCCTAACAGGTCTCTGAGCTGCAGGTCTGTTGGAGTTTGCTAGAGGTCCACTCCAGACCCTGTTTGCCTGGGTATCACCAGCAGAGGCTGCAGAACAGCAGATATTGCAGAACAGCAAATATTACTGCCTGATCCTTCTTCTGGAAGCTTCGTCTCAGAGGGGCACCTGGCTGTATGAGGTGTTAGTCGGCCCCTACTGGGAGGTGTCTCCCAGTTAGGCTACACAGGGGTCAGGGACCCACTTGAGGAGGCAGTCTGTCCCTTCTTAGGACTCAAACTCCGTGCTGGGAGAACCACTGCTCTCTTCAGAGCTGTCAGACAGGGACGTTTAAGTCTGCAGAAGTTTCTGCTGCCTTTTGTTCAGCTATGCCCTGCCCCCCAGAGGTGGAGTCTACAAAGGCAGGCAGGCCTCCTTGAGCTGTGGTGGACTCCACCCAATAAGAGCTTCTGGGCCACTTTGTTTGCCTACTCAAGCCTCAGCAATGGAGGACCCCCTCCCCCAGCCAGGCTGCCACCTCGCTGTTCGATCTCGGACTGCTGCTCTAGCAGTGAGCAAGGCTCCGTGGGCGTAGGACCCTCTGAGCCAGGCTCTGGGTATAATCTCCTGGTGTGCCATTTGCTAAGACCATTGGAAAAGTGCAGTATTAGGGCAGGAGTGTCCCGATTTTCCAGGTACACTCTGTCACAGTTTCCCTTGGCTGGGAAAGGGAAATCCCCTGAACCTTGCACTTCCCAGGTGAGGCGATGCTCCGCCCTGCTTCAGCTCACCCTCCATGGGCTGTACCCACTGTCCAACCAGTCCCAGTGAGATGAACCAGTTACCTTAGTTGGAAATGCAGAAATCACCTATCTTCTGTGGCAATCACGCTGGGAGCTGCAGACCAGAGCTGTTCCTATTTGGCCATCTTGTTTTCACTCTATTTTATTCTCTTCTAACAGGGGATTTCTTTTTTGTTTTTTGTTTTTTTTTCCGAGATGCAGTCTCACTCTGTCCCTCAGGCTGGAGTGCAGTGGCACAATCTCGGCTCCCAGGTTCAAGTGATTCTTCTGCCTCAGCTTCCTGAGTAGTTGGGACTACAGGTGGGTACCACCATACCTACCTAATTTTTGTATTTTTAGTAGAAATGGGGTTTCACCATGTTGGCCAGGCTGGTCCCAAACTCCTGACCTCGTGATGCACACACCTCGGTCTCCGAAAGTGCTGGGATTTCAGGTGTGAGCCACTGCGCCCCACAGTAATGTTTCCATTTCAATTCTGATTTTAGTGACTTGAATCATCTCTCCCTTATCTTGGTCAATCTAGTTTAGGGTTTGACAATTTTGTTTACCTTTTTAAGAAATAAATATTTTATTTTATTTATTTATTTATTGTTTTTCTATTTCATTAGTTTCCACTCTAATCTTTATTTCTTTCCTTCCTGTTGTGTTAGCTTTAGTTTGCTCGTCTTTTTTCAGTGTCTTACAATGTAAGGGCTATTGATTTAAGATCTTTTGTCTTTCCTAACATAAACATTCCCAGCTATAAATTTACTTCTTAGCACTGTTTTAGCTGTATCCAGTACATTTTGATATGTTGTGCTGTTGTGTACTTTTTTTTTTTTTTGAGACCTAGTCTCACCCTGTCACCCAGGCTGGAGTGCAGTGGCACATTCTCAGCTCACTGCAACCTCACCTTCCCAGGTTCAAACGATTCTCATGCCTCAGCCTCCCCAGTAGCTGGGATTACAGACATGTGCCACCACACCCAGCTAATTTTTTATATTTTCTTGTAGAGACATGGTTTTGTGACTAGGCTGGCCTCCAACTCCTAGCGTCAAGTGATTCGCCCGCCTTGGCCTCTCAAAGTGCTGGGATTACAGGCATGAGCCACCGCGCCTGACTGAACTCATTTTTATTTATCTGAACGTATTTAAATTGTTTTAAATAAAAGTAAAACACATAACATTAAATTTATCATCCTAACCATTTTTAAGTATACAGTTTAGTAGTATTAAGTATATTCACATTGTTATGCAACAGATCTCTGGAACACTTTCATCTTTCAACACTGAAACTCTATGCCCAACAAACGCTAATTCTCCTCTCCCTTCCAGCCAGTCCTTGGCAACCACCTTTCTACCTTCTGTTTCTATAATTGTGTCTACTTTAGATACTTCTTATTAGTGGAATCATACAGTGTCTGTTCTTTTGTGACTGGCTTACTTCACTTGCCATAATGTCCTCAAGATTTATCTATTATTGTAGTATGTGATAGGATTTCCTTTTTTAAGGCTACATAATATTCTGTTGTATGTATATACCACATTTGGTATATCCATTCATCTGTCAATTGACATTTGTTTTGCTTTTACCTCTTGGCTAGTGTGAATAATGCTACAGTTATCTCTTTAGGATCCTACTTTGAATGCTTTTGAATTCTTTTGAAACCCCTGCAGAAGTAGGTTTGCTGGATTATATGGGAATCATAATTTTAATTTTGTGAAGAAACCCTGTGTTGGGAAAACTCTCACCAACCATTTTCCTCTAGTCTTACACCACAATAATCATCAACATAGAAGACTACTGTGGCCAAATGTGTGAAGGTTTTTCCCCACACATCAAGCAGCAGACACCAGCTAGGTGTCCTCCAATTCAGTTCTGACACTGTCTACCTGAAGGTAATGTCAGTTCCTGCAGGTTGGGGGCTCAGTCCACAAGACTTCCCCCTATAGCCTCAGATACCAGTTGCAAGTCTGGGTCTCTGGGACTTCTTGACTGACTGGTTTCAATTTGGGGTTCCTACAACCTCCTCTTTGGGTTAAGTTAATTTGCTGGAGTGGCTCACAGAACTCAGGGAAACATTTACATTCACCAGTTTATTATAAAGGACACAGATGAATAGACTGGCAGGGCAAGGTATGGTGGAAGGGGTATGGAGCTTCCATGCCCTCCCTGGGCATGCCACCCTCCAGCAACCTTCACGGGTTCAGCTATCTGGAGGTCTTTGAACCCAGTCTTCTTGGGTTTGTATGGAAGCATTCCTTCCTCCAGGGTATGAGACTGGACCCTCCCAGGGGAGGGTCTTAAGACCCATAATGAAAAAGATGGGGTAATATTAGAGTTCTGCCTTGGGGCAGGTGAAAGGAAGGCAGGAGGTAGATTCTGTTCCTTGAGGCCTGCCCCTGAGGCCTAACACACACAACATTATAACAAAAGACTGTAACAAGGGAGATGGAAGTTATGAACCAGTAACTGTGGATGAAAACCTATAACTTATATATATACATGTATATATATATGTATATAGACCACGAACTCCACACTGTTTTTCATAATGGCTGCACCATTTTACATTCCCGCCAACAGTGCACACATTTCCAATTTCTGCATATCCTCTCCAACACTTGTTATTTTCTATTCTTTTCATAGGGCCATCCTAACAGATGTGAGATTATATTTCATTATGATTTTGATTTGTATTTCTCTAATGATTAGTAATGTTGAACATTTTTTCATATGCTTATTGGCTATTTGTATATCTTTTTTCAAGAAATGTTTATTAAAGTCTGTTGCCCATTTTAAAATCAGGTTATTTGTTTTTTGTTGTTGTTGAGTTGTACAAGTTCCTTATATACGCTGGATATTAACCCTTTATCAGTTGCAAACATTTTCCTCCTGTTCCATAGGTTGTGTTTTCACTTTTTTGATTGTTTCCTTTGATGTGCGGAAATTTTTAAGTTTGGTGTGGTCCCATTTGTCTATTTTTGCTTTTGTTGTCTGTGTTCTTGGTGGCTTGTCCAAGAAATCACTGTCAAATCCAATGTCCTGAAGCTTTTCCTCCATGTTTTCTTCGAGGAGTTGTATAGTTTTTGGTCTTATGTTTAGGTCTTTAACCCATTTTGAATTTTTTTTGTATATGTATAAAGATAAGGTCCAATTCATTATTTTGCATGTAGATAACCACTTTTTCCAATACTGTTTACTGAAGGCTCTGTCCTTTCTCCATTGTGTAGTCTTGGCATCATTGTCAAAATTATTCATCCATATATGCAAGGATTTATTTCTGGGCTCTCTGTTCCATTAGTCTGTATACCTGTCTTTATGTCAGTAATACAACCATCTTTTTTGTTTGAGACAGAGTCTTGCTCTGTCACCTGTCACCCAGGCTAGGGTGCATTGGCATGATCTCAGCTCACTGCAACCTCTGCCTGCCGGGTTCAAGCAATTCTCCTGCCTCAGCCTCCCAAGTAGCTGGGACTATAGGCACGTGCCACCATGCCCAGCTAATCTTTTGTATTTTTAGTAGAGACGGGGTTTTACCATGCTGGCCAGGCTGGCCTTGAACTCCTGACCTCGTCATCCACCCACCTTGGTCTCCCAAAGTGCTGGGATTACAGGCATGAGCCACTGCGCCTGGCCCCTACAACCATCTTCATTAGCGTTGCTTTCTAGTATGGTTCAAAATCAGGAAGAATGAGTTCTACAGCTTTGTTCTTTTTCAAGATTGTTTTGGCTGTTCAGGTTCCCTGGAGATTCCATATGAGTCTTAGGATGATTTTTTTCTATATTTTCCTATTTCTGCAAAATTGCCATTGAGTTTTTGATAAGAATGCCATTGAATCTGTAGATCACGTTGGATAATATGTACTTATTCACAGTATTAAAGTCTTCCACTCCACAAGCACAGGATGCCTTTCCATTTATTTGTATCTTGTCTGATTTCTTTTAGCAATGTTTTGTAGTTTTTCCCGCACAAGTCTTTTACCTCCTTGGTTCAGTTTATGCCTAAATATTTTATTCTTTTTGGTGCTATAGTAAATGGGATTGTTTTCTTAATTTTCTTTTCAGGTTGGTCATTGCTAGTTTGTAGAAATGCAACTGATTTTTGTGTGTTCATTTTATACCCTGCTACTTTTCTAAAGTTGTTTATTAGTTGTAACAGGTTTTTTTGTGTGTGTGTGGGAAGGTCTTCAGGGTTTCCACATATAAGATCATGTCATCTGTAAACAGATAATTTTAGTTTTCTTTTCCAGTTTGGATGACTTTTGTTTCTTTCTTTCGTTCTTTCCTTCCTTTTCTTTTCTTTCAAGACGGGGTCTGGCTTTGTCCCCATGCTGGAGTACAATGGTGTGATCTCGGCTCATTGCAACCTCCACCTCCCGGGTTCAAGTGAACCCTGCCTCAGCCTCCCAAGTAGCTGGGATTACAGGTGCATGCCATCATGCCCGGCTAGTTTTTGTAGATTTTTATGGTTATGGGGTTTCACCATGTTGCCTAGGCTGGTCTTGAACACCTGGGCTCAAGCAGTGCACCCTCTCGGCCTCCCAAAGTGCTGGGATTACAGGCTGTAGCCAGCGCACTGGGGCTTTTTTTCTTGTCTAATTGCTCTGAGTAGGACTTCTAGTGCTATGTTGAACAGTAGTGGTGAGAGTAAGCATCCTTGCCTTGTTCTAGATCTTAGAGGAAAAGCTAAGGCCACTGAATATATTACCTGTGGGCTTTTCATGTATGGCTTTTATTAAGTTGAGGTAGTTTCATTCTATTCCTAGTTTGCTGAGTACTTTTTTCTTTTTTCTTTTCTTTTTTCTTTTTTTGAGTCGGAGTTTTGCTCCCTTGACCAGGCTGCAGTGCAGTGGCGCCATCTCTGCTCACTGCAAAGTCTGCCTCCCGGGTTCACGCCATTCTCCTGCCTCAGTCTCCCGAGTAGCTGGGACTACAGGCGTCTGCCACCATGCCCGGCTAATTTTTTTCATTTTTTTTAGTAGAGACGGGGTTTCACCGTGTTAGCCACGATGGTCTCGATCTCCTGAACTCGTGATCCGCCCGCCTCGGCCTCCCAAAGTGCTGGGATTACAGGCGTGAGCCATCGCGCCTGGCCGCTGAGTGCTTTTTTCATAAAAGTGTGTTGAATTTTGTTGAATCCTTTCTGTATCTCAATTGAGATGATATTTGATTATTGCCATTCATTTTATTAACATGGAGTATTATATAACCCTGGATATTTCACTCCCAAGAGTGCTAATCCTCTGACATTAGTCTTCGTGGTGATGCAGTTTTTGGTATGCCCCCAGTCACCCTGGGATGACAGTGGTGCTGGCAATGTTCTTTTTCACTCTTTTTCTGACCACACCCTACTGTTGTGTTTCAGTTATTGCTGACCAGTTGTTGTATTGTTTTCAACAATGCCTTGAGGTATAAATTCCTCTATGAACAAATCCAATCAAAATGTAGCTCCTTAAATGGAATAGTTTCTGATGTAAGTATTTGATATTTGTCCTGACTCCAAAAGGGTTCCTCCTACCTGTCTTATTTCCTGATTCTCTCCTGCATACTAGCCAGACTGCAGTTTAAGATCTATCTTTCTTAGATTCACAAATTTCCTCCCAATTACCTTTCATCAAAATCTCCACCATTCTTGAGAATGCCCTTAGCTTTCCACTTCTCTATTCTATGTTACAAATTAAATCAGTTATTTTGGGAAAGGATTGGAAGCTATCTACTTTTTGGCTCATTTATTTCTTCTTCTTCTTTTTTTTTTTTTTTTTTTTGAGATGGAGTCTTGCTCTGTCGCCCAGGCTGGAGTGCAGTGGTACAATCTCAGCTCACTGCAACCTCCACCTCCTGGGTTCAAGCGATTCTCCTTCCTCAGCCTCCATAGTAGCTGGAATTATAGGCACACACCACCAGGCCCAGCTATTTTTTTTGTATTTTTAGTAGAGATGGGTTTTCGCCATGTTGGCCAGGCTGGTCTCAAACTCCTGACCTCAGGTGATCTGCCCGCCTTGGCCTCCCAAAGTGCTGGGATTACAGACATGAGCCACCATGCCCGGCTGGCTCATTTCTTTCTATAGGAAAAATCTCTGAGCTAGGACTCTGGAGCTAGAGGTGGTAACAATTGCATGTTTCTCTTTGTGGAAGAAAAGTTCTAGATGCTGAACACTCAGTGGATGAAGTGCAGTAGTCTGAAATCCTCTTGGCTTGTATTTCCTGTTTTGAAGCCACTGCCTCACAAGCCGCAGTAAGAGCTATTAGCACCTTAGTATTCTCTGTGTGCCATGCTCAAGGTAGAGTATTAACTATGTAGGGGTGGCGGAAAAGCTTCCTCTCTGCCCACTGAAATTTGCTGAAAATGAAGTGACAAAGGCAGATTAATAAAAGAAAAAGACATACAAAATTTATTTAACATACATAAGCATGGGGTAATTGTAGGAGAGTGATTACCCAGTGTCCCAGTGAAGTTCAAATACATATATGCCCTTCTTCATAGGGGAAGGAGAGATTGAAGCTGATCATTTAGTATTCCTTTTTACAGTGACATTATATTGATGTACCATAGTTTTCTCAAATTGACCCTTTTGTCAGACATTTGGATTGTTTCCTTTTTTTTGTTTTTTTTTTTTTGAGATGGAGTCTCGCTCTGTCTCCCAGGCTAGAGTGCAGTGGCATGATCTTGGCCCCAGCCTCCCTAGTAGCTGGGGCTACAGGCACGTGCCGCCACACCCAGCTAATTTTTTGTATTTTAATAGAGACGGGGTTTCATCATGTTAGCCAGGATGGTCTCAATCTCCTGACCTGGTGATCCACCTGCCTCAGCCTCCCAAAGTGCTGGGATTACAGGCATGAGCCACCGCACCCGGCCTGGATTGTTTCCTTCTTTTGCTTTACAAATAGAGTTGTGATGAATAGTCATGCATCTGTTTTCCTTTTTATTTATTTAGTATTTATTATTATTATTATTATTTGAGATGGAGTTTTGCTCTCTCACCCAGGCTGGAGTGCTGTGGTGACATCTTGGCTCACTGCAACCTCTGCCTCCTGGGATTCAAGCAATTCTCCTGCCTCAGCCTCTTGAGGAGCTGCAATTACAAGTGCCCGCCACTACACCTGACTACTTTTTGTATTTTTAGTAGAGGCAGGGTTTCACTGTGTTGACCAGGCTGGTCTCAAACTTTTGGCCTCAAGTGATTTGCCGGCCTTGGCCTTCCAAAGTGTTGAGATTACAGGCGTAAGCCACTGTGCCTGGCCCTTTTTATTTTGATAGTATATATTAGGGATAGCTTTTTAGAAGTGGAATTTGTGGGTTAAAGGGTAAATAATTATACATTTTTTCTAGATACTGCAAATTTTCTGCCCTTGGAATTATACCATTTTCCATTCCCACCAGTACTCTATGAAAAGACTAATTTCTCGGCAACCTTGACAACAAAGTATGCTATCCAATCTAATTTAGTATGTCTTTCACTTATTATGAGTAAAGTCAGGGTATTTGGGGTATCCATCACTTTGAGTATTTATCATTTCTATGTGTTGGTTTCAGGTTATCTCTTATAGCTACTTTGAAATATACAATACATTGTTGCTAACTATAGTCACCCTACTCTACTATCAACATTAGAGGCTGGCTGTGGTGGCAGGCACCTGTAATCCCAGCTGCTCAGGAGACTGAGGCAGGAGAATCACTTGAACCTGGGAGGTGGAGGTTGCAGTGAGCTGGGATGGTGCCACTGCACTCCAGCCTGGGCAAGACAGCCAGACTCCAACTCAAAAAAAAAAAAAAAAAAAAGAACCTATACCTTCTATCTAATTATATGTTTGTACACATTGACCAACCTGCCTTTGTACGCAGCTCCAATGCACACACCCTTCCCTGACCCTGGTATCTATGATTCTACTCTCTACCTCCATGAGATCAACTTTTTAAACTCCCACATATGACTGAAAAGATGTGAAATTTGTCTTTCTGTTTCTCGCTTACTTTATTTAACATAATGACCTCCAGTTCCAATTACAATGGATTATATTAATATCTTTCCTAATAATGAGTGATCTTTACACTCCTGGAATAAACCCTACTTGGACATCCTGTATTACTGTTTTAAATGTGCTATTGTATTCTGTTTGCTATAAATTTTATTTAAGATTTAGGCATTACATTTCATATATTTCATATGTGAAATTGACCTGTAGTTTTCATTTTTAGTGCAAACTGAAATGTTATACTAACTTTATAAAGTGCTAGTGTCTATGCTTCGAATAATTTAAGTAGCATCATGATTTTTTGATATTTGACAGTTTGGTAGGATTTCTTTATGAAAGTATTTGAGCTTGGTGCCCTTTTTATTGAGTATGCCTGTTAAACTATTTTTCTTAACTGGTCTGTTTAGACTTTCTGTCTCTACAAGGGTTAGTTTGAGTATGCTACATTTGTCTAAAAAATCCACTAAGTTTGCCAGTTATTTGCTAGTTGTGTTATGTTATCTCTGATGATTTCAAAAAAGGTCTTCTGTGTTGATGATTATTTCCTCCAGTTCTAATTTTGTGTATTTGCACTAATTTTCTCTTTGTTGGCTAGAGGTTTGTCTATTTTGTTGACTTTCAAATATCCACCTTTTTTGTGTCTTTATTAGTTATACTTTGTTTCTAACTCATTCTCTGAATTTGTCCTTACAACCCTTCCTTCCTCATTCTTTTGGTTTATTTTGTTGTTCATTTAGTAGCATCTTGAGCTGTGTTTGATTCATTTGTTATTTTTTGTTATCGATATAGGTATGTGAGGAAATAAATTTCCTTCTGATAAATGCTTTAGCTCTATCTCACAGATTCTATGTCACATTTGCACTTTTGTCCCTTTCAAGAAATTATGTAATTAAAATTTGTATTTCCTTCTTGACTCGAGTTGTATTATAGCATGCTTTAAAATTTTCAGGTGGAAGTGACTTTTATTTTTTATTTTATCAATTTCTAGTTTTATTGCATGATGGTCAGAGAATGATGTTTGTGTTATTTCTATACTTTGGAACTTACTGAGGTTTTCTTCTGTGGTCCGTTTTCATGAATGTTTCACAGGTACTACAAAAGAATGTGGTGCGGAGAGAGAGGTATACCGGACCCGAACTCTCTCGCCACACTCTTCCTCGTTCCTTGATTATTTCCGGTAATGCTCCTGAATCCACATTTTTATGAAAAAAAAAAAACCACTTTATTCTTCTTGTATGCGACCCTCTGCAAACTGTTTTTTTTAAATAAAGTATTCAAGTATGATTGACGTCCCTTTAATCTCAGATGGGCTGATAATAGGATTGGATAATTCTGTTATTCACCACATCCCCTTATCTTGTCTTTCTGCCCATTTAAGCTACTCTCCCAGTGTTGGCTGAGACCCTGTGGGTTCCTTGGGCTGGGAGGCAGAAGCCCGGAGCTCAGAGGATGAGGTTGGTGAGCCAGACCCGGCACACGGAGGGCTTGATGAATCGTTCATGCGCGTGTTGAGTGTATACCGCCCTCGTATCGTTTTCTGCCAATCGGGACCGGACCGGGAGCGGATTCTGCCCGAAAGGGGGCGCGATCTGGCGGGTGCTCCTCTTCCTCGCTCCCCAGTCCGCGCCTCGCTGGGCTCAGCACCCCGGCCCCCGGCGGGACGGAGGCTCGGGTCCAAAGCAGTGGCTGCACCGACACGAACCCGTCTGCGTTTCTCCACCTGTCTTCCCTCGCCACCTGCATCTACTATGGTCTCTAAATGCCTCGCTTTGTACTTTGTGGCTTTCTGGCAGCCCTTTAAAGCAGCGGTGAAAGAAAGGAGAGAGTCAAGACACGGGAGAAAATGTTTCATCCCGGGTTCTTCTAGTGGTGCCCGGTAAGTGACTCCGGACTGACGAGCAGAAAAATCCCAGGGCCATCAATAGAGGGCCTTCGGTGTAGAATGCGGTTTGCTCAGCTGTCAGCAAAGAGGGACGCAAAACCTAAATTTGAGATATCAGAAATAACTAAATAAAATAGACCTTGGCTGATTACAACTAATGGTTCTGAAACCTAGCAAAAGGGTCAGATTCTGATCTTGAATATACTCTCGAGAGAACCGTTTCAGTACGGGGGTGTAGCTCAGTGGTAGAGCGCGTGCTTAGCATGCACGAGGCCCCGGGTTCAATCCCCGGCACCTCCATTCCTTTTGCTTTTAATTTTTTTCCCATTGCTTTACTTTATTTTCCTTGCTTAAACAGAAAGTAACCCTATTTCACAACGGTTTTGCCATTAATATTAGTGCTGTTCCATTTCTACTCCTCAGCCTTGACACGACTCGGGGGACTGCCTAAGCAAAAGGTGGAAAAGATGGAGCTGGAAGACAAAGACGGCTCCGGATTCCAAAACTTCAATGGCGTCGCCAAATTGACGAGCTCATTAACCTTTGGAGTATTGTTATTTAAAAAGTAGGAAATAAAAGATAAATGTGGAAATATTTAATAAAAGAAAAACGTAAGCTCTCAATTTTCTTTATTACTTTTTTTTTTTTGAGACGGAGTCTCTCGCTCTGTCGCCCAGTGGCACGATCTTGGCTCACTGCAAGCTCCGCCTCCCGGGTTTACGCCATTCTTCTGCCTCAGCCTCCCGAGTAGCCGGGACTACAGGCGCCCGTCACCACGCCCGGCTAATTTTTTCTATTTTTTTGGTAGAGACAGGGTTTCACCGTGTTAGCCAGGATGGTCGCGATCTCCTGACCTCGTGATCCTCCCGCCTCGGCCTCCCACAGTGCTGGGATTACAGGAGTAAGCCACCACCGCTCCCAGCCGATTTCCTTTATTTTTTTTCTGGTCCTTGTTTAGCCATGATCCATCGCAGGCTGAGCCCTGACAAACGCAAAGCCTTCCAAACTGGGAAATTGAGAAAGTTATTTTCATCAATGAATGTAGAGGCGTCACACTTCTGCCGAAATAGCTCCACTGGGAAGCATGCTCTGCTGAAGATCTCAAAGTTCACGGACTGATTTCCAGTTTTATTCTGTCTTCACTCCTGCCGGATAATTTGACTTCCCTTAGATGACGTTACAGAAGTAATTTTACCTAAGACAGGTGCGCCCTCTATCGTAAGGATATCTTTCAGACTCTTGGTCCACACAAGAGTTGGTGGCACCGGAGAGCTTGTTAGAAGAGCGAAATCTCAGCTTCACCTCAGACGTACTGAACCAGAAGTAGCAATTTAACAAGATCCACAAGAGATTCTTTTGCACATTTAAGAAGCAATATGACGTGCTTTGACGTGGATGGAGTAAGGGTGTATAGTATAAATACGCGGCTGTGTTTTTTCCCCCAATTTTCTATTCTAACAGAAAACATAATTGCAAAAAATATATATTTCTATTGCTGAATCATTTTTGTGTTCTAATCATTGACTCTGTTCCTTGCCTCTCTGGCAATATTGTACTTAGTAATATTTTTTGAATCACTATTCATGATTGAATATGATGTGAAGTTTTCATTTTCTTTTTTTTTTTTCTTGAGACGGAGTCTCACTCTGTCGTCCAGGTTGGAGTGCAGTGGCGCGATCTCGACTCACTGCAACCTCCGCCTCCCGGGTTCAAGCGATTCTCCTGCCTCAGCATCCCGAGTAACTGGGACAACAAGCGCGCGCCACCGCGCCCGGCTAATTTTTTATATTTTTTTTAGGGACGGGGTTTCACCATATTGGCCAGGCTGGTCTCGAACTCCTGACCTCATGATCCGCCCGCCTCGCAAAGTGCTGGGATTACAGGCATGAGCCACCACTCCCGGCCTTTATTTTCTTTTTCGCAAGTTTTGCAATAAAGGCTGTGCTAACTTCTAATGTAAACTGGGAAGTTTGTATCCTTGCTCTGAAACATTTTAAATAGAATAAGACCTTGTAATCATTCCAGAATACACAGCCCTCTTCTCATCAGCTACCACCAAATCTTCAAGAACTTTTGTATTAACACCACTTTGTATTCTAAGCCCTGTGATAGATTTTAAAGATCCAAAACCCTTTGCTAACCCTAATGAAAGTGTGAGCTGAAGGATATCTCAAGAATTGGGAAATCCTTGGTTTCCGATATAATATCAGGCCACCTCTGTCCCTGTGAAGTGATTAGGAAATTTTCAATGGAGAAAATAAGTTCCAAAAGTCATTCTTTCTCAGATTAAGATGTCTTGGGTTTCAGTTTACTTCTTTAAAGAAAGATTCAGAGTTAGTACTGAGGACCCAGACTTTCTTGATGTGGGAAATAGATAATTTTCTGTTCTGTTGACATTTTTTCTCTCTCTTCTCTCATTTTCAAAGTACAGTTCCACAATGTCTCTTTGCCACTTATACTCACTGTGGCAGAAAAAAATTATTCACAGGCTTCAATCATGGGAATCAATTTGCAAAGGAATATAGTAAAAGCATGAGGAAAATTATCATGAATTATTACCATTGCTTTATGCTAGGGCTCAGGCCCAAATGGAAATATTTTTTTCTGCTCCCCACAATAGACTTCTTTAAGGAAGTCCACCTCTGTAATTTAGGGTAGAAATGGATAGGATGCAAAAACCAAGAGTTTAATATAAGAAAGCTATAGAAAATATAGGATGGAGATTTCAAAAACATCTTGGGACAATGAAAACAAATGACATATGACAGATAGAAGTACTTCTTTGAGAGCAAACAGTGCCTATCTTTGGCCTAGGACAATAGTGAATCATTTTAAGGTACATTGTAGATGAATTTTGGAAATTCAACTATATTTTATTTTGGGGTTGTATACTTCAATGAGATCATATTTTAAAAAAATTTTTCTCCACAGAGAAATTAAGGACCTCTTTCAAAAATCAGCTGGGCATGGTGGCGACCACCTGTAATCACTGCTACTTGGGAGGCTGAGGCAGGAGAATTGCTTGAACCTCGGAGGCGGAGGTTGCAGTGAGCCAAGATCATGCCACTGCACTCCAGCCTGGGTGACACAATGAGACTCCATCTCAAAAAAAAAAAAAAAAAATTAAGGACTTCTGAGAGGAATGAGGACGTGGCCATGCGTGAGACCCTGGGTGAATGTGTGGGAAGCGGCAGGTGGGCAGGACCATTGGCTGCACAGTGATATGGAAGCAGACACAATCCATCAGGCCATGTAGTCAATCTGACTCAAAAGGTAGAGTTTTATTCTTTTCAAAGACATATTTAATTGAAGAAAAAAGATTATTTAACCCTTTACTGTCTAGTTCAGGAATTCTTTTTTAATATTCAATCAAGGTGGGAGACTTACAACAGTGTAATCAAACCTCCCTCTCCCTGTCAACAAATCAAGATGTAAATCCCAAAGAATATAGAGTGAATTCAATTTCTAGATTATCATATAAGAGCTCCTTACATGAAAACTATTACTCCACCTTTTTGTCAACTTTAAGAAAACAGTACTCAACCAGTTACAATCTTCTCTCTGGTTGTAGATTGTCTAGAGATGTCATTCGCATGTCTGCAGGCTCCCTGAGCAGAGTAATTGAGTATGAATGAGTTCTATCTCCTGAGATAAATGGTTGGTTCATCAGAAAAATCTCATATATTTGGAACTCATCCTATGTCTCCCCATGCATAGATATTTCTGAATGCTTACAGAAACTTAAACAATTCTCACAGTGTTCTCTGTACTTTGGGGCAAACAGAAAAAAAAAAAAAAAGAAACACCTCCTTGTGGGGAACTTCTGGTAATCTAACTGGTATCTTGGTTTCTTCAGGTGCAAGTTAGAGAATAATTACATGATGACTCTGGAAACAACTTTCACACCATCAAACAGTCTAGATAATTTTCTTTCTTTCTTTCTTTCTTTCTTTTTTTTTTTTTTTTTGAGACAGAGTCTTGCTCTGTCGCCCAGGCTGGAGTGCAGTAGCGCGATCTCGGCTCACTGCAAGCACCGCCTCCTGGGTTCACGCCATTCTCCTGCCTCAGCCTCCCGAGTAGCTGGGACTACAGGCGCCCTCCACTACACCTGGCTAATTTTTTGTTTTTTGTTTTTTTTTTTAAGTAGAGACGGGGTTTCACCGTGTTAGCCAGGATGGTCTCGGTCTCCTGACCTCGTGATCCGCCCGCCTCGGCCTCCCAAAGTGTTGGGATTACAGCCATGAGCCACCGCGCCCGGCCAAAACAGCCTAGATAATTTTTCTCACATCCTCCCAGCACTTTCACGCGCGCGCGCGCGCACAAACACACACACACCAGAGCTTGTAGAGTTTTGTGGGTGACACTTAAATACCCAATTTCAGTGAAACCTGCCATTATGTTTCCTCTTACCTATTCCGCTATCCCTATGAGCCAACAGAGAGAAATTCTGCCAAACCATAAGGTGTTCCCAACCTCGAAAGGGGCTCAGCAATATGCTTACCAATATAGGTAAAGTCATACATAAGGAGAATGAGAATGAAGATGAATGAGAAAAGATAACACCTACTGGGAAACTAGCCAGGAAATGAGACTTTCTGGGTCTTTTGTGAAAGTTTCAAGGCCATGGTGACAACCAGTGTGAATTCCAGGGTTGAAGATCAGCTAGGAAGAAGTTCATTTTTTTGCTTTTCACAACTATCAGTAAGTAAGTTTCTGATCTTCATATCTCAAAGGACACTTTGAGTTCTCATTGTACTCACACTGTATTGGTGCCTTCTACTCACTCCCACCTCCACGTATTCAGATCAGAGCACTGGGCTAAGTTCACTGTGTTTCACCAATGGGCAGGATCCTACGGAAGAATATGGTAAGTTCAACACGTTCCCAAACAAACTCACCTCCTCCTCCTAATATCTTGTCCATTCCTTCAAAGAACAATAAGCATCTCTATTCTGCTTTTTTTCCTCCTGTTTGTTGAGGCTCTCTTTTATGGATTCCCCACTTTCTGGCTTGCTCTATAAATCCAATAAGTCTTTGAATCCTGTGTCTAGCTACCTATGAATGTGCTTTCAAAATTTCAAAGTTTTTCTCCATCCTTGAATCTGCTATTTATTTCATGTCTTGAACATTATTCTGGGCTACTCCATGAACCTCCTCAGTTGCCTTCATGCTGTAGTACAATCAAGAACCCCTTGGCAATGAATAACAGGTTGCATGTGGTTTTCATTCTCACCTGGGGTTTTCTCATCAAAGTTTTGCTCTTACCATTCCTGTGAAGCAAACAGCAATAGCAGAAGTGCTTTATTCAGGAAAAAGCTGGTCAGTTTTCTAACGCAAGTTTCCAGTATTCTGCGTTCCATTTCAAGCTTTATTTGCCAAAACTTCAATATCCCCCACAGCTGGGGGTCTTCCAACTTAAAATGGTCACAAATCCTGCTTCTAAACCCAACACTTAGTGCTAAAACAATGAACACAGGAATGGAGACCCACAGAATATAACGAGATATTCCTTTATTTTTCATTTTATTTAATTTTTTACATCTTTAGATTGGAGAAATACCTTTTTAGGGTTTTTGGGTTTTTGTTTGTTTGTTTTTTGAGACAGAGTCTCACTCTGTCCCCAAGGCTGGAGTGCAGTGGCGCCATCTCCGCTCACTGCAGCCTCCACCTCCCAGGTTCAAGAGATTCTCCTGCCTCAACCTCTGAGCAGCTGGGGTTACAGGCACGTGCCATCACGCCCGGCTAATTTTTGTATTTTTAGTAGAGACAGGGTTTCACCTTGTTGGCTCGGCTGGCCTCGAACTTCTGACCTTAAATGATCTGACCGCCTCCAACTTCCAAACTGCTGCGATTACAAGCGTGAGCTACCGTGCCCGGCCACCTTTTTAATTTTTAAGTTATTTTTTATTTCCATATTTTTATTGTTTTCATATACTGCAATAGTACTTGGAGGACGACACAAATATCTCTTGGCATGAGGAGATGTAGTTCAGTGATAGAACGTGTGCCTTACATATAGGAGGCCTCAGGTTCAGCTCCCGAGAACCTTCAACGGTCAGTTTCCGAGTTCTTAATACCACTCCTTAGTACAAAGCACATTCAGGTGTCCTACTCTCTTTTCGTTGCCTGTCACATGAGAAGTAAACACGTGACCCCAAGACGTTAATTTCTGTTTTTTTTTTTTTTTTTTTAGAGATGGAGTCTCACTCAGTCGCCCAGGCTGGAGTGCAGTGGCGTGATCTCGGCTCACTGCAAGCTCCGCCTCCTGGGTTCACACCATTCTCCAGCCTCAGCCTCCTGAGTAGCTGGGACTACAGGCGCCTGCCACTATGCCTGGCTAATTTTTTTTTTTTTTTTTGTATTTTTAGTAGAGACCGGGTTTCACCGTGTTAGCCAGGATGGTCTCGATCTCCTGACCTCGTGATCCGCCTGTCTTGACCTCCCAAAGTGCTGGGATTACAGGCTTGAGCCACCGCGCCCGGCCTCTTTTTTTTTTAAGATTTTTTTTTTTAATCATTATACTTTAAGTTCTAGGGTACCTGTGCACAACGTGCAGGTTTGTTACATATGTATACATGTGCCATGTTGGTGTGCTGCACCCATTAACTCCTCATTTACATTAGGTATTTCTCCTAATGCTATCCCTCCCCTATCACCCCACCCCGCGACAGGCCCCGGTGTGTGATGTTCCCCACCCTGTGTCCAAATGTTCTCATTGTTCAATTCCCACCTATGAGTGAGAACGTGCAGTGTTTGGTTTTCTGTCCTTGTGATAGTTTGTTCAGAATGATGGTTCCCAGCTTCATCCATGTCCCTACAAAGGACATGAACTCATCCTTTTTTATGGCTGCATAGTATTCCATGGTGTATATGTGCCACGTTTGTTAAATTCAGTCTATCATTGATGGACATGTGCCTTACATATAGAAGGCACATTTGGGTTGGTTCCAAGTCTTTGCTATTGTGAATAGTGCCACAATAAACATACGTGTGCATGTGTCTTTATAGCAGCATGATTTATAATCCTTTGGGTATATACCCAGTAATGGGATGGCTGGGTCAAATGGTATTTCTAGTTCTAGATCCTTGAGGAATCGCCACACTGTCTTCCACAATGGTTGAACTAGTTTACAGTCCCACCAACAGTGTAAAAGTGTTCCTATTTCTCCACATCCTCTCCAGCACCTGTTGTTTCCTGACTTTTTAATGATTGCCATCCTAACTGGTGTGAGATGGAATCTCATTGTGGTTTTGATTTGCATTTCTCTGATGGCCAGTGATGATGAGCATTTTTTCATGTGTCCATTGGCTGCATAAATGTCTTCTTTTGAGAAGTGTCTGTTCATATCCTTTGCCCACTTTTTGTTGGGGTTTGATGGGGTTGTTTGATTTTTTCTTGTAAATTTGTTTAAGTTCTTTGTAGATTCTAGATATTAGCCCTTTGTCAGATGGGTAGGTTGCAAAAATTTTCTCCCATTCTGTAGGTTGCCTGTTCGCTCTGATGGTGGTTTCTTTTGCTGTGCAGAAGCTCTTTGGTTTAATTAGATCCCATTTGTCTATTTTGGCTTTTGTTGCCATTGCTTTTGGTGTTTTAGACATGAAGTCCTTGCCCATGCCTATGTCCTGAATGGTATTGCCTAGGTTTTGTTCTAGGGTTTTTATGGTTTTAGGTCTAACATTTAAGTCTTTCATCCATCTTGAATTAATTTTTGTATAAGGTGTAAGGAAGGGATCCAGTTTCAGCTTTCTACATATGGCTAGCCAGTTTTCTCAGCACCATTTATTAAATAGGGAATCCTTTCCCCATTTCTTGTTTTTGTCAGGTTTGTCAAAGATCAAATGGTTGTAGACGTGTGGTATTATTTCTGAGGGCTCTATTCTGTTCCATTGGTCTATATCTCTGTTTTGGTACCAGTACCATGCTGTTTCAGTTACTGTAGCCATATAGTATAGTTTGAAGTCAGGTAGCATGATGCCTCCAGCTTTGTTCTTTTGGCTTAGGATTGTCTTGGCAATGCAGGCTCTTTTTTGGTTCCATATGAACTTTAAAATAGTTTTTCTCCAATTCTGTGAAGAAAGTCATTGGTAGCTTGATGGGGATCGCACCGAATCTTTAAATTACCTTGGGCAGTAGGGCCATTTTCATGATATTGATTCTTCCTATCCATGAGCATGAAATGTTCTTCCATTTGTTTGTGTCCTCATTTATTTTGTTAAGCAGTGGTTTGTAATTCTCCTTGAGGAGGTCCTTCACATCCCTTGTAAGTTGGATTCCCAGGTATTTTATTCTCTTTGTAGCAATTGTGAATGGGAGTTCCCTCATGATTTGGCTCTCTGTCTGTTACTGGTGTATAGGAATGCTTGTGATTTTTGCACATTGATTTTGTATCCTGAGACTTTGCTGAAGTTGCTTATCAGCTTAAGGAGATTTTGGGCTGAGATGATGAGGTTTTCTAAATATACAATCATGTCATCTGCAAACAGGGACAATTTGACTTCCTCTTTTCCTAACTGAATACCCTTTATTTGTTTCTCTTGCCTGATTGCCCTGGCCAGAACTTCCAACACTATGTTGAATAGGAGTGATGAGAGAGGGCATCCCTGTCTTGTGCCAGTTTTCAAAGGGAATGCTTCCAGTTTTTGCCCATTCAATATGATATTGGCTGTGGGTTTTTCATAAATAGCTCTTATTATTTTGAGATACATCACATCAATACCTAGTTTATTGAGAGTTTTTAGCATGAAGGGCTGTTGAATTTTGCCAAGATGTTAATTTCAATATTACGTTATTTAGACTTCATGAGCCTCAAAACCACTCAAGGCAGTTGGCAGAGTAGAATAAGCTTGTCATTGATTAGTTTCCTATGGCTGCTGTAACAAATTATCTCAAATTAGATGGCTTATAACAACAGAAATTTATTCTTTCACACTTCTGGAGGCCAAAAATCTGATATGAGTGCAGTAATGTGCTACATGTTGACATTTTAGTAAACCACAGACCACATATCCTACGGTGGTCTTATAAGATTATAAAGGAGTTGGCTGCGCACAGTGGCTCACGCCTGTAATCCCAACACTTTGGGAGGCCGAGGCGGGCAGATCACCTCAGGTTGGGGGTTTGAGACCATCCTGACCAACATGGTGAAACCCCCATCTCTACTAAAAATACAAAATTAGTCGGGAGTGGTGGCACACACCTGTAATCCCAGGTACTTGGGAGTCTGAGGCAGGAGAATTGCTTGAACCCAGGTGGCAGAGTTTGCAGTGAGCCAAGATCCTCCCATCGCACTCCAGCCTGGGCAACAAGAGCAAAACTCTGTCTCAAAACAAAACAAAATAAACTACCTGCTAAATTCTAATATAAATTGGGGAATTTGTATCTTTGTCTCAGCCTAGCAACATTTAAAATGGAATGGGAACCATTTGAGAAACACATATCGTCCAAATCTTGACATTATTTCAGAACACGGTCTTGCCTCTTCCTCACCTCAACAACCAATCAGCAACAGTGGAATATATATGTGTGTGTGTGTATGTGTGTGTGTATATATATGTATATGTACATATGACAAAAATTATTTCTCTAAACTATTTGATAATGATTTTCAGACATTATATCTTTTTATTCCTAAATACTTCAATGTGTATTTCCTAAGAACAAGGTCAATTTCTTACCACAGCACAATTATCAAATTTAGAGAACTTAACATTGATAAAATAGTATTCTCTAATATACAGTCTATAAAAATTTTAATTGTATCAATAAAATCTTTTATAGGAATTTCTCTCCCAAACTAGGTGCCATTTCAGAATCACATATGAATCTAGTTGTCTTGACTTTTCAGTCTCCTTCACTTTGGAACAGATTCTTAATCTTCTTGTCTTTCATGAATATGTTTTTGAAGAGCATATGCCAGTGGTTTTGTTGAATGTTTCTTAATTTGTGTAGTCATGGTTACATTCAGGTCATGGAAATGTCACAGAAATCATGTTACCCTCTATCACACCAAGAGGCATGTGATGTCAGTTTTTCTCATTATTTATTATTATTATTATTATTTTTTTTGAGATAGAATTTCGCTCTTCTTGCCCAGGCTGGAGTGCAATGGTGTGATCTCGGCTCACCACAGTTTTGTATTTTTAGTAGAGACGGGGTTTCTCCATGTTGGTCAGGCTGGTCTCGAACTCCCAACCTCAGGTGATCCCCCTGCCTCGGCCTCCCAAAGTGCTGGAATTACAGACGTGAGCCACCACGCCCAGCCCAAATGAGGATTTTCTAATTTTATCCTTACTTCCACATTTATCACTTGGCACACAACTGTAAGGAAAATCTTCCCATCTTCCATATTTATGTGTTTAAGTTCCCAAGATTGATAATCACTTATTGTCATCATTAATGCTCAAAATGTGTCAGATTTGGCCATTGAGATCCCTTTCAAGCTGGCTTCTCTGTCCTTTCAAATCATACCCATCAATTCTGAGCACCTACATTCTGGCACAGCAAGATATCTTAGGTTCATCTTGTAGTTTCCCTGGCACAGTCCCGGAGTCAGTGTAGTTGACACCAGTAGCTACTTTCTATCAGTATCGCTGGTTCCTTTTAGTAGGGAGTGGTATTTGAAAATCAATATATAGAATTATCTTTGCTCATTGCATCTGAGGTATCATTTCTTCTAGGCCCAATTAGCAGAGAGATCTGTGGAGAAATTTTACAATTAAGTGTATAATTTCATACTGATGCCTCTAATTCCCATCATCACCAATAGGACTATTCTTTACCTTCCTCCTTTCCCACAGTGAGAGCCTGGTTCCAACAACATACAGGCGCACACATGCTCATTTTTCCAATCCTAAAATTCACACAAAATATCAGAATTGCTATTGCCTTAGCATTACAGAAAATATTCCTGATACATAGAGTTTAAGATATGCTTGCTGTTCTTTTTCTTTTTACAATGAGAACAATGTATAAACCATTTTCTTAGGTCAATTCTTTCCTGAATTTTCAATGTGGTTATGTTATACTTTTGAAATGCTCTATTTGGAAATAGATTTGCTGATCCCAAATCAGGAACAGTGTTTTTCTTTTTACTGTTAACGTACCTTTTCTTGATGTAACCGTGCCTAAGAGAGGGGGCACTTAGATATAGGGAAATCATAAACAGTGGAATTGGAAACACATGGTAATTGTCTTTATGACATAGAGCACATACTCAGATAATGGTGGTCACCAGTTTTCCAAATACACAGGAGGTATGAGGGGGTATAGCTCAGTGGTAGAGAGTGTACTTATCATGCACGAGGTCTTGGGCTGATTCCCCAGTACCTCCAGAGGTCCATTTTCTTCCCTGTGGCACTGTAAGAAGAGCTCCATGACCTTCCCCAGCTGTCCAGAATGTCCTGCCTTGTCAAGATATTTGGGTTGACCTCTACATCTCTCTCTCATACAGAGAGGTAATTCGTGTTCATTCACTTAAGGTTATTTGCTGCTTACGATTATCCACCTATTCTTTCTAAGCAGTCCCAGCAGTCACTAAGGTGAACCACGCACTATGGAAGCAAGTACTACTCCTGGCCCTCCAGCCTATTTCTAGTTGTAAATGAAATAATCAGAAACCATAGAACCACGTGGCGCAAGTCCTTTCCTGCGTGTGGTGTTTGTTTGTTTGTTTGTTTGTTTGTTTGAGACAGAGTTTCACTCTTGTTGCCCAGGCTGGAGTGCAATAGCACAATCTTGGCTCACCACAACCTCTGCCTCCCGGATTCAAGTGATTCTCCTGCCTCAGCCTCCTGAGTAGCTGGGATTACAACCATGCACCACCATGCCTGGCTAATTTTGTATTTTTAGTAGAGATGGGGGTTTCTCCCTGTTGGTCAGGCTAGTCTAGAACTCCCGACCTCAGGTGATCTGCCCACCTCAGACTTCCAAAGTGCTGGGATTACAGGCGTGTGCTACCATGCTTGGCCTTGTATTTCTTCTTCTAACCCAGGTTGCAGAAGCCCTACAAGCTTTCACTAAAAGATTTCACTGCCAGTGGCTGAGGACCTGATGTGCTGGTGGTCACTTTTTCCATTAGAAACCCACAAACTCTAAAACTTAATGTAAACTATTTAACTACAAGAATACAATAAATGGCAAATATAATGACAAATGAGAAAAAGATCACAGTCACTTCAGCTGACATTTGGTAGGGGGAACATATTTCTCTGGGTCCTCTAAGGAAGTTTCTGCCCTGAGATGCAAGCACTCGGAACTCCAGGAACCAAGATCAGTATAGGGTAAAGCTCATTTCTTTGTTTTCCATCAATAAAAATAATGAATGAACTTTTATTCTCCCAATCCCAATGGATCCTTTTCTACCTGCTGCACTTATTCTCCAGGAATAACCTCTTTCTAAGCTACTGAACAACCCACACCTCCAGATTAGAGCTCTTTGCACAGTTTCTGATGCTGGTATCACAGAGCTAAGCAGAATCCACGCGGGGATACTCTGCAAGCATCTCAATACTATCTCGTTAAAAGGAAATCGCCTTCTATTTTCAGCTCTATTTCATTTAAACAAAAGATAAAAAATTAAGTTACTCAACACCCAGAAGGCAGAAAAACGACCTCTCTCTGCATCTGCAGAAGCCAAGCAAGCTAGTGGGGCTTCCGTATGCATCCTTTGTTTTACTCATTTTCCAAACGCTGTAATGGTCCACCACCTACCAGGTGGTCACAAGCCATCGCTAAAGTCAATTTTGAGGTCAACCCACTCAACTTGTGAGGGATTCACCTATATTACCTCTGCACCTGTAATAAGACTAAGAAGACGGTGGCTGCACATGTAGTTAACACCGATTGTACCGCGACTTCGCCTTTCCGCAGCCTTTGTACCAACCTGCAGAGCCCTTTTGAGCCAAGAGCTGGACTTGGGGAGTAAAGAAGCTCATTGTAAACGCCAGGAGGAATTTCTTCAGGGTGAAGTTGACTTCCAATCGGCTTCATTCTAAAGGAAACATGTGGAGCAAACAAACGGGAACTTTCTTTCTCATCTTCTGCATTTCAAGCCTAATAAAATTAGACGTTTCCACTGTCCTGCTCAGTCTCGAAGCTGTCGGCAGATTCCGCTTTTAACTCTCAACACAGACACTCAGGAAATCGGGAAATCCCTGCAGCTCCCTCAGAAGCTATCAGTATCAGCGGTTCCCGAACCCGCAAACAAAAAACGCAACATCACGTGCTCCTCCAAAGAGCCTAGCCTGTCTATCGAGCGATGGAAAGAGCGGCGAGGCGCTCTCGCAGCCGTGGCAGTCTGGACGAAAAGAACCAGGTCCCTTTCCTGGTCTAGCCTACCTCCCTACCTCTCTTCCCTCATATCCAGAAGAAGCGACGGAGAGGTGAGTGCTTAGACTCACTCTAACATCCCGTCCATCCAAATCCTAATAATCTTGAGGATGCTTTTCCTTGTCCTCTACCCCTCTCCCTTTTTATGTTTCTTTCTCCACTTCACCGCACCCCGCCTCTTCCCTCTCTCCGCCAGCTGGCCCTCGGCTCCTCTCCACCTTCCCTCCCGTTTACTTCTGAATGAACTTTTCACAATAGTGCAGTGCACTCCTAGAACCATTTACACACATTCTAAGCACTGTGCTGAGATTTATATGTAGCCACTGTTTTAATTTCCACATCACTTTCCTTTCTTTTTTTTTCCTTCTCTATATGCTCAACTTCAAACGTTTTCTGCAGCATAGGCTGAGGCTGCGTCCAGATGGGGAGAGACGTCAGGCGGCGGGGATAAACCTGGAGGAATGTTGTTTCCTGTCTGGGGAGGTTCGGGCCTTACAAGAGGGAGAGAAAAAAAGAAAAAAGCCTGTAAGAGAATCTAAAATTTTTGAGGAAATTATTCAAAAAATATTTTAATTGACCCTCCCAACAAATTTTGGCTAAAAACAGAAAGCCTGGACTCTCTCGGAATAGGAGACTGAGTTTGAAAACTGTCCAGACATAGGGACGGTTTTATTAAAATTCAATTTGCAAGTCGTTGTTGGCTGTAGCTATTTCCTCATTCCAGAGAGGATTGTTTCTGAAATTCGGTAAACTCTGAAATTGTTTCTAAGTTATTTAACAAGAGGAGTCCAATGTTTTCACACTTTTGAAGTGATATAAGAATTTCTAGGCTGAGGTGGGAGAACGGATTGAGCCTGGAGGCGAAAGTTGCAATGAGAGGAGATTGCCACTGCACTCCAGGCTGGCAGAGTGGGACCCTGTCTCTCTCTCTCTCTCTCTCACTCGCTGGAATCTTCTCTCTCTCTCTCTCTCTATATATATATATAGAGAGAGAGATACATGTATATTTTATATTATATATAATATCTATATCAACAATATATTTACATTTTTAATTTATATATATTTCATATTTATATGTGTGTGTATATATATATATATATATATATATATATATATATATATATATAGCGTGGTCACACTAAAATAAACATATGCTTGCCTTTTCCACCCCTGGCTCTCTGTACCACCTAAGGTGGATGTGTTAGCACTAGATCAGTAAAAGGAAGGAAACAGAGAAAAAGAATTGGCTCGCTCAGGATTTCTTCAGTCGGAAGCTATAAACCTACTACCAGGTTAACGTGTTCAATAATCTTCTGTTCCTTTTTGCCATGTCATTGAAGAGCAAGACAGAAAACAAAACAAAAAAGAGCCAAAAGGAGAGAAAAGGAAAAGTCTAGATAATTTCATTTTAGTTTTAGATAGTTTCCTTTAGTTTTCTGAGTGGTGTTTCCAAGGTGACCAAGCATGGGAGCATCTATCTTGCTGATTTGACCTATTCCTCGCCTTTTTTTTTTTTTTTTTTTTTTTAGAGACAGAGTCTCGCTGTCGCCCAGGCTGGAGTGCAGTGGCGCGATCTCGGCTCACTGCAGCCTCGAACTCCCTGGTTCAAGCGATTCTCCTGCCTCAGCCTCCGAAGTAGCTGAAACTACAGGCGTGCGCCACCTCTCCTGGCTAATTTTTATATTTCTTGTAAAGAAGGGATTTCACCATGTTGGCCAGGCTGGTCTTGAACTCCTGACCTCAAGTGATCCACCCTCCACGGCTTCGCAAAATGCTGAGATTACAGGCGTGAGCCACCGTGCCCGGCCGTCTCGTCTTTTCTTTCCCGTCTTTTGCCGGGGAAAATTGGATCCTATTTTCATACATAAATTACAGCAGAATTTATATTTTTGGATTGGGAGGAGGTGAGTGAATGACGGGTGATATTGAAGACAACCGAATTAGGCGTTGGAAGATACACTGACCTTACAAATTGCAGTTTTTATATTTTGAAGAAATGACCAACGGGACAGCTCCAGAGTAGCCGAAATAGCTCAGTTGGGAGAGCGTTAGACCGAAGATCTTAAAGGTCCCTGGTTCAATCCCGGGTTTCGGCAGATACCTTTTGGTTGTTGCATAATTGTCTTTCCTTTATACAACACTTGCACACCAATCCCAGAGGTCTATATATAACTCCCATTTTTTGCTTTTTGAAAATTCCATAAAGGTAATGTATATATATATGTATGTATATTTGTATCACTCTCTCCACTGAAGTCTTCCATGAAGTGTTAACTGATGGTATGTAAATTATTTAAAATCTTAAATCTAGAAAGTTACTAATTTTAAAACCTAAGAAATTCCAATATGCTATAGACTGTGGCAATTACAATTCATTTCTGATTTGATGTTATTTATGTGTGTTGGGCAGGGGTGTTTTAAATCACAAGAACTATGAAGAAACCTGTAGAAGAACTATTATGCTGTATGAGTGTATATATGTGGTAGTGGTATATTCAAGAAACATTTTGCAATTCCAAAAACCTCGGTTTGGCCGGGCGCAGTGGCTCAGGCCTGTAATCCCAGCACTTTGGGAGGCCGAAGCGGGTGGATCACGAGGTCAGGAGATCGAGACCACGGTGAAACCCCCGTCTCTACTAAAAGTACAAAAAAATTAGTGGGGCGCGGTGGCGGGCGCCTGTAGTCTCAGCTACTCAGGAGGCTGAGGCAGGAGAATGGCGTGAACCCGGGAGGCGGAGCTTGCAGTGAGCTGAGATCGCACCACTGCAATCCAGCCTGGGTGACAGAGCGACACTCCGTCTCAAAAAAAAAAAAAGAAAGAAACACCTCGGTTTGTATCTTGAGTCAACTCCATAGCTCTGCAGTTAAACTGCTGGGAAAATAACTTTCTTTTTTTTGAGACGGAGTCTCGCTCTGTCGCCCAGGCTGTAGTGCAGTGGCACGATCTCGGCTTACTGCAAGCGCCGCCTCCCGGGTCCACGCCATTCTCCTGCCTCAGGCTCCCGAGTAGCTGGGACTACAGGCGCCCACCACCACGCCCAGCTAATTTTTTGTATTTTTAGTAGAGACGGGGTTTCACCATGTTAGCTGGGATGGTCTCGATCTACTGACCTCGTGATCCACCCACCTCGGCCTCCCAAAGTGCTGGGATTACAGTGTGAACCACCGCGCCCGGCCCTGTTTTGTTTTTTTGAGGCAGGGTCTCACTCTGTCACCCATGCTGGAGTGCAGTGGTATGATCACAGCTCACTGCAGCCTCAGCCTCCCTGGACTCAAGCGATCCTCCCATGTCAGCCTCCTGGGTAGCTGAGACTACAGAAATGCAACAACAAGCCTGGCTTTCTCTCTCTCTCTTTTGTACTTTTTTTTTGTAGAAACTGGGTTTCACCATGTTCCCCCAGCTGTTCTTGAAATCCTGGGCTCAAGCAACCTGCCCGCTTCTGCCTCCCTACGTGCTGGGATTACAGGTGGGAACCACCGCACCAGTCCTAATTACAGGAATATTTTTAAGTTTCTTACTGACAGGACATTTCTTTAGCCTGGAAACCTTGCCTAGAATTTCCAAATCTTAAGTTATTTCCTCATTGGTATCCAGGAAAGAACAAAAATAAGTCTTTCTTTCTTTTTTCTTTTTTTTTTTTTTTTTGAGACAGAATCTTGCTATGTTACCCATGCTAGAGTGCAGTGGAACGATCTCAGCTCACTGCAACCTCCGCCTCCCCGGCACAAGCAATTCTCCTGCTGCAGCCTCCCAAGCAGCTGGGATTACAGGCGTCCACCACCATGCCTGACTAATTTTTGTATTTTTAGTAAAGACGGGATTTCACCATGTTGGCCAGCCTGGTCTCCAACTCCTGACCTCGTGATCTACCTGCCTCGGCCTCCCAAAGTGCTGGGATTATAGATGTGAGCCACTGCGTCCAGTCAAAAATAAGTATTTCTAAATTAATTATTCTGTCAAGACTCAGGTGGATGTGCCCCATTTTCCTTTTTTTTACTTCAACTCCTCTCTTGAAATTTTGTGTTGGGATAATGGGCCTTTTTTGTCCTGTTTTTTTTTTTTTTTTTTTTTGTCTGATTTTTTTTGGTCATTTTTAATATCTTTTCTTCTTTCAAATTGGTGTTTCATTTTCAGTGTTATTTTCCCCTAACACCTGCATACTGTGTGAGGAGACAATAAACTACAGTACTCCAACATCAGAACTGCATCAAATTGTGAAAGGAAAATTGGTACCAAATGAGAGACCAACCTCAGGGTGGGGACATTGACTGTACAGGAACTAGGAATCAGATACTTTACCCTTTAAGTCACTGAGGCTTTCTCAACTCAGAAGCCTGTGTTTTATTTCATTAAGAAATATTTGATAGGCTGGGCGTGGTGGCTCACGCCTGTAATCTCAGCACTTTGGGAGGCTGAGGCGGGTAGATCACCTGAGATCAGAAGTTTAAGACCTGCCTGGCCAACATGGTGATACCCTGTCACTACTAAAAATACAAAATAATAATAATAACAATAATAATAATAATAATAATAAATTAGCTGGGTGTGGTGGTGGATGCCTGTAATCCCAGCTACTCGAGAGGCTGAGGCAGGAGAATCCCTTGAACCCGGGAAGCGGAGGTTGCAGTGAGCCAAGATCGCAACATTGCACTCCACCCTAGGCAACAAGAGCAAGACTCTGTCTTAAAAAAAGAAAAAAAAAAGGAAACATTTGATTAGACAAATGGCAGGATTGAATGTTTTCTTGCCTAGCACAGTAGTGATTCCTTTACATTTTGTTGAAATGAAACGCCTAGGGTAATTCTAAGCATGATTCGTCTCTCATTCAATACCTTAAAAATGAGGCTAATAATGATTATGTAAAATGGGATGTTGCAAAGGTCTAAGGAGATCATGCATGGAAATGCATTTAGTCAAGTCCACTCGCGGCATGAAACCTAATTACTGGCAGACCATGCTCCATGTCCTTTGGCTCTGGGATTCTCCCAGAACAGCACCTAAATAGATAACATCGTCTCTAGACAATGCTGTCCAATCAAAAGATACTACAAGTCTTCTGCTTTAGCTTCTGGGATAAAAAGAATTTTTAAAAAAGTTAATACAAATCTTAAATGAGAGCCACTTCTGTAGTTTTAAATTTTCTAGTAGTCACATTTAAAAAATAAACAGGCAATACTTATTTTATATAATTTTTTAACAATTTCAACTTTTAGATAGGCAAGGTGGGTCATACCTGTAATCCCAGCCCTTTGGGAGGCCGAGGTGCGCGGAACACCTGAGGTCAGGGGTTCAAGACCAACCTGACCAATATGGTGAAACCCTGTCTCTAATAAAAATACAAAAATTAGCTGGGTGTGGTGGTGCATGCCTGTAATTTCAGCTACTTGGGAGTCTGAGATAGGAGAATCACTTGAAACCTGGAGGAGGAGTTTGCAGTGAGCCCAGATAGCGCCACTGTACTCTAGCCTGAGAGACAGAGCAAGACTCTGTCTCAAAATAATAATACTAATAATAATAATTTCAACTTTTATTTTAGATTCAGGGGGTACATGTCCAGGTTTGTTACATGGGTATAGTGCATGATGCTGGGGTTGGGGTGAGATTAATCCCATCACCTGGGTGGTGAACATAGTATCCAATAGTTAGCTTTTCAAGCCTTTCCCCTTCTCGCCTCCCCCTCTAGTAGTCCCCAGTGTCTATTGTTTCCATCTTTTATGTCCAGTTTTACTAATATATGTAAATCACCTTGCATGTCCAAAATATTATTTTAACAAGTAATCAATCTTAAAATTATCAGTGAGACATTTTATGTTTAAAAAATGATATTACATCTGGCCAGGTGCGGCGGCCCATGCCTGTAATCCCAGCACTTTGGGAGGCCGAGGAGGGCAGATGACAAGGTCAGGAGTTTGGGACCAGCCTGGCCAGCATGGTGAAACCCTGTCTCTACTAAAAAAAAAAAAAAAGAAAAAGAAAAATTGCCAGGCATGGTGGTGCGCGCCTGTAGTCCCAGTTACTCAGGAGGCTGAGGCAGGAGAATGGATTGAACCCAACAGGTGGAGGTTGCTGTGAGCCAAGATTGCACCACTGCACTCCAGGTTAGGTGGCAGAGCGAGACTCCATGAAAAAAAAATTACATCTTTGAAATCTGGTATATATTTCTCACTTTCAACACATCTTAACTTAGACTAGGCAATTTTCAGTACTCAATACCCAATGTGGCTAATGGTAACCATATTGGACAGTGCAGATTTAAACATATACTTTATATATTTTTAGGTTTTCGAAATTGAGTGTGTATGACAGGGTGTTCTGTCTTCAAAATTAAATGTTTAATTTCTCAGAAGAATGCTATGTTAAATGAGCTCATCCTACAGATTTCACACAAAAAACATGTTTCAATCGTGTTGCTGGTAGATAGTCTGAAGATAGCTACAGATATTTAATTATTTAAAATTCTCCCATTTTTATGAGGCAACCTTCTTATTATGAATTCCCAAGAATCCAATAGACAGCCAAGTTTCTCTGGGTGTAACACAACATAAAGATGAAGGAGAGTTTCTGCAAACTGTCCTAATATTGCTTTTACAGCATCAAAGAGCCAAGATAATCCTTCCCATCATTTACATGCACACACACAGACACAGTCAGGCAGGCAAACACACATGAATACACATCAATTTTGTCTATAACAATTCTCTAGTTTCTCCTTCAGTGAAGTCTATCACTCAGTGTTTCCTATTTTTATTCTAGAAATCCCATCAGCCAACTGAAAAGCCAAGTCTGACATACAACTTGCAATTTGGCAATTTTGAAAGCCATCAATGTTACTTTATTAACATTGGCAAAGGCTCTTATATAGGCAAACCAGAATGAGAAAGAGTTAATAGTCACTAGAAATTTGGTGCTGAGAAATAGGTTTTCTTCTCATCTTCTTATGTAATTCAAAGGACACACGATAAGTCCCAAGATTCAAGAACTTTTGAATTCAAGAACAAACAAACTTGTTTGTTCACTACAAATATCACGAATAGGTTTGTAATTTCCATATCTCAAAGTACACTTTTTTAGTCTTTATCCATCCTCCATGTAATGTGTCTACTACTATTAATGCTTACAAATCCCAGGCTAGAGACAGAGTTAATTGCCTGAATTCTCTGAGAAACATCCTCACAAGTGTGCCCCACAGATACTTTAAATTGAGTATGAGCCAAACTAACTCATCTTCTCCATCTTCCAGTCTATCTCTCATTCCTAAAAGAGCTGTTAAAACCTCTCCCCTTTTCTGCACCTGCTGTGTTTGTTTTTCTAAAGCATTCTTCAACCCTGTTTGTATTTATCTTCGGTCTTATTCTCATAATTCAACCCTTCTCTCCATCCCCATAGCTGTTTTTCATTCACGCCTTATGAATCCCTTCCCCTCCCCTCCCCTCTTCTCCCCTCGTCTCCCCTCTTCTCCCCCTTTCCCTCCCCTCCCCTTCCCTTCTCTCTCTGTTGCCCAGGCTGGAGGACAGTGGCACAGTCATAGCTCCCTACAACAACTAACTCCCGAGCTCAAGCGATCCTCGTGCCTCAGCCTCTAGAGTAGCTGGGAGTACAGGCGTAAGACACCACGCCAGCTAAGGACCCTTATGAAAAAATGCTAAGTGCATCGCTGTCAGGTTTTCTTCTGATTGTGGCTTTCCTCCATCAAATCTTATCTTTAATATTCCGATTGAGCAAACAACAATTATGAAGCGTTTTAGGCAGGAAAAGGCTGAATTTCAATGGCTTTGTGTCGTATCTGGGAGAAATTAAAAGAAACGAAAACCTGAACTTGATTCTTGCCAAGCATAATAGAAGGAGACCCTAAGAACTCAACGTCTTGAGGCCACAATGGAAACTTCTTGTGGTTATTATCTGACACTTTTCTAATCTTTCGTTTTTCGTTTCAAGTCCTACACAGTATTCTAAAGAATCTGTATCCCCCATTAGTACCAAGTATCTCCTGCTCAGAACAGCTCTCCGCACTCCATAATACTGACCACTACTACCAGCATGCTCACGGAGTCTCAGGAAATGAAAGTTACCTCCTGAAAATTATTACAAAGAGACCTTATAGTAAGGGGGTGTAGCTCAGTGGTAGAGCGCATGCTTTGCATGTATGAGGCCTCGGGTTCGATCCCCGACACCTCCAAGCGATGGTTTTGCTCTGGTAGTTTTCAAGCGACAGACTTCTGCCTCCTCACGTTTTTCTATCCTATTTCTGCACATATAGACAGTAAAAGTGTAGCCCAATGTTCAGCCTTGAACTATCTCCACTGGTTATGCTGTGAACCTCGACATCACCAAAGGCGATTGCCACAGCAGAAGGGAGACAAACAAGAAATGAGGGGGAAAGAAGAACGGGATCGCAACACGGTCTCTTGAACCCAAACAAAAGCGTGCACATTCACAGGCGGCTCGCTTTCACTCCCATTTTGTACTATGATTAATGAGACGCAAAGACAAAGGAGAAGGGAGAAAAGCGCCCTGAAGGCATCTATTTTTTTTTAAGTTATTTTTGTTTTCTGGGCCAAAGAACAGAGCGAAAGCCTCTGTTCACTGATTTCTCCACCAGTCTCTCCCTGTCTACCTGCGCGGAGAACACAGCTACCAGTGTGATCCAGTACTGAGACAAGGGCTGTGGCTCTCCAGTCGCTTGAGATGGGAGTGGCAGGGCGCTGGATAACCACACGAAGACTGTCGGGGAATTAGAGGCCTTCAACGTGCGAGAAGCAGAAACCAATACGGATCAACATTCCCTACTGATGTTCCATAAGACTGATTTGTATTCCTGTATTTCCTCAGTCACTCCATTTTCCTCTTTACAATAAAATATTGCCTGGGAACTTCTGGTAAGAGCAAACGGAGGCCCCATATGAAAAACTAGGAAAAGGTTTTCTGTCACAATGCAAAATACATGCAGACTAAAAGATAAGTAGATCGCAGGTGTGTTGGGCACTTCCTGCCTTGGGAAAAAACAAACAAACATTTCATGTTCTTTCTCGATCCACCTGATTACATCGCTTTTTTTGGAGAGGGAACTCCCAAGAAATCCTATGCACTCATGAAACCTTTTATGGTTTCCAACGGTGTATGGTTTCAAAACTGCTGTTCTCTCTGTACATATTTCCTATTGAATTAAAGTGTCTTTGAGAGGCAAGAGAGTATGATGTTTGTTCCTAGTCCACCAGCCTATCAGGCTGGCATGATAGATACACTCTATGAGGCTAACATGACCTTACTTGATTCTTTTGTCCAGTGAGAATATCTATAACCAGCATCCAGGAGGGATACTGTCTGATGAAACCTGCTTAGCTGAGGACTGGCTGTGTGTGTGCCTCCAGACCAATCATATGTTTGTTTTGAGACACATTTTTTGGAGGAAGGTAATACACACATGCCATGTATTTTCTTTTTGTTTCATACTTTTTCTTCTTTAATTTCCTGGTATCCATTGGTTCTCTCCAGGCAAACAGTGGCATGTTAGCCACAGTGGACACTGCATAGGAGAGCAAGGGGTGGAGGATTAGGGTGCTGCAATCAGAATAATAAATTTCAGGCCCAACCTTAGGTCTATTGAATCAGAACTGCTGAGTATGGATGGGGCTCAGCCTCCTGTGTTTGAATAAGCCTTCAAGTGACTCTGATGCTAAAGTTTGTGAAGCACTGCTCTAGAAGTTTCAGGAAGTCCCAGGGTCAGGCACCTGCTGAGGAGGAAGAGTTGGTCCTGGGGTTCCCTGCCTATTCTCAATCAAAAACACAAACCTAGGAAAGCCAGTGAGGTTTGTATTCGTCTTATGTCAGGGATGGGGTTGAATTTACCATTTCTTTGACCCTTTGAATATTTATGCAACTTTTCAGGTCACACACAACAGACTGATTTTCCTGTGGAGGAACTCACAGGAATTCTCTTGAACCAGGAGACTCTTTTGAGCTGAAATACCTGGAGCTCTCTCAAGCTATTTGGGCCTTGCAATTTGAAACCCAGGCTTGGACGATTCTAAGCCCTGTGGCAGAGAGTAATCATTTTCTCTCCACCCTCAGGGTGAGGACTCATCCTCAGGGTTGGGAGTGACTGCTGTCTCTCCAGCCCCCACCAAGTCTACCAATGTTCTGGTTGTTAAAATCCAGCATATGCATGAAATGTAATAAAAGTATCTTTGCAGCAGTAAGTAGAGAGTTCCTCGTTGTGAGCAGACCATTCCTCTTCCTCCTTGGAAAAAATTCTGTATCCACTTTCTACATTTTCACGTTTGTCTCTTCCTCTACACACACCTCAGCTGCTGCTTTATTTACACTTGTCTCATGTAAGGATCTTCTTTTATGTGGTAACCTTGGCTTTTCCCACTGTTCTTGCTTCCACGAGTTGGATGCAGGCAATATAGGAGCCGACTGCAAAATGTAGGTGATATTGTCCAGAAAGAAACCCGAATTTCAGAGGCTTGCTGATGTGGAAGAAAGCCAAGATATTAGACTCATAGAGCTTCACTCTGCTAGGTAGGTTGAAATCTGGACACCCTGAATTCCATAAAAACAAGGTAGTACTCCTTCTGAAAACCCTCGTAAGTTTAAAATATACTGGGACTGCCTTACCTTTCTTGTTTTTCATGCCTTGTATTCCAAGCTTGACAAGCTATAACAAAAACAAAAGCAAAGAACACTCTTCCTATCTATAACAAAGGACCCTATGCTTCAGCGGGAGGGTCTCTCTTCCCGGTTAAACACTCTCCCCCTCGCTAACAGTAGGGATTGGAAATAGGCGGCTTCTCTGTCGTTTCCTTGGAAGCCACTAATACCACCCGCCTGTACCAAAACTCAAGGGTACCCGTTCTCCCCAGTGCCCCAGCCAGTAAAGGAGCTGCGAGGCGTTCTCAACGCCGCGACTGCCTTGAGCAAAACGAGGGAGATCTTGCGAGGAAAGTGTTTTCAGCTCACTTCTCCAACAGGGAATGAGCCCTCTCGCTTATCGCGGACAGCGAGGAAAAGCAGCGGAGATGGGCTTCCGGGCTGCACTCCGCCTTCCGGCCCACCCAGATCCTCTGGCAGCCTCGGGCGCTCGCCCACTTCGCTTCTCCTCCGCCTTTGCCGCCGCCGCCGCAGGTGCGCACCCCACCGCGTCCCTGCTTCCCTCTCGAACTCTTTTCGAAGGTGGTCCTCGTTCTCCTCTCCATCCATCGTTTCTTGAGTGTCAGAACTGGAGCCATAGCGTCCCCAAGACGAAATCCATGCTGGGTTTCGCGACCATGGTGCTGGCCCAGGCGCTGGCAGGGTAAGGACGGGCAGCGACCCACGCTCCTGGGTCTTCGTTTCTAAGAGCTGGGAATTCCACTTTCTCACCTCCTCACCTGCACCTAAATCCCCCGAGACGGTACTGACCCTTCTGTTTTAGTATCCATCTACGTTACTCTTGATAGAAGAGTACAGCCCTTGAAGGAAGAGGGAAAAGAAATTTGAGAAGGGAGAATTTAGAAAAACCTTTTTAGTTTGAAATTATTTCAAACCTACAGAAAAGTTGCAAAAATGATACAAAGAACTGCCACACACAAGTTACTCATATTTACCAATTCCCGATATTTTGCCACAATGATTCTCCTCTCTCTTTACGGCTAAACACACACACACACTATTATTTTTCTCATGTACTTTATTATTTATTTATTTATTGAGACAGGTCTTGCCCTGTCGTCCAGGCTGGAGTGCAGTGGTGCGATCTCGGCTCACTGCAACCTCCGCCTCCCGGGTTCATGCGATTCTCCTACCTCTGCTTCCCAAGTAGTTGGGATTAGAGGCATGAGCCACCATGCCAGGCCATTTTTTGTATTTTTAGTAGAGACGGGACTTCACCATGTTGGCCAGGCGGGTCTGGAACTCCTAACCTCTGGTGATCCGCCCGCCTCGGTCTCCCAAAGTGCTGGGTTTACAGGCGTGAGCCACCCCGGAGCTTCTGTGTTCTTTTAAATCATCCCCATCATTCTGGCACAGCAAGATATTTTAGGTTCATCTTGTAGTTTCCCTGGCACAGTCCTGGAGTCAGTGTAGTTGACACTAGTAGCTACTTTCTATTAGTATCTCTGGTTCCTTTTAGTAGAGAATGGTATTTGAAAATCAAAATATAGAGTCATCTTGCTCATTGTTTCTAAGGTATTTCTTCCAGGCTCAGTTAGCAGACAGATCTGTAGGGAAAATGTACTATTTTTATTTTTTGAGACAGAGTCTTAGTCGCCCAGGCTGGAGTGCGGTGGTGCGATCTTGGCTCGCTGCAACGTCCGCCTCCCGAATTCAAGCGATTATCCTGCCTCAGCCTCCCGAATAGCTGGGACTACAGGGGCGGCCACCACACCCGTCAAATTTTTGTATTTTTAGGAGAAACGGCGTTTTGCCATGTTGGCCAGGCTGTTCTCGATTTCTGACCTGAAGCGATCCACACGTCTCAACCTCCCAAAGTGCTGAGACTACAAGCGTGAGCCACCGCGCCCGGCCTATACAATTACATATGTATAATTTCATACTGATGCCTCCAATTCCCATCAACACCAACAGGACTATTCTTTACCTGCTTTCTCTTACAGTGACAGCCTGTTTCCAACAACACACGCGCTCACACACACTCATTTTCCCAATCCTAAAATTCACACAAAATCTCAGAATTCCTGCAGCCTTAGCTCTAAAAAAAAAACCCTCATACATAGAGTTTAAGATTTGTTTCCTCTTCTTTTTGTACTTACAATTAGAACAACGAACTTTGTCAAGCATTTTCTTAAATCAGTTATTTCAATGGGGTTATGTTATTCTTTCACAATGCAGTTTTAATTTGCCTCTATTTGTGTTGAATTTTAGGGTATTTTCACACACACTTGAGTCAGTTTTATTTTTTGACCATGTGAGACTAACACGCTTCCAAGAGTCAAAAGAATACAGAACATTATAATCAGAAAATTTGCAAGAGAATGTTGTATGCCAGGACACACTCAAATGATTGAATGCAAGTATGCTCCAGGAAATCTAACGCGATGGGGAGCCCACCGTGGGGTGAGTTGATCTTGGACTGACCACAAATCAGGAACAGTGCCTTTATTTGTACTATTAAGCTACCTTTCTTTTGGTGTAGCAGGGCCTAAGAGAGGAAACACTTCCTGTAGGAAATTGAGAGTGGAATTGAAAACATAAAGATTATCATGACACAGAGCCCAGACTCAGACAATAATAGTCATCAAAATATTCTCTAAAAGGCAAGTCTTCCAGAGGGGGTATAGCTCAGCGGTAGAGCGCGTGCTTAGCATGCACGAGGTCCTGGGTTCAATCCCCAATACCTCCAGGTTTTGTTTTCTTCCCCGGGCACTAGTGAGAAGCGGTCCATGATATTCCCCAACTTTAAATTTTTCTGTCTGTCAAGGTGAATTGTGTTGGCCTCTGCATTTCTCTCTCATACACAGAGGTGACTCGTGTTTATTCCTTTGAATCTATTTGCTGCTTAGGATTATCCACTTATATTTTCTAAGCAGTCCACCAATCACTAACATGAACCACGCACGAGGGAAGCAAGCAGTATTCCTGGCCATGCAACCAATTTCTAGTTGTAAATGAAATCATCAGAAACCATAGAACTGTGTGGCCCAAGTCTGATTTCAGATCAGAAGCTAAAAAGGCTCACGTCCTTTTCTGTTTCTTCTTCTAACTCCCTCTAACCAGGTTGAGAAGCCCTACAAGCTTTCACTAAAAGATTACACTGCCGGTGGTTGATGATTTGATGTGCTGGTGGTCACTTTTTCCATTAGAGACCCACATAGTTTGAAACTTAAACTATTTAACTACAAACACAAGGCAAATGATGAAAAGATAGCAGTCACCTCAGCTGAAATTTGGTGGAAGTAAAAAGTACTTCTCTGGGTCCTCAAGGAAGTTTCTGGTCTGAGATGCAAATACTCTGAACTCCAGGAAACAAGATCAGTATAGGAGAAAGCTCATTTTGTTGTTTTTCATAAATAAAAGTAATGAACGTTTATTCTCCCAAGCCCAACGGATCCTTTTCTACCTGATTGTACTTACTCTCCAGAAATAACCTCCTTCTAAGCTAGGGAACAACCCATACCTCCAGATTAGAGAGCTCTTTGTAGAGTTTCTGATTCTGGTATTACAGTACTAAGCAGAAATCCACAGGGAAATACTCTGCAAGCATGTTAATACTAACTTGTTAAAAGAAAATCTGCTTTTATTTTCATCTTTATTTCATGCCAACAAAGCAAAAAAAAAAATAAGTTACTAAACACCCAGAAGGCAGAAAAGTGACCTCTATCCATCTGCAGGAGCCAAGCAAGCGTGTGGGCTTCCGTATGCATCCTTTCTTTTACTCACTTTCTAAATGCTGTAACGGTCCACCATCTACCAGGTGGTCACAAGTCATCGCTAAACTCAATCTGAGGTCAGCCCACACGACTTGTGAGTGGTTCACTTATATTGCCTCTGCACCTGTAACAGGACTAAGAAGACGGTGGCTGCACACGTAGTTAACACCGATTGTACCTCGACTTCGCCTTTCTGCAACAGCTGTGACGCTCTGCAGGTCCTGAGCCAAGAGCTGGACGTTAGGAGTAAAGGAGCTCGTTGCAAACGCCAGGAAGAGTTTCTTTAGGGTGAAGTTGGCTTTCGATTGGCTTTATTCTAGGAGATATATATGGAGCAAAGAAACGGTAACTTTTTCTCATCTTTTGCATTTTAAGCAAAAACTAATAAAATTAGATGTTTCCGCCGTCATGCTCAGTCTCTTAGCTGCCGGCAGATCCCGCTTCTAACTCTCAACACGGGCACTTAGGAAGCCAGGCAATCCCTGAAGCTCCCTCAGAAGCTACGGTATCAGCGGTTCCTGAGGCGCAAACCAAAACCCAACATCACTCCAAAGAGCTCAGCCCGTCTGTCGAGCGACGGAAATAGCGGAGAGGCGCTCTTGAAGCCGTGACAGCCTGGGCGAAACGAACCAGGTCTCCTTCCTGGTCCAGCCTACCTCCCTAGGGACACCTCTCTTCCCTCACGGCCAGAGGAAGCGACGGAGAGATGTGGCGCTTAGATTCACTCTACGGTCCCGTCCATCCAAGTCCGAATCATCTTAAGGATGCTTTTCCTTGCCCTCTATCTCTCTCCCATTTGTGTTTTTCTTCCTCCACTTCACGGCACCCCTCCTTTTCCCTCTCTCCGCCAGCTGGCGCTCAGCTCCTCTCCACCTTCCCTCCCATTTACTTCTGAATGAACTTTTCACAATAGTGCAGCGCAGTCCTAGAACCATTTACACACATTTTAAGCACTGTGTTGAGATTTATATGTAGCTGCTGTTTTAATTTCCGCATCACGTTCCATTTTTTTCCTCTCTGTATGTTCAACTTTTAACATTTCTGCAGCATAGGCTGAGGCTGCGCCCAGCTGGGGAGAGACGTGAGGCGGAGGGGATAAACCCAGAGGAATGTTGTTTCCTGTCTGAGAAGGCTCGGACCTTACAAGCGGGAGGACAAGACAAAGACTGAAAGCGAACATAATTTTATAAATTTTATTTATTTAATTTTTAGGAAATCATCTAATCATCCAGAAACAATTTTTTGGGGGGGAAACGAAGTTTCGCTCTTGTTGCCCAGGCTGGAGCGCAGTGGTGCGATCTCGGGTCACTGCAACCTCTGCTTCCCGGGTTCAAGCGATTCTCCTGCCTCAGCCTCCTGAGTAGCTGGGATTATAGGCGCCCGCCACCATGCCTGGCTAATTTATGTGCATTTAGTAGAGACGGGGTTTCACCATGTTGACTAGGCTGGTCTCGAACTTCTGACCTCAGGTGATCCACCCGCCTCTGCCTCCCAAAGTGCTGGGATTACAGGCGTGAGCCACCACTCCTGGCTTCAAGAACAATTTCTTATCGACCCTTCCATCAAATTTTGGCTAAAACTGAAAGCCTTGACTCTTTCAGAATAGGAGACTCAGTTTGAAAACTGTCCAGACATAGAGAGGGTTTTATTAAAATTCAGTTTGCAAGTAATTATTGGCCATAGCAATTCCCTCATTCCAGAGAGAACTGTTTCTGAAATTCTGTAAACGTCTTAAATTGTTCTTAAGTTATTTATCAAGAGGAGTCCAATGTCTTGACACTTTTGAATTGATATAAAACTTCTAGGCTGAGGTGGAAGAACTGATTGAGCCAGGAGGTGAAAGTTGCAGTGAGAGGAGATTGCCACTGCACTCCAGTCTGGCAGAGTGGGACACTGTCAAAATAAAAATAAATAAATACAATCTCATGATTACAGATGTGTATGTAAAAAGCAATTTTTTTTTTTTTTTTTGAGATGGAGTCTTGCTCTGTCACCCAGGCTGGAGTGTAGTGGTGTGATCTCGGCTCACTGCAACCTCTGCCTCCTGGGTTCAAGAGATTCTGTAGCTGGGACTACAGGGGCGCGCCTCGACGCGGGGCTAATTTTTGTGTTTTCAGTAGAGACAACATGGGGTTTCACTATGTTGGACAGGCTGGTCTCCAACTCCTGACCTCAGGCGATCTGCTCGCCTTGGCCTCCCAAAGTGCTGGGATTACAGGCGTGAGCCACTGCACCCAGCTGGAAAAAAAAAAACAATTCTTATGCATCAATGTGCAGACCACAATTCTCTGAACTCCAAGGAATAGGCCGGGAACGGTGGCTCAAGCCTGTAATCCTAGCACTTTGGGAGGCCGAGGCGAGACCAGACTGATCAACATGGTGAAACTTCGTCTCTACTAATAATACAAAAAAATTAGCTGGGCGTGGTGGGGCGCGCCTGTAATCCCACCTACTGGAAGAGACTGAGTCAGGAGAATCGCTTGAACCTGAAAGACGGAGGTTGCACTAAGTCCAGATCGTGCCACTGCACTCCAGCCTGGGAGACAGAGCGGGACTCCATCTCAAAACAAAGAAACAAAGAAACAAACAAACAAACATATTATACTTTCCATTTTCACTCCCTGGGTCTCCGTACCACCCAAGGTGGATGTGTGAGCACAAGACTGGTAAAAGGAAGAAAATAGAAAAAAAGAACTACCTCGCTCAGGATGTCTTTTTTCGGAAGCTATAAGCCCACTACCGTGTTAAAGTGTCCACTAATCTTCTGTTCCTTTATGACATGCCATTGAAGAGCAAGCCAGAAAAAGAAAATCCGAAAAAAGAGAAAAGGAAATGCCTACATAATTTCATTTTGAATTCCTTAGTTTTCTGAGCAGTGTTTTATACGGTGACCAAGCATGGGAGTATCTTCCTCATTTGACCTATTCCTCGCCTTTTCTTTCCCATCTTTTGCTGGGGAAAATTGGATCCTATTTCACACATAAATTGCAGCAGAACTTATATTTCTTGGGTGGAGGGGAGGTGAGTGAATGACGGGTGATATTGAAGACAACAGAATTAGGCGTTGGAAGATACACTGACCCTACAAATGGCAGTTTCTGTATTTTGAAGAAATGACAAAAGCAGTAGGATCACGGTGGCCGAGATAGCTCAGTTGGGAGAGCGTTAGACTGAAGATCTAAAGGTCCCTGGTTCAATCCCGGGTTTCGGCAGTTGCATTTTGGTTTTAGCATAATTGTCACTCCTTCAACACAGCGCTTGCGCACCAATCCCAGAGGTCTATATATAACTCCAGGTGTTTGTGGTTTTTTTGTTTCTTTTTTCTTTTTTCTTTTTTTTGGCTGTTTTCTGAAAATTCCATAAAGGTAATGTATACACACACACACACACACACACACACACACACATCTATATATATATATTTACACACAAACACATATATATATATATATTTGTAACACTCTCTCCACTGAAGACTTCCATGAAGTGTTAACTGACAGGACGTAAATTATTTAAAGTCTTAAACCTAGCAAGTTATTACTTTTAAAACCTAAGAAATTCCAATATGCTATATGCTGTGGCACTTACAATTCATTTCTGATCTGATGTTATTTATGTGTGTTGGGCGGGGGTGTTTTTAAATCACAAGAAATGTGAAGAAACCTGTAGAAGAAGAACTATTATACTGTATGAGTGTATATATGTGGTGGTGGTATATTCAAGAAACATTTTGCAATTAGAAAAAACCGGGTTTGTACCTTGAGTCAACTCCATAGCTCCGCAGTTAAACTGCTGGAAAAATAACTTTTGCTTTGTTTTGTTTTTCTGAGGCAGGGTCTCACTCTGTCACCCATGCTGGAATGCAGTGGTATGATCACAGCTCACTGCAGCCTCAGCCTCCCTGGACTCAAGCGATCCTCCTATGTCAACCTCCTGAGTAGCTGAGACTACAGAAATGCAACAACAAGCCTGGCTTTTTGTTTGTTTGTTTGTTTTTTGGTTTTGTTTTTTTTTTAATTTTTTTGGTAGAGACTGGGTTTCACCATGTTGCCCTGGCTCTTCTGGAAATCCTGGCTCACCTCTGCCTCTCACCATGCTGGGATTACAGGCTTGAGCCACCACACCAGGCCTAATTACAGGAATATTCTAAGTTTTCTTACTGACAGGAAGCCTGGCACCCTTGTCCAGAATTTCCAAATCTTAACTAATTTCTGTGTTGGAATCCAGGAAAGAACAAAAACAAGTACTTGTATATGAATTATTCTGTCAGACATTCATGAGGGGCCTTAGAATACTGAAAATGAAAGCAAATGGGCAGCAAAGTCATCAAGATTCAGGTGCATGTGCCTCATTTTCCCTTTTCCACTTCAACTTCTCTGTTGAAATACTGTGTTGGGGGTAATGGGTCTTTTTTTTCCCTCCTTTTTTCTTTCAAATTGCTGTTTCATTTTGAGAGTTATTTTCCCCTAACTCCTGCATACTGTGTGAGGAGACTAAACAATCTACAGTACTTCAACATCAGAACTGCAGCAAGTTGAAAAAGGAAAATTAGTACCAAATGAGAAGAAACCTCAGGGTGAGGACACTGACTCTACAGAAACTGTAAATCAGATACTTTATCCTTTAGGTCACTGAGGCTTTCTCAACTCAGAAGCTTGTGTTTCATTTCATTAAGAAATATTTGATTAGTCAAATGGTAGCACTGAATGTTTTCTTGCCTAACACGGTAATGATTCCTTTACATTCTGTTGAAAGGGAAGGTCTAGGGTAATTCCAAGCATGATTTGTCTTCTATTCAATAGCTTAAAAATGTAGCTAATAATAATTATGTTAAATTGGATGTTGTAAAGATCTAAGGAGATTATGCATAGAAATGCATTCTGTCGAGAACACTCAAGGCATGAAACTTAATTACTGGGAGACCATGCTCCATGTTCTCTGGCTCTGGGAATCTCCCAGAACAGCATTTAAAGAGATAACATCATCTCTAGACAATGCTGTCCAATTAAAAGATAATACAAGTCTTCTACTTTATCTTCCGGAATAAAAATAATTAAAAAAACACAAGTCATAAATGCGAGTCACTTTTGTAGTTCTAAATTTTCTAGTAGTCACATTAAAAAAAACAGGCAATATTTATTCTATATCTTTTTTTTTTTTTTTTTTTTTTTTTTTTGGAGATGGAGTTTCGCTCTTGTTGCCCAGGCTGGAGTGCAATGGCGCGATCTCGGCTCACCGCAACCTCTGCCTCCAGGGTTCAAGCGATTCTCCTGCCGCCTCAGCTTCCCGAGTAGCTGGGATTACAGGCACGCGCCACCACCCCAGCTAATTTTTTTTTTGTGTGTGTGACGGAGTCTCGCTCTGTCGCCCAGGCTGGAGTGCAGTGGCGCGCGCTGCAAGCTCCGCCTCCCGGGTTCACGCCATTCTCCTGCCTCAGCCTCCCGAGTAGCTGGGACTACAGGCGCCTGCCACCACGCCTGGCTAATTTTTTGTATTTTTTAGTAGAATTGGGGTTTCACCGTGTTAACCAGGATGGTCTCGATCTCCTGACCCCGTGATACGCCCGCCTCGGCCTCCCAAAGTGCTGGGATTACATGCGTGAGACCCCGCGCCCGGCCCCAATTTTGTACTTTTAGTAGATACGAGGTTTCTCCATGTTGGTCAGGCTGGTCTTGAACTCCCGATCTCAGGTGATCCGCCCACCTCGGTCTCCCAAAGTGCTGGTATTACAGGCGTGAGCCACCGAGCCCGGTCTCTATATTATTTTAAAAATAATTTCAACTTTTATGTTAGATTCAGGGGGTACATGTGCAGGATTCTTACATGGGTATATTGCATGATGCTGGGGTTGGGGTGGGATTAATCCTGTCACCCGGGTAGTGAGCATAGTATCCAATAGTTAGCTTTTCAAGCCTTTCCCCTTCCCAGCTACTCCCTAGTAGTCCCCGATGTTTACTGTTTCCGTCTTTTATGTCCAGTTTTAATAATATACGTAAATGGCCTTGTATAACAACATTATTTTAAGTAATCCATCTTAAAATTATAAGTGAGTTATTTTATATTAAAAATGATATTGCATCTTTGAAATCTGGTATATATTTTATACTTACAACACATCTTACCTTGGACTGGGCAATTTCAAGCATTCAATAGCCAATGTGGCTAATGGTAACCATATTGGAAAGTGCAGATTTAAACAGGTACTTTATATATTTTTAGGTTTTCAGAACTGAGTATGTATGACGTGAGGGTGTTCTGTCTTCAAAATTAAATGTTTAATTCCTCAGAAGAATGCTGTGATAAATAAGCTCATCCTACACATTATACGCAAAAAAAAAAGTGTTTCAATCATGTTGTTGGTAGATAGCCTGAAGATAGATATGGATATTTAATTATTTTAAATTCCCCCCTTTCATGTGGCAAACAAAAAAGCATATCTTCTTATTATGAATTCCCAAGAATCTGATAGACAGCCAGGTTTCTCTGGCTGTGACATGACATAAGGATGAAGGAGTGTTTCTGCAAACTGTCCTAATATTGCTTTTACAGCATCAAAGAGTCAAGATAATCCTCCCAAGCATTTACATGCACACACAAACAGACACAGACAGGCAGACACGCACACACATGAATACATATGAATTTTGTGTGTAACGCTTCTCTAGTCTCTCATTCAGTGAAACCTATTACTCAGTTTCCTATTTTTATTCTAGAAATCCCGTCAGCCAACTGAAAAGCCAAGTCTGCCATACAACTTGCAATCTGCCAATTTTAAAATGGATCAATGTTATTTTATTAACATTGGCAAAGGCTCATATATGGGCAAACCAGAATGAGAAAGAGTTAATCGTCACCAGAAATTTGGTTCCGAGAAATGGGTTTTCTTCTCATCTTCTTATATAGTTCAAAGAATCCAGTCTCACCGTGATAAGTCCCAAGATTCGAGAACTAGTTAGAAGAAAACTTGTTTGTTGCCTACAAATATCACGAATAGGTTTGTAATTTCCATATCTCAAAGTACACTTTTTAGTCTTTATCCACCTCCATGTAATGTGTCTACTACTACTAATGCTTACAAACCCCAGGCTGGAGACGGAGTTAATTGCCTGAGTTCTCTGTGTAATATCCTCACAGGCGTGCCCCACAGATATTTTAAATTTAGCATGAGCCAAACTAACTCATCTTCTCCATCTTTCAATCTTTCTCCCATTCCTGAAAGAGTTGTTAAAACCTCCCCTTTTCTGTGCCTGCTTGTCTTTGGCAATAGCATGTTTGTTTTTCTGAACTACTCTTCAATCCTGTTTCTATTTATCTTTCGTCTTACTCTCATAATTCAACCCTCATCTCCACCCCCAAAGCTGGTTTTCATTTATGCCTTATGAATTCCCTCCCCTCACCTCCCGTCTTCTTCTCTCTCTCTCTCCTTTCCTTCCTTCCCTTCCTCCCTCTTTCTCCTTCCTTCCTTCCTTTCTCCCTTCCTTCCCCCCTTCCTTCCCTCTTTCCCTCCCTCCGTCCCTCACTCCCACTTTCTCTTGCTTGCTTGCTTGCTTGCTTTTCTCACTCCATTGTCCGGGCTCGAGGGTAGTGGTGCAATCATAGCTCCCTACAATCGCTAACTCCCAAGTTCAAGCGATCCTCGTGCCTCAGCCTCTGGAGTTGTGAGTACAGGAGTAAGACACCACGCCAGCTAAGGACCCCTGTGAAAAAATGTTGAGTGCACCGCTCTCAGGTTTTCTTCTGATCATGGCTTTCCTCTATCAAATCTTACCTTTGATATTCCGACTGAGCAAACAACAATTATGAAGCGTTTTAGGCAGGAAAAGGCTGAATTTCAATGGCTTTGTGTTATATCTGGAAGAAATCAAAAGAAACGAAAATCAGAACTTGATTCTTGCCAAGCATAATAGAAGCAGACCCTAAGAACTCAACGTCTTCAGGCCACAAAGGAAACTTCTTGTGGTTATTATCTGACACTTTTCTAATCTTTCGTTTTTCGTTTCAAGTCCTACACAGTATTCTAAAGAATCTGTATCCCCCATTAGTACCAAGTATCTCCTGCTCAGAGTAGCTCTCCACGCTCTATGGTACTGACCACTATTACCAGCATGCTCACGGAGTCTCAGAAAATGAAAGTTACCTCCTGAAAATTATTACAAATGGGTGTTATAGTAAGGGGGTGTAGCTCAGTGGTAGAGCGCATGCTTTGCATGTATGAGGCCTCGGTTCGATCCCCGACACCTCCAAGTGATGGTTTCCCTCTGGCAGTTCTCAAGCGACAGACCTCTGCCTCCTCACATTTTTCTATTCTATTTCTGCACATATAGTAAGTAAAAATGTACTCCAATGCATTGCCTTGAACTATCTCCAACCTCTATGCTGTGAGCCTCAACATCACATAAGGCGATTGCGACAGCAGAAGGAAGACAAAAAAGTAACGAGGGGGAAAGAACAGGATCGCAACAGTGGTCTCCTGACCCAAACAAAAGCATGAACATTCACAGGCGGCTTGCGTTCGCTCCCATTTTGTTTTGTTTTGTTTTGTTTTTGTTTGTTTGTTTTGTTTTTTGAGACGGAGTTTTGCTCTCGTTGCCCAGGCTAGAGTGCAGTCGCACCACCTCGGCTCACTGCAACCTCCGCCTTCCGGTTTCAAGAGATTCTCCTGCCTCAGCCTCCCAAGTAGCTGGGATTACAGGCGCCCGCCACCACGCCCAGCTAATTTTTTTGTATTTTTAGTAGAGACGGGGTTTCACCATGTTAGTCAGGCTGGTCTTGAACTGCCGACCTCGTGAGCCACCCGCCTCGGCCTCCCAAAGTGCTGGGATTACAGGCGTGAGCCACCGCGCCCGGCCTTCCATTTTGTACTATGATTAAAGAGACGCAAAGACCAAGAAGAGAGAAAAATGCCAGTGGGCATCTTTTTTTTTTTAAGTTATTTTTGTTTTCTGGGCCAAAGAACAGAGCGAAAGCATCTGTCCACTCATTTCTACACCAGTCTCTCCCTGTCAACCTACATAGGGACATAAGTGCGATCCAATACTGAGACAAGGACTGCTGTGGCTCTCTAGCCACTTGAGATAGGAGTGGCAGGACGCTGGACGGCCAAACGAAGACTGTCCGGGAATTAGAGGCCTTCAACATGCAAGAAGCAAAAACTAATACGGATCAACATTCCCTACTGATATTCCATAAGACTGATTCATATTCATATTCCTGCATTTCCTCAGTCACTGTAATATTGCCTGGGAACTTCTGGTAACAGCAAACAGAGGCCCATAAGAAAAAACCAGGGAAAGGTTTTCTGTCACAATGGAAAATACATGCAGAGTAAAAGGTAAGTAGATCGCAATTGTGTGGGCGCTTTCTGCCTTGGAAAAAACCAAACAAACATTTCATGTTCTTTCTCGATCCATCTGATTACAACTGCTTTTTTTGAAAAGGGAACTCCCAAGAAATTCTATGCACTCATGGTACCTGTTAAAGGTTTCCAATGGTATACAGTTTCAAAACTGCTGTTCTCTCTGTACATATTTATTTATTTATTGTTGAATTAAAGTGTCTTTGAGAGACAAGAAACTACAATGTTTATTCCCAGTCCACCAGCCTAACACTCTATCAGGCTGGCATGTCTTTACTTCTTGATTCTTTTGTCCAGTGAAAGTATCTATAACTAGCATCCAGGAGGGATACGGTCTAGTGAAACCTGCTTAGCTGAGGACTGGCTGTGTGTGTGCCCCCAGGCCAATCACATGTTTGTTTTGAGATACATTTTTTGGAGGAAGGTAATACCCACGTGTCATGTATTTTCTTTGTGTTTCATACTTTTTCTTTTTTAATTTCCTGGCATCTATTGGTTCTCTCCAGGCAAACAGCGGCATGTCAGCCACAGCGGACACTGCACAGGAGAGCAAGGGGTGGGGAATTAGGGTGCTGCAAGCAGAATGCTAAATTCCAGGCCTAACCTCAGATCTATTGAATCAGAACTGCTGAGCATGGGGCTCAGCCTCTTGTGTTTGAATAAGCCCTCAAGTGACTCTGATGCTAAAGTTTGAGAAGCACTGTTCTAGAAGTTTAAGAAGGAGGTCCCAGGATCAGGTGGCTGCTGAGGGGGAAGATTTTTTCCTGGGGTTCCTTGCCTATTCTCAATCAAAAACTTAAACCACGTAGGACAGCCAGTGGGGTTTGTAGTTGCATTATGTCAGGGGTGGGGTTGGATTTACCATTTCTTTTTTGTTTGTTTTTGTTTTGTTTTGTTCTGTTTTTGTGAGAGGGAGTCTTGCTCTGTCACCCAGGCTGAAGTGCAGTGGTGCAATCTTGGCTCACTGCAACCTCCGCCTATTGAGTTCAAGCGATTCTCCTGCCTCAGTCTCCTGAGTAGCTGGGATCACAGGCGCCTGCCACCATGCCCAGCTAATTTTTGTTTTTTAGTAGAGACGGGGTTTTGACATATTGGTCAGGCTGGTCTCAAACTCCTGACCTCAAGTGATCTACCCACCTCGGCCTCCCAAAGTGCTGGGATTACAGGCGTGGGCCACCATTCCCAGCCTCCTTCATCCTTTTGATGTCAGCTGAGTCTACAGTGATGTCCTCTTTTTATTCCTGATGTTGGTAAACTGTGTCATCTCTCTGCTGAAAATTTCTATCTTGCTAGAGTTCTTCTTTTATTGATCCTTGAAAGGAACTAGCTTTTTGTTTGTTTTTCTATTTTTGTGTGTGTGTGTGTGCGTGTGTTCCATTTCACTGATTTCTGCTTTTATTTTTTATTATTTCCTTTCTTCTATTTGCTTTGGGTTATTTTGCTCTTTTTCCCACCTGATTTCTACAAGTAAGAGCTTAGAGGACTGATTTGGGACTTTTTTCTTTTCTAATGTATGCACTTAGTGCTGTATATTTCTCTCTCAGCACTCCTTTAGGATATCTTGGAATTTTTAATATATTGTATTTTCATTTTTATTCATGCTACCTTATTTTTTGATATCTACTAAGGTTTTCTCTTTGTTGTATGAACTGTTTAGTAGTGTGTTGTTCATTTTCCAAGCGTTTGGACATTTTTCTGTCTTTTTGTGACTGATTTTTACTTTAATTTCATTTTGGTCAGGGATTATACCATATTAGTTAATTCTTTTAAATTTGTTGAGGTTTGTTTTATGGCCCAGGATATGTTTTACCTTTACCTATATTCAGTGTGGATTTGACTAGTGTGTTCTGCTCTTCCTGTGTGGACTGTTTTATAAATGTTAACTGAATTCTGGTGGCTGAAGATGTTTGAGTTCTTCAACACTCTTTTTTTTTTTTGAAGCAGAGTCTTGCTCTGTTGCCCAGGCTGGAGTGCAGTGGCGCGATCTCGGCTCACTGCAAGCTCAGCCTCCCGGGTTCACGCCATTCTCCTGCCTCAGCCTCCAGAGTAGCTGGGACTACAGGCACCCGCCACCACGCCCGGCTAATTTTTTTGTATTTTTTAGTAGAGATGGGGTTTCACCGTGTTAGCCAGGGTGGTCTTGATCTCCTGACCTCATGATTCGCCCGCCTCGGCCTCCCAAAGTGCTGGGATTACAGGTGTGAGCCACCACGCCCGGCCTAGTTCTTCAACATTCTTGCTGATTTTCTGTTTAGTTGTTCTATCAATCATTATGAGAGAAGTTTTGAAGTCTCCAAAGTAATTGTGGATTTGTCTATTTTTTTTTAAAGTTCTGTTTTTTTATCTTTACATATGTTGCAGCTCTCCTGTTTGGTGGATACATATTTAGGATTGTTATGTCTTCTATTTCTTTCCCTGCCTCCCTCTCTTCTTTCTTTTTCTTCTTTATTTAACCAAGAAAGAACAAATTTACTATTACTTTCCCTACCAAAGCAGTCTCTCATCACCTCCTGACTCTGAGAATTAAATTCTGTTTCCTTCAGATGTCCTTAGTTGATTGACTCCCAAACAGGGAGTGTGAACAGGAAAATAGAATAAAACACCTGTTAGATTTGAATACAAATTGAGAAATTTGTATCTTTGTTTCTGCCTGGAAACATTTAAAATGGAATGGGAACCACATGAGAAGCACATATTGTCCACATCTTGGGATCATTTCAGACCATCTTGCCTCTTCAACCAAACAATCAGCAACAATGGAATATATATATATATATACTCCATATATATATATATATACTCCATATATATATATATACTCCATATATATATACATATATACTCCATATATATATATACTCCATATATATATACATATATACTCCATATATATATATACTCCATATATATATATATACTCCATATATATATATATACTCCATATATATATATATACTCCATATATATATATATACTCCATATATATATATATACTCCATATATATATATACTCCATATATATATATACTCCATATATATATATATATATATATACTCCATATATATATATATATATATATATATATACACTCCATATATATATATGGAGAGAGACACAGAGAGAGATCTCAAAGATTATTTCTCTAAACTATTTGATGATTTTCAGACATTATATCTTTTTAATCCCTAAATTCATCAATGTGTATTTCTTAAAACAAGATCAGTTCCTTAACACAGCACAATTATCAAATTCAGTAAACTTAACATTGATAAAATAGCATTATCTAATATACAATCTATAAAAATTTAACTAATTGTATCAATACAATCTTTTATAGAAATTTCTCTCCCAAGCTAGGATCCATTTCACAGACACATATGAATCTAATTGTCTTGACTCTTTAGTCTCCTTTAATTTAGAACAGTTGCTCAATTGTGTCTTTCACAACTTTGATAATGTTTTTGAAGAGTATATGCCAGTGGTTTGTGGAATATTTCTTAATTTGTCCTACTCATGGTAAGATTAAGTTTATGGAAATTGGAAGAAATGTCACAAAAAATCATATTATCCTCTATCACACCAAGAAGCATGTGATGCCAATTTTCCCCATTATTAGTGAAGTTAGCTTTCATCATTTGGTTAAGTTTGTAACTACTATTTCTTCCCTGCAAAAGTATCATCTTCCTCATTGTAATCAATAAGTAAGCTCTAGAGAAATACTCTGAGACTATATAAATATCCTGATCCTCATCAAAATTTTACCTATACTTTTAGCATTGACTTATAATTTTGCCTGCACCTATCAGCATTCTGATGGTGTCCAGATTTTCTAATTTTCTAATGGGGATTTGCAAATTTTATCCTTCTTTCCACATTTATTAGCTGGCATACCACTGTAAAGAAAATCTTCCCATCTTCCATATTTATTTATTTATTTGAGACAGAGTCTCGCTTTGTCGCCCAGGCTGTAGTGCAGTGGCATGAGTCCTGGAGTCAGTGTAGTTGACACTAGTAGCTACTTTCTATTAGTATCTCTGGTGCCTTTTAGTAGGGAATGGTATTTGTGAATCAAAATATTGTTATCTTTGCTTATTGTTTCTGAGGTATTTCTTCCAGGCCCAGTTAGCAGACAGATCTGCAGGGAAATTTTACTTTTTTTTTTTTTTGAGACAAAGTCTAAGTCACCCAGGCCAGAGTGCGGTGGCAGGATCTTGGCTCACTGCAACGTCTGCCTCCTGAGTTCAAGCGATTCTCCTGCCTCAGACTTCCGAGTAGCTGGGACTACAGGCACGCACAACCACATCCGGCTAATTTTTGTATTTTTAGTAGAGACGGGGGTTTCACCATGTTGGCCAGGCTGTTCTCGAACTCCTGACCTCAAGTGAGCTGCCCGTCTTGGCCTGCCAAAGTGTTGAGATTACAAACGTGAGCCACTGCGCCCAGCCTATAAAATTACATATGTATAATTTCATACTGACGCCTCCAATTCTCATCAACACCAACAGGACTATTCTTTACCTTCTTTCTCTTACAGTGACAGCCTGGTTCCAACACACCCGGTCACACACACTCATTTTCCCAATCCTAAAATTCACACAAAATCTCAGAATTCTTACAGCCCTAGCTCTACAAAAATAACCCTGATACAGAGTTCAAGATTTGTTTGCAATTCTTTTTAATCTTACAATTAGAACAACAAACTGTATAAACCATTTTCATAGATCAGTTCTTTCCTTTTCAAGTAGGAGTATGTTATTGTTTCACAATGCAATTTTACACTTGATCTTAGCCAAAAGGCCGAGAAGCGATAGACAACGCCATTTGAATTTGCCTCTATTCGTATTGAATTTTAAGGTATTTTCACACGCACTTGAGTCAGTTTTATTTTTTGACTATGTGAAACACCAACATGCTTCCAAGAGTCAAAAGAATACAGAAAGTTATAATCAGAAAATTTGCAAGAGAATGTTGTATACCGGGACACACTCAAATGATAGAATGCAAGTATGCTCCAGGAAGTCTAACGTGATGGAGAGTCCACCTTGGGGTGAGTTGATCTTGGGTTGACCACAAATCAGGAACAGTGCCTTTATTTTTACCACTAAGCTACTTTCCTTTCTTTTCTCTTTCTTTCTTTCTCTTTATTTCTCTCTTTCTTTCTTTGTTTCTGTCTCTCTCTCTCTCTCTCTCTCTCTTTCTTCTTTCTTTCTTTTTTTGAGACGGAGTCTCGCTCTGTCGCTCAAGCTGGAGTGCAGTGGCCCGATCTCGGCTCACTGCAACCTCTGCCTCCCGGGTTCAAGCAATTCTCTACTTCAGAGTAGCTGGGATTACAGGCGCCTGTCACCACGCCCGGCTAATTTTTCTATTTTTAGTAGAGACAGGGTTTCACTATCTTGCCCAGGCTGGTCTTGAACTCCTGACCTCGTGATCCACCCGCCTCAGCCTCCCAAAGTGCTGGGATTACAGGCATAAGCCACTGCACCCGGCTAAGCTACTCTTCTTTTGGCCCAGCCGTGCCTAAAAGAGGAAGCGCTTCATGTAGGGAATTAACAATGGAATTGGAAACATATAGTGATTATCCTGACACAGAGGGCAGGCTCACATATTGGCCGTCACCAAAGCGTTTTCCGAAGGCCCTGAGTCCAGAGGGGGTATAGCTCAGTGGTAGAGCGCGTGCTTAGCATGCACGAGGTCCTGGGTTCGATCCCCAGTACCTCCAGGCCGTGTTTTCTTCCCCGGGACACCAGTAAGAAGCGGTCCATGATATTCCCCAACTTTAAATTTTTCTGTCTGTCAAGGTGAATTGTGTTGGCCTCTGCATTTCTCTCTCATACAGAGGGTGATGCGTGTTCATTCACTTGAGGTTATTTGCTGCCTAGGATTATCCGCCTATTCTTTCTAAGCAGTCCCATCAATCATTAACATGGACCACGCACGGGGGAAGCAAGTAGTATTCCTGGCCATCCAGCCAATTTCTAGCTGTAAATGAAATCATCAGAAACCATAGACCTGTGTGGCCCAAGTCTGATTTCAGATCAGAAGCTAAAAGGCTCAAGTCTTTTTCTGTTTCTTTTTCTAACTCCTCCTAACCAGGTTGCAGAAGCCCTACAAGCTTTCACTAAAAGATTACACTGCCAGGGGTTGATGGTTTGATGTGTGGTGGTAACCTTTTCCATTGGAGACCCACAAACTCTGAAACTTAAACTACTTAACTACAAACACACAACAAATGACGAAAAGACAGCATTCACCTCAGCTGAAATTTGGTGGAAGTAAAAAGCACTTCTCTGGGTCCTCTGAGGAAGCTTCTGGTCTGAGATGCAAACACTCTGAACTCCAGGGACCAAGATCAGTATAGGAGAAAGCTCATTTTGCTGTTTTACATAAATAAAAGTAATGAACGTTTATTTTTCCAATCCCAAAGGATCCTTTTGTACCTCACAGTACTTACTCTCCAGGATTGACCTCCTTCTAAGCTAGGGAACAACCCATACCTCCAGATTAGAGCTCTTTGTGGTATCACAGTGCCAAGCAGAAATCCACAGAGAAATACTCTGCAAGCATCTTAATACTATCTTGTTAAAAGAAAATCTGCTTTTATTTTCAGCTCTATTTCATGCCAACAAAGGAAATAAAAAATAAGTTACTAAACATCCAGAAGGCAGAAAAGCGACCTCTCTCCATCTGCAGAAGCCAAGCAAACTTGTGGGCTTCCCTATGCATCCTTTCTTTTACTCACTTTCTAAACGCTGTAACGGCCACTATCTATCAGGTGGTCACAAGCCATCGCTAAAGTCAATCTGAGGTCAACCCACTCGACTTGTGAGGGATTCAGCTATACTGCCTCTGCGCCTCTAATAGGACTAAGGAGGCGGTGGTTGCACAAGTAGTTAACACCGATTGTACCGTGACTCCGCCTTTCCGCAGCCGCTCTCCAGCTCTTTAGAGTCCTTTTGAGTCAAGCTGGACGTGAGACATACAGGAGATCGTTGCAAACGCCAGGAGGAGTTTCTTCAGGGTGAAGTTAACTTTCAATCGGCTTCATTCTAAGAGAAATATGTGGAGCAAACAAACGGAAACTTTCTTTCTCATCTTTTGCATTTCAAGCAAAAACTAATAAAATTAGATGTTTCCACCGTCATGCTCAGTTTCGAAGCTGCCAGCAGATCCCGCTTCTAACTTTTAACACAGGCACGCAGGAAATCGGGAAATCCCTGCAGCTCCCTCAGAAGCTACAGTATCAGCGGTTCCTGAAGGGCAAACCAAAACCCAGTATCACTCTCTCCTCCAAAGAGTTCAGCCGGTCTGCTGAGCGACGGAAATAGCGGAGAGGCGCTCTTGAAGCCGAAACGAACCAGGTCCCCTTCCTGGTCGAGTCTTCCTCCCTAAGGACAAAAAAAGTACCTTTCTTCCCTCATATCCAGAGGAAGCGACGGAGGGATGTGGCGCTTAGACTCACTGTACCATCCCGTCCATCCAAGTCCTAATAATCATGAGGATGCGACAGAGCGAGACTCCGTCTCAACAAAACAAAACAAAACAACCCTAAGGAAGAGAGAGAATGTACTGGAGGATAGGAAGTACTTAGGAAAACCTTTTTTTTTCTTGTATTTAAATTTAAGCCTTCATTTATATAAAATAAAACACATGAAACCTATTCAGCTTACGGCTTATTATATATAACCAAAATTCAGGCCAAGATACTGAATTTTTCAGCAACCAACAGCTGCCTTTTGCCTCATTTCAATTATCCTAACTCTCTGACCTCCACCTCCATAGATTATTTTTCTTATGTTTTAAATAATATAAATGGGATCATATAATATCATCGTAGTCTATTTTGGGCTGCTACAAAATCACTCAAGACTGGTAATTTGTAACGAACAGAACCCTTCCCTTCCCTTCCCTTCCCTTCCCTTCACTTCCTGACAGAGTTTCACTCTTGTTGCCCAGGTTGGAGTGCAGTGGCTCAGTCTTGGCTCACTGCAACCTCTGCCTCCCGGATTCAAGCAATTCTCCTGTCTCAGCTTCCTGGGTAGCTGGGATTACAGGCGAATGCTACCACGCCCAGCTAATTTTTCTGTATTTTTAGTAGAGATGGGGTTTCACCATGTTTGCCAGGCTGGTCTCGAACTCCTGACCTCAGGTGATCCATCCACCTTGGCCTCCCAAAACCCTGGGATTACAGGAGACAGCCACTGCACCAGGCCCAGAAACATTTTCTCACAGTTCTGGAGGCTGGGAAGTTCAAGATCAAGTCACTGGCTCTCATGTCTGGTGATGGCCTTTTTGTTGTGTTCTCACATGGCAGAAAACTGAAGGCAATAGAGAGATGAACTTCCTTTGTCAACTCTTATTATAAGGGTACCTAATATTATTCATGAGGAAGGAACCCTCATGGCTTAATCTTCTTAAAGGCCCTATGTCTTGATAATTATCACATGGTGACACCTAAGCTTTGGAGGGGACACTTTCAAACCACAGCAAATCTGTACTCATTTGAGTATGGATTCTTTCACTTAATTTTTGTTAAAAAAATTAGATTCATTTTCTTTTCTTTTTTCTTCTTTTTTTTTTTTTCAAGGTGGAGACTTGCTCTGTCGCCCAGGCTGGAGTGCAGTGGCGCGATCTTGGCTTACTGCAAGCTCTGCCTACCAGGTTCACGCCATTCTCCTGCCTCAGCCTCCCGAGTAGCTGGGACTACAGGTGCCATCCACCACGCCCAGCTAATTTTTTGTATTTTTAGTAGAGACAGGGTTTCACTGTTTTAGCCAGGATGGTCTCGATCTCCTGACTTCGTGATCTGCCCGCCTCAGCTTTCCAAAGTGCTGGGATTACAGGCGTGAGCCTCCGTGCCCAGCCTTCATTTTCTATATATTGTTGCTAGTAACAGTAGTTATTTTCTGTTGCTCTCGAGTATTCTATTGTCTGAATACTGTACATCATGATTTATTAATTCATTTTACTGTCCAAGTACATTTGCAGCACCCCTCGTTTTTGGTTGAAATGTCTAATGCTGCTGTAAACATTCTGATACATGTCCTTCAAGGGAGATGCTCATGCACTTCTCTTGGGTATAAATGTAACCGTCTAGTTTTGGGGTCATAGCATATATATATATATATATATATATATATATATATATATATATATATTTAGTTGATATTTTCAGATAGTTTCCCAGTGTAGATATAGCAGTTTACAGTCTCATCAGCCATGTATGCACGTTCCAATTGCTTCACATACTCAGCAACACTTGATATTATCCACTTTTTGGGTTAAATGATTCCAATGAAGAGCAATATTATTTTGTGTTTTTTTTTTCGACAGTGTCTTGCTGTGCTGCCCAGGCTGGAGTGCAGCGGCACAATCTTGGCTCACTGTAGCCTTTGCCTCCCAGGATCAAGAGATTCTCATGCCTCAGCCTCCTGAGTAGTTGGGACTACAGGGGCATGTGGCCGTCTAAATTTTTGTATTTGTAGTAGAGACCGGGTTTCGCCATGTTGGCCAGCTGGTCTTGAACTCCTAACCTCAAGTGATCCACCCGCCTCGACCTCCCAAACTGCTGGGAGTATAGGCGTGAGCCACTGTGTCCAGCATTGTTGTGTTTTTAATTTGCATTTCCTTTATAGCAAAAGATGTCGAGCATATTTTATTTTACTCAATAGCGATTTTTTGTGAAGTTCATATTAATTTGCTCTTTCTTATTGAAGTTTTAGTCTTTTTCTTAGTGCTTTGTAGAAGTTCTTAACATATTCCAGATAAAGATCCTTAGTAAAATATAAGTATTGGAATATCTTCTCCTAGACTGTGGCTCATCATCTTTTCTTAAGGAGGATGGGGCTTGAAAAACTTTGTAAGCAGATGAAAGAGAAGAAATGGAGACAGACAGGTTGAAGACCCCAGAGGAAGTTCCATCTGGACATCTTACCTGTTGGCTGTGGGAGAAAATGCCCCCAGGCAGTTTGCTGGAGAGGAAACCTCAGAATAAACTGATGGGATGAAATGTTCCAAAAGCAGAAACTGTGTTCTGGTCTGTGATTCTCTTACATTTCTCCTAGCAGCTTCAGGGGATATAGTTTAGAGGTAAGAAATAGTGAGATATGAGACAGTGGATTTTCTATCCGGCCAACTTACCATATTTTTGAAGACCTCTCAGAAATATGACTAATGCGTCAAAAAAGATCTTCACGATGTTTCTGTAGCGAGAGAGGTGTGGCTCAGTGGTAGTGTGTCCTTGCCTTGCACAGAGTTCAAAAGCATACATGTTCATCTGTTTTTCACAATTCTCGCCACTCTGTACTTTTCTCCTTTTAAAAACATGCCTTGCGTGGTCACACTAAAATAAACATATTATACTTTCCATTTCCACTCCCTGGGTCTCTGTACCACCCAAGGTGGATGTGTCAGCACAAGACGAGTGAAAGGAAGGGAATAGCGAAAATGAATTTTCTCGCTCAGGATTTCCTTAGTCAGAAGCTATAAACCTGCCACCACATTAACGTGCCCAATAATCCTCTGTTCCTTTTTGCCATATCGTTGAAGAGCAAGACAGAAAAACAAGAGCCCAGAGAAAAGGAAAAGCCTAGAAAATTTTCTTTTGAATTCCCTTGGTATTCTGAGCAGTGACCATGTAGGGGAGCATGTTCTTACTTTGCTCTATTCTTCATTTTTGCCTTTTCTTTCCCTGGCTTTTGCTAACCCATTCATTGTCCTTAAAATTGGGTCCTGTTTTCAGACATAAATTGGGGAAGAATCTATATTTTGGGGGTGAAGGGGTGAGTGAATGACAGGTGATATTGAAGACAACAGAATTGGAAGATATACTGACCCTACAAATGAGTTTTTATATTTTGAAGAAACACCTAAAACAACAAATTCGGGAAGCCGAAATAGCTCAGTTGGGAGAGCGTTAGACTGAAGATCTAAAGGTCCCTGGTTCGATCCCGGGTTTCGGCAGGGTTTTTTTTTTTTCTTTCTTTCTTTCAGTTTTGCCTAATAGAACCCTTATTTTGTTTATTTATTTATTTTTTGACGGAGTTTCACTCTTGTTGCCCAGGCTGAGTGCAATGGAGCGAACTCGGCTCACCGCAACCTCCGCCTCCTGAGTTCAAGCGATTCTCCTGCCTCAGCCTCCCGAGTAGCTGGGATTACAGGCATGCGCCACCACGCCTGGCTAATTTTGTATTTTTAGTAGAGACGGAGTTTCTCCATGTTGGTCAGGCTGGTCTCGAACTCCCGACCTCAGGTGATCGGCCCGCCTCGGCCTCCCAAAGTGCTGGGATTACAGGCGTAAGACACAGCGCTCGGCTGATACAACCCTTATACAACACTTGCATGCCAATCCCAGAAAGGTGTATAGAACTCCAATTTTTTGCTGTTGAAAATCCGATAAAGGTAATACACACACACACACACACACACACACACACGCATATATATATATATGCATCACTCTCTGCTTTGGTTGCATATTCCAGTGAAGTCTTCCATGAAGCGCTGACATTAAATAAATTATTTACAGTCTGAAACCTAGGAAGTGATTTTTTTTTTTTTTGAGATTGAGTTTCGCTCCGATGCCCAGGCTGGAGTGCAGTGGCGCGATGTCGGCTCAGTGCAATCTCCGCCTCCCGGGTTCAAGGATTCTCCTGGCTCAGCCTCCCCAGTAGCTGGGATTACAGGCGCCTTCCATTTCAAGTCGTATACTGTATTCTAAATAATTTGTATCCCCCGTTAGTACCTAGTATCTTCTACTCACAGCAGCTGCAGACGCTCCACAATACTCAGAAAAAGAAAGTTACCTCCTGGAAATTATTACAAGAAGGATTTTTTTCAGGAAGGGGGTGTAGCTCAGTGGTAGAGCGCATGCTTTGCATGTATGAGGTCCCGGGTTCGATCCCCGGCACCTCCAAACGGTGACTTTTTGCTCTGGTAGTGCTCAAACCTAATTCTCAAGCAACATAGACTTACTTCTGCCTCCGCACCTTTTTCTGTCCTATTTCTGCACATATAGAGAGTAAAGACGTAACCCAATGGGTTGCCTCCATTTATAACCCATTTCTATGCCGTGAGCTTCGACATCACTGAAGGCGATTGTGACGGCAGAAGGAAGGTGAAAAAGAAATGAGGAAGAAAGAAGAATGGGATCCCAACAGGGTCTCTTGAACCCAAACAAAAGTGTGCACATCCACGGGAGGTTCACATTTGCTCTCATTTTGTGCTATGATTAAAGAGAAGGAAAGACAAAGAAGAAGGGAGAAAAGCGCCCCGCGGCCATTCTTTTTTTTTTTTTTTTTTTTTTTTTGGAGACAGAGTCTCGCTCTGTAGCCCAGGCTGGAGTGCAGTGGCTTAATCTTGGCTCATTACAACCGCTGCCTCCCGGGTTCAAGCGATTCTTCTGCCTCGGCAGGTGGGTTTACAGGTGCGTGCCATCAGGCCCGGGTAATTTTTGTATTTTTAGTAGAGACGGGGTTTCACCATGTTGGCCACACTGGTCTCGAACCCCAGACCTCAGGTGATCCACCCGCCACAGTTTCCCAAAGTGCTGGGATTACAGGCGTGAGCCACCGCTCCCAGCATCATCTTTTTTGTTTGTTTGTTTTTTGTTTTTTTTTACTTTAGTTTTGTTTTCTGGGCCAAAGAACAGAGCGAAAGCATCTGTCCACTGATTTCTCCTCCAGTCTCTCCCTGTCAACCTGCGCAGAAAGCACAGCCACAAGTGTAATCCAATACTGAGACAAGGACTGCTGTGGCTCTCCAGCCGCTTGAGATGGGAGTGGAAGGACGCTGGATGACCGAACAAAGACTGTCAGGGAATAAGAGACCTTCAACATGAGAGGAGCAGAAACCAATACGGATCAACATTCCCTACTGATACAATTGATTCATTTTCCTGTATTTCCTCAGCCATTCCATTTTCCTTGTTAAAATAAAACATTGCCTGGAAACCTCTGTTAACAGCCAACGGAGGACTCATGTGAAAAAGTAGGAAAAGTTTTTCTGTCACAATGGAAAATAGACGCAAAGTAAAAGGTGAGTGGATCGCAGGTGTGTTGAGCACTTCCTCAGGTAAAAACAAAAGAAAACAAATTTTTTTTGTTCTTTCTCTGTCAATCCCATCACAATTGCATTGCATGACCAGGGAACTCCCAGGAAATCCTATTCACTGATGATACCTTTTAGGGGTTTCCAATGTTGTATGTTTCAAAATTGCTGTCCTCTGTACATGTTTGCTGTTGAATCAAAGCATCTTTGAGAGGCAACAGAGTATGATGTTTGTCACCATCCACCAGTCTAACACTCTATCAGGCTGGGATGTCCTCACTTCTTGATTCTTTTATCCGGTGAAAATATCCATAACCAGTATCCAGGAGGGATACTGTCTGGTGAAACCTGCTTAGCTGAGGATTGGCTGTGTGCCCCCAGGCCAATCATATGTTTGTTTCAAGATGCATTTTTTGGAGACAGGTAACGAAGAGATGCCATATATTTTCTTTTCATTTCTTAATATTTCCCCCCTACTATCTACTGGTTCTCTCCAGGCACTTTAAGGAAATAGTGTCATGTTTGCCACAAAGGATGCTGCACAGGAGAGCAAGGCATGAGGGATTAGGGTGCTACTAGTGGAATGTCAAATTCCAGGCCCAACCTCAGATCTACAGAATCAGAATTGATGAGAGTGGGACCCAGCCACCTGTGTTGAATAAGCCCTCAAGTGACTCTGATGCTAAAGTTTGAGAAGCACTGCTCTAGAAGTTTCAGAAGGAGTTCAGGGCCAGATGCTTGCTAAGGAGAAAGAGTTGCTCCCGGGGTTCCCTGCCTATTTTCAATAAAAAACTCAAACCACGTAGGAAAGCCAGTGACGTATTTGCATTACATCAGGATGAGAGTGGATTTATTACCTCTTTGAGACCTTCAATATTTTAGATGACTAGAGATCACACACAAGAGCCTCTGATTTTCCTGTAGAAGAACTCACAGGGGTTCTTTAGAGCCAGGAGACTCTTTCCAGCCAAAATACCTGGAGCCATCTCAAGCTATTTTGGCCTTTCAATTTGAAACCTAAGGCCTTTCCTTAGAGCTTGGAAGTTTCTAAGCTCTGAGGAAGACACTGTAATCATTCTTGCTCCACCCTCAGGGTTGGAATTCACCCTGCTCTCTGTCAAGCCCCCACCAATTCTGCCAATATTCTGGTCTAAGATCCAGTTGTTAAAAACCCAGTCTATGTGGCTGGGGGCGGTGGCTCATGCTTGTAATCCCAGCACTTTGGGAGGCCAAGTCGGGTGAATCACGAGGTCAAGAGATCGAGACATTCCTGGCCAACATGGTGAAACCCGTCTCTACCAAAAATACAAAAATTAGCTGGGCATGGTGGCCGGGGAGGCTGAGGCAGGAGAATAAAAAATTAGCTGGGCATGATGGCCATGCCTGTAGTCCCAGCTACGGGGAGGCTGAGGCAGGAGAATCCCTTGAACCTGGGAAGCGGAGATTGCAGTGAGCCGAGATGGCACCACTGCACTCAAGCTTGGTGACACAACGAGACTCCATCAAAAACAAAAAACAAAAACAAACAAAAAAAGCAATCTAATGCATAAAATGTAATTAAAATATCTTCGCAGCATTAAGTAGAGAGTTCCTTGTGGTTAGGAGACTCTTCCTCCTTGGAAGATGTTCTCTGTCTGTCTACCTTCTGCGTTTTCACATTTGTCTCTTCCTCTCCACACCTAAGCCAGTGCTTTATTTCCACTTATCTCGTGTAGGGATATACTTTTGTGTGGTGACCTTGGTTTTGCCCACTCTTCTTGCTTCCAAGAGTTGGATGTAGGCAATGTAGGAGCCCACTGCCAAAGTGTGGGTGATATTCTCCAGAAAGAAACCTAAATTTCAGAGGCTTGCTGATATGGAAGAAAGCCTAGGATATTCGACTCATAGAGCTTCGCACTGCTAGGCAGGTTGAAATCTGGACACCCTGAATTCCTTAGGAACAAGGTATAAGTACTTCTGAAAACCAATTTAAGTTTAAAATATACTGAGACTCCCTGATCTTTCTTGTATTTCATGACATATTCCAAGCTCAAGAAGCTAAACACACACACACACACTCAAATACCAAAACAGAACACACTCTCCTACCTATAACAAAGGGGCTTAAGCAGGAGGGTCTAGAGAGACCTGGTTCAACACTCTCCCCCTGACGAACAGTAGGGATTGGAAATAGGCGGCTTCTCTGTCCTTTCCTCGGAAGCCACCAATACCACCCGCCTGTACCAAAACTCAAGGGTACCCCTGCTCCCCAGTACCCCAGCCAGTAAAGGAGCTGCGAGGCGTTCTCAACGCCGCGACTACCTTGAGTAAAACGAGGGAGATCTTGCGGGGAAAGTGTTTTCAGCTCACTTCTCCTACAGGGAATGAGCCCTCTCACCTATCGTGGACACCGAGGAAACGCAGCAGAGATGGGCACCCAGGCTGCCCAGATCCTCTGGCAGCCTCGGGTGCTCGTCCACTTCGCTCCTCCTCCGCCTTTGCTGCCGCAGCCGCAGGTGCGCACCCCACCGCGTCCCTGCTTCCCTCCTCGAGCTCTTGTGGTCGAGCTCAGGTGGTCCTTGTTCTCCTCTCCATCCATCGTTACTTGAGTCTCAAAACTGGAGCCACAACGTCCCCAAGATGAAATCCATGCTGGGTTTCAGCCACGGTGCCGGCCCAGGGGCTGGCGAGGGTAAGGACAGGCAGCGACCCACTTCCTGGGTCTTCATTTCTAAGAGCTGGGAATTCCACCTTCTCACCTCCTCACCTGGACCTAAATCCCCCAGGCGGTACTGACCATTCTGTTTTTTTATCCACCTACGCTACTCTTCGTGTGACAGCCCTTGAAGGCAGAAGGAAAAGAAGATGTAAGAAGGGAGAATTTAAAAAACACTTTAAAAATTAATTAATCTGAATACTCAAAGTATCCCCAGGTCATGTATCCTTTTAAGATATGCCTACATTGGCATAGGCGGTGGCTCATGCCTGCAATCCCAGCACTTTGAGAGGCCGGGGCAGGCGGATCACCTGAGGCCAGGAGTTGGAAACCAGCCTGGCCAACATGGTGAAACCCCATCTCTACTAAAAATACAAAAATTAGCCGGGCGTGCTGGCACGTGCCTGTAATCCTAGCTACCTGGGAGGCTGAGGCAGGAGAATCGCTTGAACCTGGAAGGTGGAGGTTGCAGTGAGCCCAGATTGCACTACTGCATTCCAGCCTGGGCAACACAGCAAGACTCCTTCTGGGGGAGGGGGTGGAGGGCGGGGGCGACGAATTATACAGTGAAACTTTCTTGAACCTGAAGAGTCTGTTTTTTTTTTAAAGTTTTTATATCACAAATTTAATTTCCTTAGTAGTTACAAGGTTATAGAAAAATATATTTCATATTGAGTGAGTTGTGATAGTTTGTGATTTTCAAGGAATTAGTCCATCTCATCTAAGTTTTCAAATTTGTGTGTAAAGTGTTGTTCATAGTATTCATTTACCCTTTTGATGTCAGCAGAGTCTATAGTGATATACTCTTCTTTTTATTCTTGATATTGGCAATTTGTGTCATCTCTCTTCTTAAAAAATTATCAGTCCTCCTAGAGGTCTTCTTTTATTGATCTTTTAAAGGAACTAGCTTTTTGTTTGTTTTTCTATTTTGTGCGTGTGTGTTCAGTTCCGTTTATTTCTGCTCATTTCCTTTCTTCTATTTGCTTTGGGTTATTTTCCCCCACCTGAGTTCTTCAAGTAAGAGCTTAAAGGACTGATTTGAGACTTTTTTCTTTTCTTTCTTTTTTTTTTTTTTTTTTTTTTTTTTTTTTTTTTTTTTTTGGCCGGGCTGGTCTCCAACTCCTGACCTTGTAATCCACGCGCCTCGGCCTCCCAAAGTGCTGGGATTACAGGCGTGAGCCACGCGCCTGGCCGACTTTTTTCTTTTCTAATGTATGCACTTAGTGCTGTAAATTTCTCTCTCAGAGATTAAGTTGTCTTGGAAATTTTGATACATTGTGTTTTCATTTTTATTCAGGTTAATTTATTTTTTTGATCTCTACTAAGGCTTTCTCTTTGTCCTATGGAATATTTAGTAGTGTGTTGTTCATTTTCCAAGTGTTTGGATATTTTTGTTGTCTTTCTGTGACTGATTTTTAGTTTGATTTCATTGTGGTTAGGGATCATACTATGTCAGTCAATTCTTTTAAATTTGTTGAGGCCCAAGGTATGAGGTATGTTCTATCTTGATCTACGTTACGTATGAATTTGAAATGAATGCGTGTTCTGCTTTTCTTGTGTGGACTGTTCTATACATGGTGACTGAATTCTGTTGCCTGAAGATGATTTGGGGTTCTTCAATATCCTTGCAGATTTTCTGTGTAGTTTTTCTGTTATTATGAGAGAAATGGCGCGGGCGTGGTGGCTCACGTCTGTAATCCCAGCATTTTGGGAGGCCGAGGCGGGTGGATCACCAGGTCAGGAGATGGACACCACCCTGCCTAACATGGTGAAACGCCGTCTCTACTAAAAATACAAAAAATTAGCCGGGCGTGGTGGCGGGCGCCTGTAGTCCCAGCTACGCAGAGGCTGAGGCAGGAGAATGGCGTGAACCCGGGAGGCGGAGCTTGCAGTGAGCCAAGATTGCGCTACTGCACTCCAGACTGGGCGACAGAGCGTGTGAGGAGACGATTGAAAAACCCAAAAAGAAGAAAAAGCAAAAGCCCCAGGAGATTCATCAGGAGAATGGAATGGAAGACCCATCTATCTCTTTCTCCAAACCCAAGAAAAAGAAATCTTTTTCCAAGGAGGAGTTGATGAGTAGCGATCTTGAAGAGACCGCTGGCAGCACCAGTCTTCCCAAGAGGAAGAAGTCTTCACCCAAGGAGGAAACAGTTAATGACACCGAAGAGTCAGGCCACAGAAGTGGCTCCAAGAAAACGAGGAAATTCTCCAAAGAGGAGCTGGTCAGCAGTGGGCCTGAAGAGGCGGCTGGCAAGAGCAGCTCCAAGAAGAAGAAAAAGTTCCATAAAGCATCCCAGGAAGATTAGAATGCAAATGGACATTCTCTGGGAGGTGGGGCATACCATAGCCCAAGGCGACATTTCCCACCCTGTGCCGTCTTCCCCAATAAGAACAAATTCACAAAAAAGAGAGAGAGAGAAGTGAAGTCTCTAATGTAACTGCATTTGTCGATTTTTTTAATTCTATCTTTTTTGTTTTTTAAAATATTTATTTATGTATTACATTTATTTATTTATTTATTTATGAGTCAGAGTCTCGCTCTGTCACCCAGGCTGGAGTGTAGTGGCACCATCTCGGCTCACTGCAACCTCCACCTCCCGGGTTCAAGCAATTCTCGAGCCTCAGCCTCCCTAGTAGCTGGGACTGCAGGTGCACGCCACTGCACCACCATGCCCGGCTAATGTATGTATTTTTAGTAGAGACGGGTTTCACCATGTTGGCCAGGCTACTTTCCAACTCCTGGCCTCAGGTGATCCGCCCACCTCGGCCTCCCAAAGTGCTGGGATTACAGGCGTGAGCCACTGCGCCCTGTCTGGGTGTTTTGTTTTGTTTTGTTTTGAGACAGAGCCTTACTTTGTTGCCCAGGCTGGAGTGCAGTGGCACGATCTTGGCTCACTGCAACCTCCGCCTCCCAGGTTCAAGCAATTCTCCTGCTTCAGCCTCCCGAGTAGCTGGGACTACAGGGCGCACGACCACGCCCAGCTTTTTTTTTTTTTTTTTTTTTTTTTTTTAGTAGAGATGGGGTTTCACCATGTTGGTCAGGATGGTCTCAATCTCCTGACTTTGTGATCCGCCCGCCTCGGCCTTCCAAAGTGCTGGGATTACAGTCGTGAGCCAGCGCGCCCGGTCCTGTTTTTTTTTTTTTTTTTTTTTTTTTACATGTTGCAGCTCTGCTGTTTGGTGTATACATATTTAGGATTGTTATGCCTTCTTGGTGGATTTTCTTTGTTCTTAAGTTTATATTAATATAGTCACTTTTGCTTTCTTTTGATTAACTTTTGCATGTAATATATTTTATCCCCTTAATTTCAGCCTGCTTATATAATTATATTTGAAATGAGTTTCTTTTAGATAGTGTATAGTTGGATTATGTTTTCTAATCTGTTCTGTCAATCTCTCCCTCCCTCCATTCCTTTCTTCCTTTTGCCCTCTCTCCTTCCTTTCTTTCTCTCTCGCTCCTTCCTTCTTTCTTCCTTCCTTTCTTTTCTTTCTTCCTTTATTTTCTTTCTATTTTTAATAGACGGGATCTTGTTTTGATGACCAGACTAGAGTGCAGTGGCTATTCACCAGGGCAATCGTAGAGCACTGGGGCTTCCAACTCCTGACCTCAAGCTGTTTTCCTGCCTCCTCTTCAGCCTCCTGAGTAGGTGTAGCTGGGACTATAGATGCAGGCCACCACGCCTGGCTCATGGTTTGTTTTTGTTTTTTTGTTTTTTTTCTCATCCTTCTTTTAAAGTCGCTAAATAAAAATCATACCTGGATGTCTGGAAATGTCAGTTAACATCAAACATGTTGCTGCCATGAAGTGCCAGACAATTCTTTTTTAGTACCTAAAAAAGTGTCCCTCCTCTGAGAAGAGGACAAATAGTTCACAGATGTGTAAGACATTTTAACTGTAGTGAAACAGCAGCCATTTCCTCTGCTGTTTCCTGTCCGTCTAATCACTTCTGCTTTTACTTTCTTTCTTTTTTCTTTTTTTTTTTTTAAGACGTAGTCTCGCTCTCTCTCCCAGGCTGGAGTGCAGTGGCGCGATCTCAGCTCACTGCAAGCTCCGCCTCTCGGGTTCACGCCATTCTCTGCCTCAGCCTCCTCGAGCAGCTGGGACCACAGGCGCCCGCCACCACGCCAGGCTAATTTTTTGCATTTCTAGCAGAGACGGGGTTTCACTGTGTTAGCCAGGATGGTCTCGATCTCCTGACCTCGTGATCCGCCCGCCTCGGCCTCCCAAAGTGCTGGGACTACAGGCGTGAGCCACCGCGCCCGGCTATGCTTTTATTTTCAAGGCACTAATCAAAATTTCTGGCCTACTGATGGCCCTATTTAAAGGGTTTCCTGGGCTATGATAGTTTCAAACTCTATATTTCCTGAAGACTAATAAAGAGGGAAGGGAGTTCTGTTTGTCAACTTTACTGTTTCTTTTCCTCCTTCCCTTCCTTCCATTCTTTCTTTCTTTTTCTCCTGTCACTCTCTTTTTTTTTTGCTGCTTTTCTCCAAAAAAGAACTTCACTATTTCTTTCCCTACCAGAGCAGCCCCTCATTACCTCCTGACTCTGAGAAAGAAACTCTGTCTCTTTCAGATGTCCTTAGTTGATTGACTCACAAGCAAGGAGTGTGACAAGGAAAATAGAATAAAACACCTTCTAAATTCTAATACAAATTGAGAAATTTGTACCTTTGTCTCTGCCTTGCAACATTTAAAATAAAGTGGGACCATCTGAGAAGCATATATTGTTCAAATCTTGGGATAATTTCAAAACATCTTTTCCTCAATGACAAATCAACAATACTGGAATACATATCATATATATGTAGTATGTATTATATATATATATCAGACAAAGATTATTTCTCTAAACTATTTGATAATGATTTTCAGACATCATATCTTTTTATTCTTAAATACTTCAATGTGTATTTCTTAAGAAAAAGGTCAATTCCTTAACACAACACAATTATCAAGTTCAGTAAATTTGACATTGATAAATGTGAATATAGTCTAATATAAAGTCTATTAAAAATTGTCTAATTGTACCAATAAAAACTTTTATAGAAATTTCTCTTCCAAGCTAGGATCCATTTCAGAATCACATATGAATCTAGTTGTCTTGACTCTTTAGTGCCCTTTAATTTGGAACAGTTTCTTAATCTTCTTGTCTTTCACAACACCGACATGTTTTTGAAGAGTTTTTCCAGTGGTTTTGTGCAACGTTTCTTAATCTGTATTAGCCATGATAAGATTACATCGGGTTATGGAATTTGGGAGAAATGTCACAGAAATCACGTTATTACCCTCTCTCACACCAAGAGGCATGAGCTGACTGAAGTTAGCTTGATCACTTGATTTTAAGTTTGTAATTACTGTTTCTTCCCTGAAAAATTATCATTTTCCTCATTGTAATTAATAAATAATCTACAGGGAAATACTCTGAGACTACGTAAATATCCTGATCCTCATCAAATTTTTACCTATACTTTAACATTAACTTACAAATTTTGCCTGCATCTATCATCATTCTGATGGTATTGTTTAAATGGGGATTTTTAAATTTTATCCTCACTTTGTTTCTTTGTTCATTTTTTTGAGACGGAGTCTCGCTCTGTCGCCCAGGCTGGAGTGCAGTGGCGCAATCTTGGCTCACTGCAAGCTCCGCCTCCCGGGTTCACGCCATTCTCCTGCCTCAGCCTCCCGAGTAGCTGGGACTACAGGCACCCGCCACCACGCCCGGCCAAGGTTTTGTATTTTTAGTGGAGAGGGGGCTTCACCGTGTTAGCCAGGATAGTGTCGATCTCCTGACCTCGTGATCCACCCGCCTCAGCCTCCCAAAGTGCTGGGATTAAAGGCGTGAGCCACTGCGCCCGGCACTCACTTTCACATTTATCATTTGGCAAACCACTGTAAGGAAAATCGTCCCGTCCTCCATATTTATTTGTTTAAGTTCCCAAGAATGATAATCAGTTATTGTCATCACTGATGCTAAAAGTGTGTCAGATTTGGCCAGTGAGATTCCCTTCAAGCTGGCTTCTGTGTCCTTTTAAATCACCCCCGTCATTTCTGAGCACTTACATTCTGGCAAGGCAAGATATCTTAGGTTCATTTTGCAGTTTCCCTGGCACAGTCCTGGAGTCTGTGTAGTTGACACTAATAGCTACTTTCTATTAGTATCTCTGGTTCCTTTTAGTAGGGAATGGTATTTGAAAATCAAGATACAGAGTTATCTTTGCTCATTGCTTCTGAGGTATCATTTCTTCTAGGCCCAGTTAGCAGATAGATCTGTGGGGAAATTTTACAATTTCATATGTACAATTTCATACTGATGCCTCTAATTCCCATCAGTATCAACAGGACTATTCTTTACCTTCCTTCTTCTCCCACAGTGAGAGTCTGTTTCCAACAACAGACACTCGATTTCCCAATCCTAAAATTCACACAAAATATCAGAATTGCTACAGCCCTCACTCTACAAAAAATAATCCTGATACATAGAGTTTAAGATTTGTTCGATGTTCTTTTTGATCTCACAATTAGAACAACAATCTGTGTAAACCATTTTCTTATATCAGTTCTTTCCTCTTCAATGTGGTTATGTTATTCTTTTGAAATGCAGTTAATTTGCCTCTATTTGTACTGAATTTTAGGGTATTTTCACACATACCTGAGTTTTATTTTTTGACTATGGGAAACACTAAGATGCTTCCCAGAGTCAAAAGAAAAAAGTTATAATCAGAAAATTTGCAAGAGAATGTTGTATGCCGGAGGTCACTCAAGGGATAGAATGGAATTATGCTCCAGAAAGTCTAATATGATGGGGAGACCACTTTGGGGTGAGTTGATCTTGGACTGACCACAAATCAGGAACATCAGGAACAATGCCTTTGTTTTTACCACAAGATATCTTTCTCCTGGTGTAGCCATGCCCGAGAGAGAGAGAGAGAGAGAGAGAGAGAGAGAGAGAGAGAGAGAGAGAGAGAGAGGGCGCTTAGTGTCGGGAATTCATAAACAGTGGAATTGGAAACATACAGTGATTGTCTTGATGACACAGAGCACAGACTCAGGCAACGGAGATCACCAAAACATTTTCCCAAGCTCCTGATCTCCTGCGGGGGTATAGCTCAGGGACAGAGCACGTGGTTAGCATGCGTGAGGTCCTGCGTTCAACTTCCAGTATTTCCACTCTTTTTTTTCCTATGAGCCACCTTAGGAAGTTCTCCATGATATTCCCCACCTATTCAAGGGAATTGTGTTGGCCTCTGCATTTCTCTCTCATACAGGGAGATAATTCGTGTTCATTCACTTACAGTTCTTTGTTGCTTAGAATTATCCCCCTGTCCTAATTAGTTCCACAAATCACTAATGTGGATCACACACTATAGAAGCAAGTAGTATTCCTTGCCATCCCGCCGATTTCCAGTTTAAATAAAATAGTCAGAAACCATTGAATTCTGTGACCTAAGTCTGATTTCAGATCAGAAGGTTAAGGCTCAAGTTCTTTTGCGTTTCTTACTTTCTTCTAACTGCTTCCTCACCCAGGTTGCAAAAGTCCTGCAAGCTTTCACTAAAAGATTCCACTACAAGTGGCTGATGATTGCTGGTGATGTGCTGGTGGTCACTTTTTCCATTAGAGACCGACAAATTCTGAAACTTAATCCAAGCTATTTAACTACAAACATAAGGACAAATGACAAATATAATGACAAATGAGGAAAAGATCTCAATCACCTCAGCTGAAATTTAGCAGGGAGAAAATTACTTCTCTTGGTTCTTTAAGGAAGTTTCTGGTCTGAAATGGCAAGCTCTCTGAACTCCAGAGTCCAAGATCCATCTAGGGTAGAAGCTCGTTTCTTCTTTTTTTTTTCTTTTTTCTTTCTTTCTTTTTTTTTTTTTTTTTTTTTTTTTTTTTTTTTTTTTTTTGAGATGAAGTCTCACTCTGTTGCCCAGGCTGGACTGCAGTGGAGCGATCTTGGCTCACTGCAAGCTCCGCCTTCTGGGTTCAAGCAATTCTCCTGCCTCAGCCTCCTGAATAGCTGGAAATACAGGCACTTGCCACCTCGCCTGGCTAATTTTTTGTATTTTTAGTAGAGATGGGGTTTCACCATGTTGGCCAAGCTGGTCTCAATCTCCTGACCTCGTGATCTGCCCACCTTGGCCTCCCAAAGTGCCGGGATTACAGGCGTGAGCCACTGCACCCAGCCAAAACCTCATTTCTTTGTTTTGTTTTGTTTTTTTTAATAAATAAAAATAATGAACTTTTATTCTCCCAATCCCAATGGATCCTTTTCTACCTCACTGTACTTACTTTCAAGGAATAACTTCCTTCTTAGCTACTGAACATCCCATATCTCCAGATTAGAACCCTGCACAATTTCTAATTCTGATATCACAGTGCTAAGCAGAAATTCACAGGGGGATACTTGGCAAGCATCTTAACACTATTTTGTTAAAAGAAAATCTCCTTTTATTTTCCACTCTATTTCATCAAAGGATTAAAAATTAAGTTACTAAACACCTAGAAGGCAGAAAAGCAGCCTCTTTCTCCATGTGCAGAAGCTAAGCAACCCAGTGGGGCTTCTGTATGCATCATCTCTTTTACTCACTTTCTAAAAGCTGTAACCGTCCACCATCTACCAGGCGATCACAAACCACCCCTTAAGTCAATTTTGAGGTTAACCCACTTGACTTGAGAGGGATTCACCTGTACCACCTCTGCAGCTGTTATGTGAGAAATAAACTCATCCATCTAAACCCAAAGAATGGACTCAGAGACCCGGAGAACAGCGAAAGTGAGACTTTTAATGACGGTCTTGAGAGATCAAGATCGGGTGTCTGGCGTGCAGGCACACCCAGAACAGTTTCAACAAGCAATTTGTCCCCTAGTGCGCAAGTCCCTCCCCAGGTTCCTCATAGGCTGAGTGCTATGGGGTTACAATTTTCTCGGCGTTTGCCTACTGATTGTTAGGCAAAGGCTTTAGGTGTCTCTTTTTTAGGGTTGTCTTGCTGCATTTTGTTGCAGCCCACAATGCATTGCAATCCTGGTTAGCTCAAGGGCTCTTTAAGTGTTTGACTTATGACCTAAGTAGCTGGGCAGGCTGATAAGAACAGACAAAGTGAGCTATTTTGCAGACTAGTAAACTTATATCTTAGACTAAACTGTTTTTGTTTGGGTGAAGGCCACCAAGGATGGGGGATGGGAAGGGGGAGGAAAGAGGGGGGCGACAAGCAGGCATCCGCTATCCAAGCAGGGACCTAGTATACCCTGTTTCTTCTGTACTTTGCTGACCTAAGCCAATTTAAGGCACTTTGTCTTGGAAATAGATCACTGTATACATTATTTCCTTCAGGAATAGCACTAAGGAAAAGGTGGCTGCACACGTAGTTAACACCGATTTTACCGCGACTTTGTAGTACCTAACCTTGTTTTTAGACTCTCCCTTAATCGCCTAGCCTTGTTTCCACATGAATAGGCTCTTCCTTAGCTGAGAAAGCCGGAAGTACTCCTTTTGGCTCCTTCATTTACAAGACGTCAAAGACTCCTTACCCACCCCCTTCCTCAAGCAGTTAACTTGTGTAAGCTGACTCTTACATATCAAAGAGTCCAATTAACTGATAAGGTACTGAAGCAAGCAATTTACGAAGTTACCAGGATTTCGCTCAAGAGATAACACCATAAAGCTTTGAGTTTGTGTCCGGGAGAGCCTCCATACCTAACGCCTTATGATAGATTTAGAGCCCCTGCACCTGGAACTGTTTGTTTCCTTGTAACCATTTGTCTTTTTAATTTTTTTGCATGCTTTTACTTCTGTAGAATTGCTGCAACTAAGCTCCCCCTCCCCTTTCTAAACCAAAGTATAAAGGAAAATCAAGCCCCTTCCTCGGGGCCGAGAGAATTTCGAGCGTTAGTCGTCTGTCGGTCGCCGGCTAATGAAGGACTCTTAAATTCGTCTCGAAGTGTGGCGTTTCTCTAACTCGCTCGGGTACAACATTTGGAAGCCCCAGCGAGATATATTCGCCACTGGGCGAGAGCCGGGCTAGCTCCGGGCTCCCCCGGAGGGACGGCCGGCTTATAGGCGAGGAGCCACCTGAAAAAAAATTTTCCAGGTCCCCGAAAGGCGACCGTCTTCCGGAGGACAGCGGATCGACTACCGTGTGTGTGTGCCCACAAAATTCAACCTCTGAGTCCTCAGCTTCTGACCCCGGGGTCAGGTAAGTTAGATTTGACTTCTGTTTGGTGAGAGGGAGGCAGCCCTGACGAGGGCATCCCTGTCTTTGACACTGCCCGCTTTTCCAGGGCGCTGGAGGACAGAGCCCTGGTTTTTCTGTTAGGCGCCTTTTGGTTCTGGTTTGGTGAGAGGGAGGCAGCCCTGACGACGGTGTCCCTCTCTTTGACTCTATCCATACTCCAGGACGCTGGAGGATAGAGCCCTGGTTTCTGGCAGGCCGGCCTCTCCATTAAGACTAGTCTCTCACTCTCTCCTCCTCTTTTTCTTTCTCTCCCCCTTGCTCTATCTCTTCTCCTCCTCTCGTTCAGGTCTTCTGGGACCTTTGTTTAGAACGGGAAATAACAAAAATTGTTATAAACTCTTTGTGAATGTGTGCACGACTGAGGAGTCCAGGGGCCTGCCTCTGGATCCCCAGTTTGTAGCTCCACGGCGAAAGCTACGGAGTTCGAGTGGGCCCTCACCTGCCGTTCCGTGGCGACCTCATAAGGCTTAAGGCAGCATCGGGCATAGCTCCATCCGAGCCGGGGGTTTATACCTGCCTGCCAATGCTAAGAGAAGCCCAAGTCCCCTCAGGGGGAGCGGCCAGGCAGGCATCTGACTGATCCCATCATGGGACCCCCTCCCCTTGTCTGTCTAATAAAAACCTACCATAATTGTTTATATACCCAAGGGTCTATTGTTTGTTTTGTGTTTGTTGTCCTGCTCGGTGTCTATTGTCCTGTTTAGTGGTTGTCAAAGTTTCGTATGTCAGGTCATCGATACTGCCCAAGACGTCTGGGCAGGAACTTCTTCAAGGTCTTTAGTGTTGATTTTTTATCACAGGAGGTTAAATTTCTCATCAATCGCTTAGGCTGGCCATCCCAGTCCTGCCTTTTCTGTCAGAAACAAATCAGGTGTTGTTACGGGAACGGGAACGAGTGTGAGGAACATTCGCCTGTTTGGGATTTCTGGCACCATGAAGATTGCTGGCATTTAGATTGTCATACCCCATGTCCAAGTGACTGGGCCACCTCCAGACTAAACCGGTGGTAGGTTCAAAATAGCCACCCTGCAGACCTCCTTGCTCACCTCTTTTGTCATCCCGTAACTTTTTCTGTGCCCTTAAATACGGCACTGTGCAGAGAAACCTACGCCCGTACCACTTTACTTCGTTTAAACCCTTATTCTATTCCTCTGTGGCTACTCTCCTACCCTAGGAAAGATCCGAGTGGCCCTTTTTCCTCCTCATCCCTACCACTTACCCCGTACATCTCGTTTTCCCGTGTCACAGCAAGTTCAGCGTCTCCAGGACTTGGCTCTGCTCTCACTCCTCAAACTCTTAAAAGAAAAGGCCGAATTTGAGCTATTTGCCTTTGAGTCGTGGAGACACCAAAAGTATTTAGGCTACAGGTCCAGGGAAAGAGGGAGGACGCCTAGGTCCATCCAGCCAAGGAGACCTAAGGTTGGCCTCTAGTCCTCCTCCCTCAATCTTGGATAATTATTCTTTTTTTTTTTGAGACAGTCTTCTCTGTCGCCCAGGCTGGAGTGCAGTGGCGCGATCTCAGCTCACTGCAAGCTCCGCCTCCCAGGTTCAGGCCACTCTTCTGCCTCAGCCTCCCAAGTAGCTGGGACTACAGACACCCGTCACCACACCCAGCTAATTTTTTGTATTTTTAGTAGAGACGGGGTTTCACCGTGTTAGCCAGGATGGTCTCGATCTCCTGACCTCGTGATTCGCCCGCCTCAGCCTCCCAAAGTGCTGGGATTACAGGCGTGAGCCACTGCGCCCGACCTCCCTCAATCTTAAAGCTAGTTAACCGTCCTGTGGCAAGTAGTGTGAGCTATTGTTGTCTTTCGGCTCCTTCTGGTTATGTTAATTCTGTTCTTCCGATACTCCAGCCCCCTAGGGAATGAGTTTTTCTGTCCGTGCTGGGTTTGATATCCCTGCTCAAACCTTGTCAAACTGCCTCCAAAAATGGGAAACTCCTCTTCCCGGCCCTGTAAGGATTGGAGCCCCCTCCAATGTATGCTGCAGAATTTTTCTCTAGGCTTCTCAGAGGATTATGGGGTCCGCCTTTAAAAAGGCAAACTCCGGACACTCTGCGAAGTAGAATGGCCAAAGTTTGGAGTCGGATGGCCCCCAGTAGGGTCACTGAACCTAGCAATTGTTCAGGCTGTGTGGCGGGTTGTTGCTGGAACTCCCGGCCACCCCGATCAGTTTCCCCACATTGATCAATGGCTGAGTTTGGTCAGAAGCTCCCCACCATGGCTCCGCTCATGCGCCATTCATAATTCTGCCTCCAAGGTCGTTTTGAGCCAGACCGCACTTCCGCCTGGACCCTCAGTCTGTTCGGCTCACCCTGTACTGCCTCCCTCTGAAGAAGAGGAGAGTCTCCCCCACTCAGTTCCGCCGCCTTATAACCGTCCTGCTCCCTTAGAATCTTCCCTTGTCTCCTCGACTACATCCCCTGTAGGCTCGCCGCCTATTGCCTCTCGATTGCGGCCGCGGCAGGAGGAAGTAGCCCCCCCTCTACCGCGGAAAGAAGCACAAGTCCCTCCGGGTGATGAGCGCTCAGCCCCATTCTTGGTTTATGTCCCTTTTTCTCCTTCTGACCTCTGTAACTGGAAGGCTCATAATCCTCCCTTCTCTGAAAAGCCCCAGGTCTTGATCTCACTGATGGAGTCTGTGCTCCGGACCCATCGGCCCACCTGGGATGACTGTCAGCAGCTCCTTTTGACCCTTTTTACCTCTGAAGAGAGGGAACATATCCGAAGAGAGGCCAGAAAGTATTTCCTCACATCAGCCAATAGGCCAGAGGAGGAAGCTAGAGACTTTCTTGAGGAGGTCTTTCCCTCTACCCGGCCTAACTGGCACACGAATTCCTCGGGTAGGAAGAAAGCTTTGGACGATTTTCACCGGTATCTCCTTGCAGGTATCAAAGGAGCTGCTCAGAAACCCATAAACTTGTCTAAGATGACTGAAGTCGCACAGGGCCTGATGAGTCACCGGGAGCGTTTTTAGAACGCCTCCAGGAGGCCTATCGGACTTACACCTCTTTTGACCCGGCGGCTCCCGAAAATAGCCGTGCTCTTAATTTGGCATTTGTGGCTCAGGCAGCCCCTGATATTAAAAGAAAACTCCAAAAACTGGAGGGATTTCCTGGGATGAATATCACTCAGCTTTTAGAGATAGCCCAAAAAGTTTTTGACAATCGAGAGTTTGAAAAAAGAAAACAAACAGCACAGGCAGCAGCTGATAAAGCATACAAAAGACAAGCAAAAATCTTAGCTGCGGCCATCGGAGAGGTCAAGAAGGGAAGGCCCCCATCACAGAGGAATAGCCAGGGAACCTCAGGTCCCTACCAGAAGGGCAAAAGAGGAGAACAGGCTCCCCTAGAAAAGGACAAATGTGCTTATTGCAAGCAGACTGGGCACTGGAAAAAGGAATGCCCACTACGGCCAGAGGAAAAATCAGAAAAGAAAAAGGCCCTCACCCTCCCCGCAACGGAAGAGTCTGATGACTGATGGAGCCAGGACTCCCTCTCTCTTGGCCCCCAGGAGCCCACGGTGACCGCTACAGTGAGGGGCCAGCCTGTACGCTTCCTAGTAGCTACCGGGGCGGAGCACTCGGTACTACAGACCCCCTTGGGCAGTGTCTCTAATAAAAGAGTGGCTGTACAAAGGTCTACTGGAGCTATTCAGGAATATCCTGTCACACACTCACGAGAAGTGAGCTTGGGACAGAAAAGAGTGAGACAGTCATTTCTTGTGGTTCCAGAGTGTCCTTTTCCTCTCCTCGGAGGAGATCTGCTCCATAAGTTACAGGCCTCTATCTCCTTCTCAGCCCAGCAGGCTAACGTCATGCTAGGAAATACAGCGCCCCCCACTGCCCAACTCCTGCTAACTACCCCTCTGTCAGAGGAAAATCTTTTAGTGTCACCATCACAACCACTGGAAAATAATACTAATCCTCTCCTGTTGGACTTACAGACACTCTTTCCCAGAGTTTGGGCCAGTCAAACCCCCCAGGACTGGCTAAACACCATCCACCAGTGGTTGTAGAACTCCTGGCCACTGCCTTGCCTGTCCAGGTAAAGCAATATCCTATGAGTCAGCAGGCTAGACAGGAGATTAATCCCCATATTCAATGACTGTTACAAGCTGGCATACTCACACCGTGTCAGTCCGCCTGGAATATTCCATTTTTGCCGGTCCAGAAACCCGGAACGAATGATTACCAGCCGGTACAGGACTTAAGGGAAGTTAACAAACAGACTGTTACTGTCCATCCAACTGTCCCCAATCCTTATACTCTACTCAACCTGCTCCCGCCAGAACTTACAGTATATACACTGTCCTTGACCTAAAGGATGCCTTCCTTGCTATTTCTCTGGCCCCCAAGAGCCAACTGATCTTTGCTTTTGAATGGACAGATCCTAGCTCAGGAGACACTACCCAATTGACTTGGACTCAGTTACCTCAAGGTTTTAAAAATTCCCCCACCCTTTTTGGAGAGGCCCTCCAGCAGGATCCTATACCATTCCAAGCTAGTCACCTTAACTGTACTCTTCTTCAGTAGGTGGACAACCTTTTATTAGCTACTGAAACTAAAGACAGTTGCCTGCAACATACTAGGGACCTACTTTACCTCCTTCAGGAGCTCGGGTATCGAGTCTCAGCCAAGAAGGTCCAGCTTTGTCTTCCCACAGTGTCCTACCTAGGATACGACATAAGCCAAGGAAAAAGGGCACTCACCAGTGCCCGGAAAGAAGCCATCCTACGAATCCCCACTCCCACCACCAAGAGACAGGTACGTGAATTCCTGGGGGCCGTAGGATACTGTCGCCTATGGATGTCGGGGTTCGCGGAGATTGCGAAGCCCCTGTACACTGCTACAGGAGGGAATAGCCGGCTAGTTTAGATGGACACAGAAGAACAGGCTTTTCAAAATCTGAAAAAGGCATTAACTGAAGCCCCTGCTCCAGCCCTCCCAAATATCCCAGAGCCGTTTCACCTGTTTGTCCACGAAAGCCAGGGAGTTGCTAAGGGGGTGCTTACTCAGACTTTAGGACCCTGGAGATGCCCAGTGGCCTATTTGTCTAAGAGGCTGGATCCTGTGGCCTCTGGATGGCCAACTTGTCTGCGAGTCATAGTGGCAACAGCAAGCCTAGTCTAAGAGGCTGATAAGTTAACTCTAGGTCAAAATTTAACCTTTACCGCTCCTCATGCCGTAGAGACTTTATTACGAAGTGCTTCTGGCAAATGGATGTCAAATGCTCGCATCCTGCAGTATCAGAGTTTACTGTTAGATCAGCCTCGTTTGACTTTCTCTCCCAGAAGGTGTTTAAATCCAGCTACTTTACTCCCTGATCCAGACTTCACTACACCTGTCCATGACTGCCAGGAACTGTTAGAAACTACAGAAACTGGCCCACCTGATCTCCAAGATGTGCCCCTAAAGAAGGTGGACGCCGCCATGTTTACAGGCGGTAGCAGCTTTCTCAAAACAGGGAGTACGAAAGGCTGGTGCAGCCATTACTACAAAGACAGATGTGCTATGGGCCCAGGCTTTACCGGCAAATACCTCGGCACAAAAAGCTGAATTGATCGCCCTCACTCAGGCTCTCCGATGGGGTAAGGATAAACTTATTAACATTTACACTGACAGCAGGTATGCTTTAACTACTGTACATGTACATGGAGCCATCTATCAGGAGCGTGGGCACCTCAGCAGGAAAGACTATCAAAAACAAAGAAGAAATTCTAGCCCTGCTTGAAGCCGTATGGCTCCCTCAGCAGGTGGCTGTAATCCACTGCAAAGGACATCCAGGAGAAAACACGGCCATTGCCCGTGGTAACCAGAAAGCTGACTCAGCGGCCCGGGATGCAGCCAGACTTCCAGTCATGCCTCTAAACTTATTACCCACAGTCTCCTTTCCACAGCCAGATCTGCCCTACAATCCCGCGTACTCAACGGAAGAAAAAAAACTAGCTTCAGATCTCAGGGCCAATAAAAATCAGGAAGGTTGGTGGATTCTTCCTGACTCCAGAATCTTCATACCCCGAGCTCTCTCGGGGAAACTTTAATCAGTCGCCTGCATTCTACCACCCATTTAGGAGGAGCAAAACTGGCCCGGCTCCTCTAGAGCCATTTTAAGATTCCCTATCTTCAAAGCTTAGCAGATCAAGCAGCTCTCCGGTGTACAACTTGTGCCCAGGTAAACGCCAAGCAAGGTGCTAAACCCAGCCCAGGCCACCGTCTTTGAGGAAACTTGCCAGGAGAAAGGTGGGAAGTTGACTTTACAGAAATAAAACCACACCGGGCTAGGTACAAATACCTTCTAGTACTAGTAGACACCTTCTCCGTATGGACTGAGGCATTTGCCACCAAGAATGAGACTGCCACCATGGTAGTTAGGTTTTTACTCAATGAAATCATCCCTCGACATGGGCTGCCTGCTGCCATAGGGTCTGATAACGGACTGGCCTTCACCTCGTCCATAGCTCAGTCAGTCAGTAAGGCATTACACATTCAATGGAAGCTCCATTGTGCCTATCGACCCCAGAGCTCTGGGCAGGTAGAACGCATGAACCGCACCCTAAAAAGCACTCTTACAAAGTTAATCTTAGAGACCGGTGAGAACTGAGTAAGGCTCCTTCCTTTAGCCTTTCTTAGAGTAAGGTGCACTCCTTACTGGGCTAGGTTTTCACATTTTGAAATCATGTATAGGAAGGCTCCACCTATCTTGCCTAAGCTAAGGGATACCAATTTGGCAGAAATATCACAAGCTAATTTATTACAGTAGCTAAAGTCTCTCCAACAGGTACAAGATATCATCCAGCCACTTTTCCGAGGAGCCCATCCCAATCCGGTTCCTGACCAGATGGGGCCCTGCCACTCATTCCAGCCAGGTGACCTGGTGTTTGTTAAAAAGTTCCAGAGAGAAGGACTCACTCCTGCTTACATAGGACCTCATACTGTCATCCTCACCATGCCAACAGCTCTGAAGGTGGATGGCATTCCTGCTTGGATTCGTCACTCCCGCATCAAAAAGGCCAACAAAGCCCAGCAAGAAACATAGGTCCCCAAGCCTGGGTCAGGCCCCTTAAAACTGTGCCTAAGTCGGGTGAAGCCATTAGATTAATTCTTTTTATTTACTTCTCTTTTTGGTTTTTGCCTGTCATGTCCTCTGCACCTTCCTATTCCCTTCTTCTCACCTATTTCATGACAAGACGTATATTCGCAAACAGTACTTGGAGGGCAGGAACCTCCAAGGAAGTCTCCTTTGCAGTTGATTTATGTGCACTGTTCCCAGAACCAGCCCGTACCTACAAAGAGTAACACAATCTGACAGTCAAGGGGGCAGGAAGCGTTGACCTTTTGGCAGGATTTGGACACTCCGGGAGCCAGACTGGATGTGGGAGCTCCAAAGGTGCGGAAAAAGGACTTCAGAATGTTGACTTTTACCTCTGTCCTGGAAATCACCCTGACTCTAGCTGTTGAGATATTTACCAGTTTTTCTGCCCTGATTGGACACGTGTAACTTTAGACACTTAACTCTGGGAGATCAACCGGATCTTCAACTCTTTCCATAAGTCGTGCTTCCCATCCTAGATTGTGTACTAGAAAAAATTGTAATCCTCTTACTATAACTGTCCATGACCCTAATTCAGCTCGATGGTATTATGGCATGTCATAAGGATTAAGGCTTTATATCCCAGGATTTGATGTTAAGACTATGTTCGCCATCCAGAAGAAAATCCTGGTCTCATGGAGCCCACCCAAGCCAATCAGGCCTTTAACTGATCTAGGCGACCCTATGTTCCAAAAACACCCTGACAAGGTCGATTTAACTGTTCCGCCACCATTCCTAGTTCCTAAACCCCAGCTGCAGCAACAATATCTTCAACACAGCCTGATGTCCATACTAGGCAGGGTACATCACCTTCTTAACCTCACCCAGCCTAAACTAGCCCAAGATTGTTGGCTATGTCTAAAAGCAAAACCCCCTTATTATGTAGGCTTAGGAGTAGAGGCCACACTTAAAAGTGGCCCTTTATCTTGTCGTGCACGACCCTGTGCCCTCACACTAAGGGATGTGTCTGGAAACGCTTCTTGTCTAATTAGTACCGGGTATAACTTATCTGCTTCTCCCTTTCAGACTACTTGTAATCAGTCCCTGCTTACTTCCATAAGCACCTCAGTCTCTTACCAAGTGCCTAACAATACCTGGTTGGCCTGCACTTCAAGTCTCACTCACTGCATTAATGGAACTGAACCAGGACCTCTCCTGTGCATGTAAGTTCATGTACTTCCCTGGGTATACGTGTACAGTGGACCAGAAGGACAACTTCTCATTTCTCCCCCTGAGTTAGATCCCAGGTTTCGCTAGCTGCCCTGCTCCTAGTTCCCTTCTTGGCCAGCCTTAGCATAGCCAGATCAGCAGCCCTAGTTCAAGGAGAAACTGGAATAATGGCCCTATCTCAACAGGTAGATGCTAATTTAAGTAACCTCCAGTCTGTCGTAGATTTGTTACATTCCCAGGTAGAGTCTCTAGCTGAAGTAGTTCTTCAAAACCGCTGAGGCTTAGATCTACTATTCCTCTCTCAAGGAGGTTTATGCGCAGCTCTAGGAGAAAGTTGTTGCTTCTATGCCAATCAGTCTGGAGTCATAAAAGATACTCTCCAAAAGGTTCGAGAAAATCTAGATAGATGCCAACAAGAAAGAGAAAATAACATCCCCTGGTATCAAAGCATGTTTAACTGGAATCCATGGCTAACTACTCTAGTCACTAGGTTAGTTGGACCCCTCCTCATCCTACTATTAAGCTTAATTTTCAGGCCGTGTATATTAAATTAGTTTCTTAACTTTGTAAAACAACGCATAGCTTCTGTCAAATTTATGTATCTTAGAACTCAATATGACCCCCTTATTATAACTGAGGAATCAACGATTTGATTCCCCAAAAACACAAGTGGGGAATGTAATACCTAACGTTGTTTTTAGACTCTCCGTTAATCACCTAGCCTTATTTCCACATGAATAGGCTGTCCCTTAGCTGAGAAAGCTGGACGAACTCCATTTGGCTCCTTCATTTACAAAACATCAAGGACTCCTTACCCACCCCCTTCCTCAAGCAGTTAACTTGTGTAAGCTGACTCTCAACATATCAGAGTCCAATTAACTGATAAGGTACTGAAGCAAACAATGCACGAAGTTCCCAGGATTTCACTCAAGAGATAACACCATAAAGCCTTGAGTTTGTGTCTGGCAGAACCCCCATACCTAATGCCTTATGATAGATTTAGAGCCCCTGCACCTGGAACTGTTTGTTTACCTGTAACCATTTGTCTTTTTAATTTTTTTGCATGCTTTTACTTCTGTAGAATTGCTGCAACTAAGCTCCCCCTCCCCTTTCTAAACCAAAGTATAAAGGAAAATCAAGCCCCTTCCTCGGGGCCGAGAGAATATCGAGCGTTAGTCCTCTTTTGGTCGCCGGCTAATAAAGGACTCTTAAATTCGTCTCAAAGTGTGGCATTTCTCTAACTCGCTCGGGTACAACAACTTCGCCTTTCCGCAGCCGCTGTCCAGCTCTGCAGAGTCCTTTTGAGAGAAGAGCTGGACAAGAGGAGTAAAGGAGCTCTTTGCAAATGCCAGGAGGAGTTTCTTCAGGGGGAAAGTTGGCTTTCCATAGGCTTCTAAGAGAAGTATGTGGAGCAAACAAACGGGAATTTTCTTTCTCATCTTTTGCATTTCAGACAAAAGCTAATAAAATTAGCTGTTTCCACCGTCATGCTTAGTCTCAAAGCTGCCGGTAGATTCCGCTTCTAACTTTCCACACAGGCGCGCAGGAAATCGGGAAATCACTGCAGCTCCCTCAGAAGCTCCAATATCAGCATTTCCTGAACTGAAAATAAAAATGCGACATTACGTGCATACCCAAAGAGCTCAACTGGTCTGTCCAGCAACGTAAAGAGAGGTGAGGCGCTCTTGAAGCCGTGCCAGCCTGGGCGAAACGAACCAGGTCCCCTTCCTGGTCGAGCCTACCCCCCTAGGGACAAAAAGGAACCTCTCTTCCCTCCTATCCAGAGGAAGGGACGGAGAGATGTGGCGATCAGACTCACTCTACCATCCAGTCTATCCAAGTACTAATAATCTTGAGGATGCTTTTCCTTGCCCTCTACCTCTCTCCCTTTTGTCCTTTGCTTCCTCCACTTCACGGCACCCCGCCTCTTCCGTCTCCCCGCAAGCTGGCGCTCGGCTCCTCCCGTTTACTTTTTGTTTGTTTGTTTTTGTTTTTTGTTTGCTTTTGTTTTTGTTTTTTGTTTTTGTTTTTTTGAGACGGAGTCTCGCTCTGTCGCCCAGGCTGCAGTGCAGTGGCGCGATCTCGGTTCACTGCAACCTCCACCTCCTGGGATCAAGCGATTCTCCTGCCTCAGTCTCCCGATTAGCTGAGATTACAGGAGCCCCCCACCACGCCCGGCTAATTTTTGTATTTTTAGTAGGGACGGGGTTTCACCATTTTCACCAGGATAGTCTCCAACTTCTGATCTCAAGTGATCCGTCCGCCTCGGCCTCCCGAAGTTCTGAGATTATAGGCATGAGCCACTGCGCCCAGCTTTCAGAATGAACTTTTCACAATAGTGCAGCGCACTCCTAGACCCGTTTACGCACATTTTAAACACTGTGTTGTGATTCATATGTAGATCTTTCCACATCACTTTCTATTTTTTTTTTCTTCTTTTCCTTCTCTGTATGCTCAGCTTTAAACATTTTTGCACCATAGGCTGAGGCTGCACTCAGCTGGGGAGAGACGCGTGGCGGGGATAAAACTAGAGTAGAGGAATGTTGTTTCCTGTCTGAGAAGGCTCAGACCTTACAAGGGGAGAAAAAAGTCTGTAAGAGAATCTAAAACTTTTTTTGAGGAAATAATTGAAAAATATATCCTAATTGACCCTCCCACCGTATTTTGGCTAAAAATAGAAAGCCTCGACTCTCAGGAGATTGAGTTTGAAAACTGTTAAGACATAGAAAAGGTTTTATTAAAATTCAGTTTGCAAATCATCGTCGGCCTCAGCAATTTTCTCATTCCAGAGAGGGTTGTTTCCGAAATTCTGTAAACATCTGAATTTGTTCCTATGTCTAACCAGAGAAGTTCAATGTTTTTACACTTTTGACTTAACGTAAGAATTTATATTGAGATATATACACTTCTGGGATTGGCGTGCAAGTGTTGTATAAGGGAGTGATAATTAGGCAGAACTAAAAAAACCAAACAAACCTGGTGAAACCCGGGATCGAACCAGGGACCTTTAGATCTTCAGTCTAACGCTCTCCCAACTGAGCAATTTTGGCTACTCTAAGCACGTGCCGTTAGCAATTTCTTCAAAATATAAAAATCTTCATTTGTAAAGTGGGCGTATTTCCTAATGCCTAATTCTTTTTTGTTCAATATCAACACAAAAATTAGCCAGGGGTGGTGGCGCGCGCCTGTAATCCCAGCTACTCCGCGCCGCTGTACTCCAGCCTGGGCGACAGAGCGAGACTCCCTCTCCCTCCGTTGAAGTGGGAGGATCCACTGAGCCGGGGAGGCAGAAGTTGCCGCGAGCCGAGATTGCACCACTGCACTCCAGCCCACGCAACAGAGCGGGACCCTGTCTCGAAAACAACAACAAAAAAGAGTTGTTATGCACCAGTGTGGAGACCACAATTTTAAAAACTCTAAGGAAGAGATAGAATGTACTGGAGGACATAAGAGATCCTTCTTTTCTTTCTTTTCCTGTCACTTATTTTATTTATTTAATTTATTTTTTTTAGACAATCTCCCTCTATCGCCCAGTCTGGAGTGCAGTGGCGTGATCTCGGCTTACTGCAACCGCCACCTCCCGGGTTCAAGCAATTCTCCTGCCTCAGCCTCCCTAGTAGCTGGGATTACAGGCGCGCACCACCACCCCTGGCTAATTTTTGTATTGATATTGAACAAAACAGAATTAGGCATTAGAAAATACACTCACTCTACAAATGACGTTTTTATATTTTGAAGAAATGACTAAGGGTGTGTGCTTAGAGTAGCTGAAATAGCTCAGTTGGGAGAGCGTTAGACTGAAGATCTTAAAGTTCCCTGGTTCAACCCTGGGTTTCAGCCAGCATCTTTTGAGTTCTGCCTAATTATCACTCCCTTATACAGCACTTATACGCCAATCCCAGAAGCTTACATATCTCCAATTTTTGGGAGTTTTTGAAAGTCTGATAAAGGTAATGTACATGTTTGTATCACTCTCTCCTTTGTATATTCCACTGAAGTCTTCCATGAAGTGCTCTCATTACATAAATTATTTAAAGTTTTTGGACGGAGTCTCACTCCGTCGCCCAGGCTGGAGTGCAACGGCGCGATCTCGGCTCACTGCAACCTCCGCCTCCTGAGTTCAAGCTGTTCTCATATCTCAGCCTCCCAAGTAAGCTGAGATTACAGGCCCCCGCAACCATGCCCGGCTAATTTTTGTATTTTTAGTAGAGACAGGGTTTCGCCATGTTGATCAGGTTGGTCTCGACCTCCTGACCTCAGGTGATCCACCTGCCTCGGCCTCTCAAAGTGCTGGGATTTCAGGCGTGAGCCACTAAGCCCGTCCTTATTTAAAGTCTTAAACTTAGGAAGTTATTAGTTTTAAAACCTAAGAAATTCCAACGTGCTATATGCTGTGGCATTTACAAGTCATTTTTGATTTGATATTATTTATATGTATTGGGCGAGGGTTATTTTTAAATCACAAGAAATATGAAAAAAAGAAACATACAGTGAAGTAACTATTATACTGTATGAGCATATATATGGGGGTGTGGTGTATGCAAGAAACATTTTGAAATTAGAAAAACCCGGGTTTGTATCTTGAGTCAACTCCATTATTAAAGTGCTGTAAGAACTTTTTTTTTCTTTCTTTCTCTTTCTTTCTTTCTTTCTCTTTCTTTCTTTCTTTCTTTCTTTCTTTCTTTCTTTCTTTCTTCTTTCTTTCTTTCTTTCTTTCTTTCTTCTTTCTTTTCTTTCTTTTAAGCAGGGTCTCACTCTGTCATCCAGGCTGGAGTACAGTTATACAATCAGAGCTCACTACAGCCTCAACCTCTCTAGGCTGAAGTGACTCCACATGTCAGCACCCTGAGTAGATGGGACTACAGGCGAGCACCACCATGCCTGGCTAAATTTTTTTTTTTTTTTTTTTTTGTATTTTTTTTGTAGACTGTGGGTTTCACCGTGTTGCCCAGGCTGGTCTTTAAATCCTAGGTTTAAGCAATCCACCTGCCTAGGTAGGCCTCCCAGAGTGCTTGGATTACAGGCAGGAGCCATCGCACCAGGCCCAATTACAAGAACATTCTAAATTTTCTTGCTGAGAAGACATTTCTTTAGCCTGGCAACCTTGTCTAGAATTTCCAAATCTTAAGCTGTTTCCATGTTTGTATCCAGGAAAAAAGAAATATATGTATTTCTATATGAATTATTTTATCAAACATTCATGAGGGGCTCTAGAATACTGAAAATGAAAGCAAATGGGCAGCAAAGTCAAGACTCAGGTGCATGTGCCCCATTTTCCCTTTTTCACTTCAACTCCTCTCTTGAAATTCTCTGTTGGGATAATAGGTCTTTTTTTGGTCATTTTGATTTTTTTTCTTTCAAATTACTGCTTCAGTTTCAGTGTTGTTTTTCTCTAACTTCTGCATACCCTGTGAGGAGACAATAATCTACAATACTCCACTATCAGAACTGCAGCAAGTTGCAAAAGGAAAATTAGTACCAAATGAGAAGTAACCTTGGGTTAGGGACATTGACTGTACAGAAACTGGGAATCAGGTACTTTATCCTTTCACTGAGGCTTTCTCAACTCAGAAGCTTGTGTTTTACTCCATTAAGAAATATTTGACTAGACAAACAGTAACATTGAATGTTTTGTGCCTAACGCAGTAAAGATTCCTTTACATTCTGTTGAAATGGAAGGCCTAGGGCAATTCCAAGCATGATTTGTCTGCCATTCAATGGCTTAAAAATGATGTTAATAATGATTTTGTAAAATGGGATGTTGTAAAGATCAAAGGAGATCATGCATAGAAATGCATTCTGTCAAGTCCACTCACAGCATGAAACTTAATTACTGGCAGATCATGCTCCGTGTTCTCTGCTTCTGGGATTCTCCCAGAACAGCACCTAAATGGATAACATTGTCTTTAGACAATTCTGTCCAATCAAGAGATAATACAAGTTTTAAATGACAGCCATTTTGTAGTGTTACCTTTTGCAGTAGTTGCATTAAAAAAAGTCAATATTTATATTTTTATGTAATTTCAATTTTTATTTTAGATTTGGGGGTACACGTGCAGGTTTGTTACATGGGTATACTACATGATGCTGGGTAAATTGCATGAGGTTTTGAGTGCAATTGATCCCATCACCCAGGTAGTAGGCATAGTACCCAAGAGGTAGCTTTTCAAATCTTTCTGCCCTCCCTCCCACCCCTCCCCATAGTCCCCAGTGTTTGTTGTTGCTATCTTTTATGTCCAGTTTCAATAATATATTTAAATCACTTTGTATATCCAAAAACTTATTTTAAGAAGCTATCAATTATAAAATTATTAGTGAGATATTTTATATTTAAAAAATAGTATTACACATCTTTGAAATCTGGTGTGTGTATGTATATATATATTTACATATATATATATTTTTTTTTTTTTTTTTTTTTTTTGCGAAGGATTCTCGCTCTGTCACCCAGGCTGGAGTGCAGTGGCCCGATGTCGGCTCACTGCAACCTCAGCCTCCCAGGTTCAAGCAATTCTCCTGCCTCAGCCTCCCAAGTAGCTGGGATTTCAGGTGTGTGTCACCAAGCCAGGCTAATTTTTGTATTTTTAGTAGAGATGGGGTTTCACCATGTTGGTCAGGCTGGTCTCGAACTCCTGACCTTGTGATCCACCCACCTCAGCCACCCAAAGTACTGGGATTACAGACGCAAGCTACTGTGCCTGGCCAAATCTGATATGTATTTTACACTTACAACACTCTTAACTTGGACTGGGCAATTTCAAGCATTCAATAGCCAGTGTGGCTAATGGTAACCATATTGGACAGTGCAGGTTTAAACAGATACTTTATATATTTTTAGGTTTTCTGAATTGAGTATGTATCACATGAGGGTGTTCTGTCTTCAGGATTAAATGTTTAATTCCTCAGAGGAATTCTGTGTTAAATAAGCTCATCCCACAGTTTTTACAAAAAAAACTGTGTTTCAGTCGTGTTGTTGTTAGTCAGAAGAGAGCTACAGATATTTAATTATTTAAAATTCTCTCCTTTTCAAGAGGCAAACAAAAAAGCAGACCTTCATATTATGATGAATTCCCAAGAATCCAGTAGACATCCAGGTTTCTCTGGGTGCAACATGACATAATGATGAAGGAGTGTTTCTGCAAATTGTCCTAATATTACTTCTGCAGCATCAAAGAGCTAAGATTATCTCCCTAGCATTTACATGCACACACAGACAGTCAAACACACACACAAACACTAGTTTTGTGTGTAACACTTCTCTTGTTTCTTATTCAGTGAAACCTAGCATTCAGTGCTTCCTATTTTTGTTCTAGAAATTCCATCAGCCAACCGAAAAGACAAGTCTGCCATATAACCTGCTGTTTTCTGCCAGTTCTACAAGGGATCAATGTTATTTCATGAGTGTTGGCAAAGGCTCATATATGAGTAAATCAGAATGAGAAAGAGTTAACAGTCACTAGAAATTTGGTGTCAGGAAATGGATTTTCTTCTCATCTTCTTATGTAGTTCAAAGAACACAGCCCTAATCATGATAAATAATAATAAATACCAGGGTTCAAGAACATAGAGGAGCAAACTTTAAAAAAAATTTTTTTTTACTTTATTATTATTATTATTATTATTTGAGAGAGAGTTTCACTCTTGTTGCCCAGGCTGGAGAGCAATGGCATGATCTCACTCACTGCAACCTCCACCTCCTAGGTTCAAGCAATTCTCCTGCCTCAGCCTCCCGAGAAGCTGGGATTACAGGAATGCACCACCACACCCAGCTAATTTTTGTATTTTTAGTAGAGACAGGGTTTCACCATGTTGGCCAGCCTGGTCTCGAACTTGCAACCTCAGGTGATCCACCCGCCTTGGCCTCCCAAAGTGCTGGGATTACAGGCGTGAGCCACCACACCCGGCTTTTTTTTCTTTTAAACAAATATCGTGAATAGGTTTGTAATTCCCAAATCTAAAAGGACCCTTTTTAGTCTTTATCCACCCTCTATGCAATATGTCTACTACTACTAATGCTCACAAACCCCAGGCTGGAGAGTCAATTGCCTGAGTTCTCCATGTAACATCCTCACAGTGTGCCCCACAGATACACCGAATTTAGCATGAGCCAAGCTAACTTATCTTCTCCATCTTCCAATCTTTCTCCCATTCCTTAAAGAGTTGTTAAAAACTCCCCTTTTCTACACCTCCTTCTGTTTGGCAATAGCCTGTTTGTTTTTCTAAACCACTTTCCCCCGTACCTCTTAAATCCTGTTTCTACTTATTTTTTATCTCACCCTCATAATTCAACTCTTCTCGTCATCCCTAGAGGTGTTGTTTCACTCACACCTTATAAATTTTTCTTTTCTTTTCTTTTTGATTTTGATACAGGGTCTCACTCCATCACCCAAGCTGGAGTGCAGTGGCGTGATCATAGCTCCCTGCAGCCTCCAGCTCCCAAGGTCAAGTGATCCTCCTGCTTCAGCCTCTGGAATAGCTGTGAGTACAGGCGCAGGACAACACACCAGCTAAAGACCCTTAAGATGAAATGCTGAGTGCATCGCTCTCAGGTTTTCTTCTGACTGTGATTTTCCTCAATCAAATCTAACCTTTAATATTCCGGCTGAGTAAACAACAAATATGAAGCATTTTAGGTAAGAAAAAGCTGAATTTCAATAACTTTGCGTCATCTCTGAAAGAAATCGAAAGAATGAAAAACCAGAATTTGATTCCTTGCCAAGCATAACAGAAGAAGGAGATCCTGACAACTCAACGTTTTAAAGCCACATTGGAAACTTCTTTTGGCGGTTATCTGACACTTTTCTAATACTTTGCTTTCCATTTCAAGTCCTGTACAGTATACTAAAGAATCTGTATCCCCTCATTAGTACCGAGTATCTTCTACTCAGAGCAGCTGAAGGCGCTCCATGATACTAACCACTACTACCAGCATGCTCACGGAGCCAGTCTCAGAAAATGAAAGTTACCTCCTGAAAATTATTACAAAACAGTCTTTCAGGAGGGGGGTGTAGCTCAGTGGTAGAGCACATGCTTTGCATGTGTGAGGCCCCGGGTTCGATCCCCGGCACCTCCAAATGGTGGTTTTGCTCTGGCAGTGCTTAAATGTAATTCTCAAGCAACATAGCCTTCTGCCTCCTCACCTTTTTCTATCCTATTTCTGCACGTATAGAGAGTAAAAACGTAACCCAATGGATTGCCTTCACTTATCTCCCATCTCTATAATGTAAGCCTCAACATCACCTAAGGCGATTGCGACGGCAGAAGGAAGAGGAGAAAGAAGAATGAGGTCGCAACAGGGTCTCTTGAAAGCAAACAAAAGCGTGCACATCAACAGGCGGCTCACTTTGGCTTCGGTTTTGTACTATGATTAAAGAGAAGGAAAGGCTGAGAAGAAGAAAGGCAGAAAAGCCCCCCCCCGCCCCCCGGGCATTTCGTTTTGGTCGTTGTTTTTGTTTTCTGAGCCAAATCCAGAGTCAAAGCATCTGTCCACTGATTTCTCTCCCTGTCGAACTGCGCAGAGAGCACAGCCACAAGTGCGATCCAAAGCTGAGAAAATGTGGCTCTCCAGCCGCTTGAGATGAGAGTGGCAGGACGCTGGACAACCGAACGAAGACTGTCGGGGAATTAGAGGTCTTCAACACGGAAGGAGCGAAATCAATAAGGATCAACACATTCCCTACTGATAGTCCATACGATTGATTCATTTTCCTGTATTGCATCAGTCACTCCATTCTCCTCGTTAAAATAAAACACTGAGGTCCGGGCGCGGTGGCTCACGTCTGTAATCCCAGCACTTTGGAAGGCCGAGGCGGGGCGATCACCTGAGGTCGGGAGTTCGAGACCAGCCTGACTAACATGGAGAAACTCCGTCTCTATTAAAAATACAAAATTAGCCGGGCGTGGTGACGCACGCCTGTAATCCCAGCTACTCAAAAGGCTGAGTCAGGAGAATCGTTTGAACCCGGGAGGCGGAGGTTGCAGTTTGCTGAGATCCCACCATTGCACTCCAACCTGGGCAGCAAGAGAGAACCTCCGTCTCAAAATAAAATAAAATATAACATAACATAAAACATTGCCTGGAAACCTCTGTTAACAGCAAACAGAGGCCCCATATGAAAAAGTAGAGAAAGCTTTTCTGCCACAATGGAAAATAGATGCAAAGTAAAGGTGAGTAAATTGCAGGTGTGTTGGCACTTCTAATTAAAAAAAAAAAATTCTTTTTTCTTTGTCAATCCTATCACATCTGCTTTGTATGACGAGGGAACTCCAGGAAATCCTATCTACTGATGACACCTTTTAGGGGTTTCCAATGCTGCATGTTTCAAAACTGCTGTCCTCTGTGTATATGTTTGCCGTTGAATCAAAAGTGTCTTTGAGAGGCAACAGAGTACGATGTTTGTCATCAGTCCACCAGTCTAACACTCTGTCAGGGTAGGCTGTCCTTACTTCTCGATTCTTTTGTTCAGTGAAAATATCCATAACCAGCCTACAGGAGAGATATTGTCTAGTGAAACCTGCTTAGCTGAAGACTGGTTGTGTGCCCCAGGGACAAACCATATGTTCGTTATAAGATACATTTTTTTTTTTTGTTTGAAGGAAGGTAATGCAGACATTTTCTTTTCGTTTCATACTTGTTTTCCCTTCTATCCACTGGTTCTCTCCAGGCACTTTAAGCAAATAGTGGCATGTTAGTCACAGTGGACACTGCACAGGAGAATAAGGGGTGAGGGATCAGGGTGCTACAAGAGGAATGCCAAATTCCAGGCCCAACCTCAGATCTATTGAGTCAGAATTGCTGAGGGTGGCGTCCAGCCGCCTGTGTTTGAATAAGCCCTCAAGTGACTCTGATGTTAAAGTTGTTTTGTTTTGTTTTTTGAGACGGAGTCTCGCCCTCTCGCCCAGGCTGGAATGCAGTGGTGCAACCTCGGCTCACTGCAATCTCTGCCTCCCGGGTTCAAGCGATTCTTCTGCCCCAACCTCCCAAGTAGCTGGGATTACAGGCGCGCGCCGCTATGCCCAGCTAATTTTTGTATTTTTAGTCGAGACGGGGTTTCACTATGTTGGTCAGGCTTGTCTCGAACTCTTGACCCCGTGATCCGCCCGCCTCGGCCTCCCAAAGTGCTGGGATTACTGGAGTGAGCCACCCGCCCAGCCGCTGATGCTAAAGTTTGAGAAGCACTGTTCTAGAGGTTTAAGAAGGTGGTCCAGGGCCAGGCGCCTGCTGAGGAGGAAGAGCTGTTCCCGGGGTTCCCTGCCTATTCTCAATCAAAAACTCAAACCACCTAGGAAAGCCAGTGAGGTTTGTATTTGCCTTACATCAGGGGTGGGGATGCATTTATTATCTCTTTGACACCGTCAACATTTTAGATGATTTTGGTAGTCACACACAAGAGACTGATTTTCCTGTAGAAGAACTCACCAGAGTTCTTGTCAGCCAGGAGACTCTTTTGAGCCAATTTTCTTTATTTCTTTCCTTTCTTATCATTCTACCCTCCCTTCTCTTTCTTTCTCTTTTTCCTTTCTTTCTTTTCTTTCTTTCTTTCTTTCTTTCTTTCTTTCTTTCTTTCTTTCTTTCTTTCTTTTTCTTTCTTTCTTTCTCTCTTTCTCCTTTTCTTTCCTTTTCTCTCATTTCTTTCTTTTCTTTTCTTTTCTTTTTTTTTTGAGACAGGGTCTCACTCTATCACCCAGGCTGGAGCGCAGTGGCGTGATCTTGGCTCACTGCAGCCTCTGCCTCCTGGGTTCAGGTGATTCTCCTGACTCAGCCTCCCAAGTAGCTGGGATTTCAGGTGCGCGTCACCATGCCCAGCTAATTTTTAGTAGAGGTGGGGTTTCACCATGTTGACCAGGCTGGTCTTGAATTCCTGACCTCAGGTGATCTGCCCTCCTTGGCCTCCCAAAGTGCTGGGATTACAGGCATGAGCCACTGCACCTGGCCACCAATTCTGTCATTTCTTTGTCACATAAAAAGTAAAAACATGACCCAATTCATTGCCTTTACTGCTCTCTTATTTCTATTTCTATTTGGTCAGCCTCTGTACCAGCCAAAGCAACTGACATAGCAGGAGAGGAAAGGAGGAAAAAAGAACCAGCTTTTACAAGATCTCTGGATCATGTTTCACTGTCAACTGTAAAATTATTTGTCTAGCCCTAGATTGGAAATATTATCTTCCATATATTTTCCTCAAAGTTTTATAGTTTTACATTTTATATTCATATCTGCGATCCATTTTAAGTTCACTTTTGTGAAGGCATGAGACTTATTTTTCTTCCATGGAATTACTACTTAGGCAACTTTGTCAAAAACCAGTTGAGAATATTTGTGTAGGTTTATTTTTCCATTCTCTCTATTAACCACGTGCCTATCTCCTTGCCAATACTATACAGTCTTAATTACTGTAGTAATAATACAATAATACAAGAATACAACAATGTAATGAAATAGTCTTGAAATCAGGTAGACTGTTTTTCCCTCCTAGATTTTAAATAATTATTCTAATTCCTTTGACTTTGTGGGAGAAACCTGGTGGGAGGTAGTTGGATCATGGGGGTGGCTTCCCCCATGCTGTTCTGGTGATAGTGAGTGAGTTCTCATGAGATCTGATGGTTTCATAAGTGTTTGGCAAGTTCCTCTTTTGCTCATACTTCTTTCTTCTGCTGTCATGTAAAGAAGGTCCTTGCTTCCCATTTCCCTTCCGCCATGATTGTAAGTTTCCCGAAGCCTCCTCAGCTATGTGACTCAATTAAACCTATTTCCTTTATCAATTACCCAGACACAGTGGCTCACGCCGGGAATCCCAGCACTTTGGGAGGCAGAGGCGGGCGGATCATGAGTTCAGGAGTTCCAGACCAGCCTGACCAATACGGTGAAACCCTGTCTCTACTAAAAATACAAAAATTAGCCGGGCATGGTGGCCTGCGCCTGTAGTCCCAGCCACTCGGGAGACTGAGGCAGAAGAATTGCTTGAACCCAGGAGGCGGAGGTTGAAATGAGCCGAGAGGAGGCCACTGCCCTCCAGCCTGGGCGACAGAGCAAGACTCCATCTTAAAAAAAAAAAAAAATTACCCAGTCTCAGGTAGTGTCTTCATAGCAGTGTGAAAACGGACTAATACACATTCTGTCTTTTACCGTGATGTACAGTGTTAGCTGTTCTCTATTCCTATTTTTCTGAGACTTTTTGTCATGAGTAGCTATTGAAGTTTGACAAATTCTTTTTCTACTGTGATATGATCACGTGATTTTATTTTTTAGCCTGTTAATATGGTGGATTGCAGTGATTGTTTCTAAATTTACCTAGTCTTACGTCTCTGGAATAAACCCCACTTGATCATGGTGTATAATGCTTCTTATATATTCCTGAATTCTATTTGATAATATTTTGGTAAGTATTTATGCACCAATACTCATTATTTTGTACTGTATTTACCTGGTTTTAGCATCAGGATACTATTAACTTCATAAATAAATGGAAAGTTTTTTGTCCTCTTCTGTTTTTTTCAGAATAGATTGTGTAGACCTTGTTTTAATTCTTTAACCATTTTTTTTTTTTTTTGAGACGGAGTCGCGCTCTGTCGCCCAGGTTGGAGTGTCACTGCAAGCTCCGCCTCCCGGGTTCACGCCATTCTCCAGCGAGTAGTTGGGACTACAGGCTCCCTGCCACCACGCCCAGCTAATTTTTTGTTTTTTCAGTAGAGACGGGGTTTCACCGTGTTAGCCAGGATGGTCTCGGTCTTCTGACCTCATGATTCGCCCACCTCGGCCTCCCAAAGTGCTGGGATTACAGGCATGAGCCACCGCCCCTGGCCTCCTTAAGAACTTCTTAGAATTCTTCAGTGAAATTTTCTTGGATTCGAAGATTCCTGATTTTTTTTTTTTAAACGAAGTCTTGCTCTTGGCCTCCAGGCTGGAGTGCAATGGTGCGATCTTGGCTCACTGCAACCTCTGCCTCCCAGGTTCAAACGATTCTCCTGCCTCAGCCTCCCAAGTAGCTGGGATTACAGGTGCCTGCCACCACATCCGGCTAATTTTTGTATCTTTAGTAGAGACGGGGTTTCAGCATGTTAGCCAGGCTGGTCTCGAACTTCTGACCTCAGGTGATCAGCCCGCCTTGGCCTCCCAAAGTGCTGGGATTACAGCCATGAGCCACCACGCCCGGCCAGATTCTTGATTTTTTTTTTAAATTATGTTACAAATTTAATTCCCTTAATAGTTACAGGGTTATAAAAAATGTATTACATATTGAGTTAGTTGTGTTAATTTGTGTTTTTCAAGGAATTAGTCTATCTCATCTAAATTGTCAAGTTTGTGTGTAAAGAGTTATTCATAGTAAGGCAGAAATTTAAAAATAAATATGCATTCATTCACTCCAAGAAAAGTAACAGGAAAGGGTTAAAAAGAAAAGAAACAAGTTTTCGTTTGCCTAGCAGCTCACTTCAAGGACAGTTACAAGATAACACTTTCCGAAAAGCCAAGGCCAAAGGAACGGCTTCCAGACACGCCCTTCTCCCACCCCACCCAAGAACAAGGTTGAAGGGAAAAAAAGGAAAGGCAAATTCCTATACTGTTACTCCTTTCCCTGGCTTCTTAAGCATAACTGTTTTTACAAATGTCTGTATTTAGTCAGTTCTTGTTTTTCTTTTGACGCAGCTGCAAGGCCACAAATTAAGCACTGTATGATTAACTGCCTTTGTTTTGCTTATAAAAACTCCTGCTCTGTCTTTGTTCAACGCTCAGCATTTTTTGTTTGTTTGTTTTGTTTTGAGACAGAGTCTTGCTCTGTCGGCCAGGCTGGAGTGCAGTGGCACGATATTGGCTCAATGTCACCTCCGCCTCCTGGGCTCAAGCAATTCTGCCTCAGCCTCCCGAGTAGCTGGGATTACAAGCATGTGCAACCACGCCTGGCTAATTTTTGTATTTTTAGTAGAGACGGGGTTTCACCACGTTGGCCAGGCTGGTCTCGAACTCCTGACCTCAGGTAATCTGCCAGCCTTGGCCTCTCAAAGTGCTGGGATTATGGGCGTGAGCCACCAGGCCCGGCCAGTGCTCAACTTTTTGGATGTGAATCCACTCAGTGGCTGCTTACCTTAAAATAAATATCCTCCTGTTCTCCTGTATCAGTCTTTCCGTTCCTCAGTTTACCACCACAATAGTATTCCCTTATCCTAATATTATTTTTATATATTAGGATATATCATACTACATATGTTATATAAAATATTATATTGATAATATGTTATGTTAATATTATATAATAAATAACATAATTATAAAATATATTTATTTATATGATTATTTAACAAGTTATATATTATTATTTACTTATATTATTAGGATATAATATATCCTTATATATTATTAGTATATACTATGTATATTATATATATATATATTCTGAATAATCTTGAGGATGCTTTTCCTCCTTCATTTTTTAACTCTAGCCTGCCTCTTCCCTTTCCCCACCTGCTGGTTCTCGGCTCCTCTCCACCTTCTTTCTCATTTATTTCTAAATGAAGTTTTCACAAAAGCGCAGGGCACTCCTAGTCTCGTTTATGCACATTTTAAGCACTATGTTGAGATTCCTATGCAGCTGCTATTTTAATTTCCACATCACTTTCCTTTTTTTTTTTCCTTCTCTACATGCTTGACTTTAAACATTTCTGCAGCATAGGCTGAGGCTGGGCCCAGCTGGGGAGAGATGCGAGGCCAGATAAACCTAGAGTAGAGAAATGTTGTTTCCTGAGTGGGAACGCTCCGACCTTACAAGGGGGAGAAAAAGTCTGCGACGGAGTTTCGCTCTTGTTGCCCAGGCTGGAGTGAAATGGTGCTATCTCGGCCCATTGCACCCTCCACCTCCCGGTTCAAGCGATTCTCCTACCTGTCTCCCGAGTAGCTGGGATTACAGGCACCCGCCACCATGCATGGCTAGTTATTTTTTAAATGCTGGGATTACAGGTGTGAGCCACCGAGCCCGGCTAAATTTTTTAAAGGAAATCATCCAAAAACATATCCTTTTGATGTCAGCAGAGTCTACAGTGATATCCTCTTTTTATTCCTGATATTGGTAATTTGTGTCATCTCTCTTCCTAAAATTTCTGTCTTACTAGAGGTCTTCTTTTATTGATCTAAAGGAACTAGCTTTTTGTTTGTTTTTCTTTTTTTGTTTGTGTTCCGTTTCACTGAATTTTGTTCTTATTTTTATTGTTATCTTTTGTCTATTTGCTTTGGGTTTATTTTGCTTTTTTCCCCACCTGGGTTCTTCAAATAAAAGTTTAGATGACTGACTTGAGACTTTTTTCTTTTTCTAATGTATGCAGTTAGTGGTATACATTTCTCTCTCAGTGTTTTTTTAGGTTGTCTTGAAAATTTTGGTATATTGTGCTTTCATTTTTATTCAGGTTAATTTATTTTTTGATATCTACTAAGTCTTTCTCTTTGTCCTGTGTACTATTTAGTAGTGTGTTGTTCATTTTCCAAGTGTTTGGATGTTCTTCTGTTGTCTTTCTGTGATTGACTTTTAGTTTGATTTCATTGTGGTCAGGGATCATACTGTGTGAGTTAATTCTTTTAAATTTGAGGTTTGTTTTATGGCCCAGAATATGTTCCATCTTGACCTGTGTTCTGTGTGTTCTGCTTTTCTTGTGTGGAGTCTTCTTTAAATGTTGACTGAATTCTGTTAGCTGAAGATGATTTTGAGTTCTTCAACATCCTTGCTGATTTTCTGTTTAGTTGTTCTATCGATTATTATGAGAGAAGTGTTGAAGTCTCTAATGTAATTGTGGATTTGTCTATTTTTTAAAAATTCTTTTTTTCTTTACATATTTTCAACTCTGTTTGGTTTATACATATTTAGGATTGTTATGCCTTCTTGGTGGATTTTTAAAATTTTTCTTTGTTCTAAAGCTTATATTAGGCCAGACGTGGTAGCTCACGCCTGTAATCCCAGCACCGTGGGATGCTGAGGTGGGTAGATCACCTGAGGTCAGGAGTTTGAGACCAGCCTGACCAACATAGTGAAACCCCATCTCTACTAAAAATACAAAAATTAGCCAGTCATGGTGGTACGTGCCTGTAATTCCAGCTGCTTGGGAGGCTGAGGCAAGAGAATCACTGGAACCCTGGAGGCAGAGGTTGCAGTGAGCAGAGATCGCGCCATTGCACTCCAGTCTGAGTGACAAGAGTGAAACTCCATCTCAAAGAAAAAAGATAAATAAATAAAGTTCATATTATATTAATATACTCACTTTTGCTTTCTTTTAATTAACATTTGAATGTTATATATTTTTATATGCTTAATTTCAACCTGTATGTATAATTATATTTGAAATAAGTTTCTTGTAGACAGCATGTAGTTGGATTATATTTTCTAATCTACTCTGTTAATCTCTGTCTTTTAATTGGTACCTTTCGACCATTTACATTTAATGTAATTATTGATATGTTAGGGCTGAAATCTAGCAGTTTGTTTTCTATTTGTACCCTGTTACTGCCATTTTCTGGGGATATGTATGTATGTATGTATTTATTTATTAAAGCCTTCTTTGTGGACTACTAGTATACTTTTTTAGAATTTCATTGTCATTTATCTGTAGCGTTTTTGTGTGTGTGTGGTTTTGTTTTTTTGATTTTTTTTTTCTCCTGCCTCAGCCTCCCAAGTAGCTGGGATTACAGGCATGCGCCACCATGCCCAGCTAATTTTTGTAGTTTTAGTAGAGACAGGGTTTCACCATGTTGGCCAGGCTGGTCTCGAATTCCTGACCACAGGTGATCCCCCTCAGCCTCCCAAAGTGCTGGCATTACAGGTGTGAGCCACTGTGCCCAGCCTATCTGTAGTGTTTTTAAATGATCTCTTTATATAACTCTTTTAGTGATTTGTCTGAGTATTACATATTTATTTAATTTATCACTGTGTACTGGTATCATTATTTTATCAGTTAAAGTGATGTGTGTCATCTTTACCTTTTTGTCACTTTGCCTCTCCTACTTGTAATATAATTGTCTTAAATTATTTCTTCTACATACATTTCGAACCACATCGAACCATGTTATACTTTTTTCTTTCTTTCTTTTTTTTTTTTTTTTTTTTGAGACATTGTCTCACTCTGTTGCCCAGGCCTGAGTGTAGTGGCGTGATCTTGGCTCGCTGCAACCTCCGTTTCCCTGGTTCAAGTGATTCTCCCTCCTCAGCCTCTCGAGTAGCTGGGACTACAGGTGTGTGCCACCATGCCCAGCTAATTTTTTGTATTTTTAGTAGAGACGGGGTTTCACCATGTTAGTCAGGCTGGTCTTGATCTCCTCATCTCATGATCTGCCCACCTTGGCCTCCCAAAGTGGTAGGATTACATGCCTGAGCCACCGTGCCCGGTCATGTTACACTTTTTGCTTCAACTGTTAAACATAATTTAGAAAGCTCAAGAGGAAAAGGAAAATGTATTGTTTTTACCTTTTTTTTTTTTGCTTACCATGTTCTTTCTTCTTTCCTGGTGTCAATTATTTCTTCTTTTATCATTTCTTTCCATCTGGAGAAATTTAACTATTTTTTAAAGGATAATTCTGCTAGAAGCTAATTATCTTAGTTTTCTTTGCTCTGAAAATGTCTTGATTTCTTCTTCAGTTCTAAAGGATATTTTCTGTGGATATAGAATTCAGAATTAACAATTCTTTTCTTTCGGTCCTTGAAAACTGTTGTGCCACTCTTTCTGACTTCTGTGATTTCTGATAAGATACCCACTGTTATGCAAATTGGTTTTCTCTGTAGGTAAGGTGTTTTGTCTCTTTTCTTGCTTTCAATATCTCTTTCTCTGTTTTTAGAGTTTAGAAATTTTGATTGATTTTGTTTTCAGTTAACCGTTGAAGGAGATTCTCTAAAAAATATGTAAAAATGCAAATCTCCAGGTCAACAGTCTCTAAAATAGTTTAGATTTCTGTATTCTGGTGTTTGGAAAACAACTTCACTAAGGCAATCCCTTAGGGCTGGTAATTTCATGATGTAAATCATTCCACATTTGTAAAGCATAAAGTAGCAAAGTTTTAGTCACTGTACAAACAAGTATCTGAACTTCTTCCTGTGCTTAATTGGTATAAACTATCTTGGGCGGCAGTTCCCCACCTTTTTGGCACCAGAGACCGTTTCATGAAAGACAGTTTTTTCCATGGATGAGGGAGCAGGGGTTGGGGGGGATGATTTTGGGATGATTCAAGCACATTAGATTTATTGTGCACTTTTTTAATATTGTTATTATATTGTAATATATAATGAAATAAGTATCCAACTCACCATAATGTAGAATCACTGGAAGCCTTGAGTTTGTTTTCCTGCAACTAGACAGTCCCATCTGGCACTGATGGAAAACAGTGACGGATTATCAAGCATTAGATTCTCATAAGGAGCCCACAATCTAGATCCCTTTCATACGCAGTTCACAATAGGGTTTGGACTTCTGTGAGAATCTGACGCCCCCGCTTATCTGGGAGGAAGAGTAGCTCAGGCGGTCGCAGGAGCGTTGGGGAGTTGCTGTATAAGGACAGATGAAACTTCTCTGGCTCGCCTGCCGCGCTGCCTGATACGCGGTTACGTTTACTGGAGGTTGGGGACTCCGGAGCTAGAGTAAAACACACAAATATTTCGCCTGAACAGGGACTTGAACCCTGCACCGTCAGATTAAAAGTCTGATGTTCTACCAACTGAGCTATCCAGGCCCTGGGTAGACGCAACCCACGGAGTATGTAATCTAGATTTCTCCATTTGTTCAGTTCATTTTGTTTCATGTTGCAATTTGTAAATCATATTACTTGAATTATCCTCTTTTCGAAGACCCTGCTTAAGAGAGACATTATAATCCCTAGGAATATTTTCCTTTTCTCTTTTTAAACATTTCCTTTCTGTAGATTTTCGTAACCTGAGATGGAGCGTCTTCTACACAAAGCACTGCGGAGTTGCTAGATACAGAGGGTTTCATTCTCGCCAATTACCTGCAACCTAAACTTCTCGAGGCAACTGTGGAGCTACTTTTGTTCGTATCCCTCAGTATTGTCTTGCATCTCTTTCTTGAAGCCTTTGTAGGCAGAGGGTAAGAGAGACGAAGGAGGAAGAATTTGAAGATGCAAGAGAACATTCCATAATGGACCCCTTTCTGTTGGTGGATGAAACTGCCAGCCAGGCATCACTTTGGCAAGTGGACCTCAGACCGGCGGTCTGGCTGGCCAGAGAGGAAAACCGCGTGTAACAGTGTCTTTTGGTTTAGTATTTAGTGCCGCTTTTGCTGGTCACAGTCTAAAGGTTTTAGAAATAGTGATGTTAAACACAGCAAGCATTTTTCTGCCAGATATTCGTTCTCCAAACACAGACAGACAAAGGCAGTAATTAATAATGGATCTTTTCTTTGTTTTTTTCTTGTTTTATTTTTGAAGATATTTTTTCTTCGTCTATGGATCTTTTTTTTAATTTTTAATTTTTACTGCTGCATAGTATATATATGTATATATATGATACATGGGATATTTTGATGCAGGCATACAATGTGTAATAATCATATTGGGATAAACGAAGCATCCATCACCTCATCCATCGCCTCAACACCTTATCATTTCTTTGTTACAGACATTCCAGTTATAATCTTTAAGTTATTTTTAAATGTACAATACATTTTTGTTGACTATAATCACCCTGTTGTGCTATCAAATGATAGATCTTATTCATGCTAACTATATTTTTGTATCCATTAACCATCTCACTGCCCCCTCCAATACCCTTCCCAGCATCTGGTAACCATCATTCTACTCTCTGTCTCCATGAGTTCAATTGTTTTATTTTTGGCTTCCACAAATGAGAGAGAATATGTGAAGTTTTACTTTCTGTGTATAGCTTAACTTAATGTCCTCTAGTTTGTGGAGGAAAAGTTACGTATTAAATTTGAACTCAATTGAACGTGGACACAAACAATGGTCACCAAATCCTGAACAGGTTGTATGAACCCCTTGAGGTGTTCATCCAGTGCTGTTTTGGAGAAATCTCTATTTCAATCTATTCCTATACGTTAGTTATTGAAAAACAACAGACAATCGCAAAAACAAGTTGACCTTTTCTTGTTCCTTGAGCTCAGTCGCGAAGGGCTCTCGTGAGCTTCATGAGACCTCTCCTTCTCTGTGCATGGACGAGTGGCCGACTCTGGAGCCGGGGCTGTTGCTTCCCGGTGTGGTGATGAATCCTTCATAGTCTTGTGAGTGTACATATATATAAATATATATATTTATATATATATATATATATTTGGTGAGTGTGTGTATATATATATATATATATATCTTTTCCCTTCTCCCCTTCCCATTGCAATTTGCTTATTGTATCATTTGTTTATTATATCTGCATTGCCGTTTACGTGGGATAAAGGTTATTTACCCTTAAAGGTATTGTGTGTGTGTCTTTTCTTCTCCCCTCTCGCATTTCCCGCACAGAACATAGTTCCATCCGCTTTGCAAATGACAAGACCTCATTCTTTTCATGGCCGAATAGTACCCCGTTGTGTATACGTACCACATTTACTTTATTCATTTATCTGTTGATGGGTACTTAGGATGCTTCCCAATCTTGGCTATTGTGAATAGTGCTGCAATAAAGATGACAGTGTAGATATCTTTTCGATATACTAATTTCCTTTCTTTTGGGTATAGGCCTAATAGGGGGATTGCTGGAATATATGGTAATATTTTTAGTTTTCTGAGGAACCTCCATACTATTCTCCAAAGCGGTTGTACTAATTTAAATTCCCACCAAGAGTGTACTAGGGTTCTCCTTTCTCCACGTCCTTGCCTGTCTTTTGGATGAAAGTCATTTTAACTTGGGTGAGATAACATTTCATTTTAGTTTTGATTTGCATTTATTTGATGATCAATGGTGTTGAGCACCTTTTCATATATTTGCCATTTGTATGTCTTCTTTTAAAAGACATATAGACAAAAGAATGGTAAATAGATATGTGAGTAGAAAATCTTTACTTGGCTGAGTTTTCTTTATCCTTTCCTTTCACAGTAGCCCCCATCCCCAACACACACACACATACACACACACACACACACACACACACACACACACACACACACGTCAGGTCAATAACCAGACCATAAGTGCTGCAAATCTTAGTTCTTTCTGTGTGTGTGAGTGAACGTTTGTTGTACACTGGATCACACCTCACAGGAAATGCTGAGTTTTCCAAATTCTAAAGTTAAGAACATTATTAGGGTCATGCATTATGGGTTTTTGTAAAATGGCTAAAGTAGCTACATTGGGAGATTCTTTGTCTAAAGGTGCAATACATCCCCCAATTTGATTCAGGGCTTGGAAAGTTGTCTGGTTTCATCTAAACAAATAAATAAATTCTATTTTTTTCAAATCTCAATTATAGAAACCTTTATCTACAGACACCCTCCTCCATTCATTTCTTCAGTGAAATTATCTAGACAGATTGTTATAGAGAGATTAAGAATGTCATACTTTCAAATCTCTCTTGGATTCCTCCCAAAATACTTTTGTTAGAAATATTTAAACATTTTAAAGGAATCTTGCCTGGAACCCATCAGATAAAAATCAAAAGGCATCAGAGAAAACACTGAAAGGCTTTGGAAAGGAAATGGTATCACTGGTATAAACAAACATTTCATACAATTTAATAGTTTCTTAGCATTATTCTTTCAAATCTCAGTGCCAATCCTTTTTAGCATCTTCCTGAAGAAAGAAATTTCAGGCTACTTTGGACACACTTTCTATAGGGTACCCCTGCTCTGCAAACAGCAGGAATAAATAAATAAATAAATAAATATAACAATAAATAAATAGATTTCGATGGTTTGGCTCAGTCTACCAACCTTACTAACTGTGCCAACTTTACTATCTGCTGCCTACGTCTGCCAGTTAACTTTTCCTCCTCCAGACTGAACAAAAAATGCCCTTTTATTTAAATTTGTTAGATTTTGAGATTTTGGATTGCTATTCTTTGGGCACAAAATCCACTAGTGAGAAGGTGAGGAAGCAAAACTGAGAACAATTTCAAAACATGTGAATAAGTTTGAGTCTGTTGAAACATAAGTCATGGTAGTGCATCTTGCCCAAAATGGAGATGGATTCTTCAGCACTGACTAGAGCAAGTAGCCTCCCCAAACTGGATCACACCAGAAACCCTTATTCAATCTAATGCTCCTCATAGGACGCTTTCTGAGAAAGAAAGGGACTTAACTAAATCAGTTTCATAGGGAACAGCAGAAGACCTTTCTTTTGTCTACCCAGACTCATCTAGTCCGGCCCCAGAACTAGCGTTCCGTGGTCTCAAACATGGGTCATTACTTAATAAATTAGTGTACATAGGATACACCATCCAAAATATGGCCTAAAACAATTCTTGAGTTTTGACTGGAGAAACCTGGAGAAAATGGTGTACAAGGGATCCAGGAAAAGTTTAGGGCTGAGAGATGCATCTCTCTGGGGAAAGGAGATAGGACTGGGCACTGGAAAAATGAAATAGTTTCTTCCCAGTAACTCGTCATTTCCATGAAGCCAAGACGATGCGAAAACTGAGGGAATCTGTGATTGGTTTACTTTACAAACTTGGTTGTTGTTTTTTTTTTTAATCTTTCCTACCCTATCAACATAGGGGACATAGCTGGGGAAAGGGTAACAAAAAATCGCCCCAGACTGTTTTCTGGATCAATCCAAAGGTGAGCTTAGAGCAATCAACCTTTAGGCAAAATACTTGGGGCTTTTCTGACAAGGGGGAGCTTTTTTTTTTTTTTTAATTTCAACTTTTATTTTAGATTCAGGGAGTACAGTGCAGGTTTGGGACAAGGGTGTATTGCGTGTTGCTGATGTCTGGAGTACGATTGAACCCGTCACCCATGTGGTGAGCATAATACCCAACAGGCAGTTTTTCTATCCTTTTCCCCCTTCCAACCTCCCACCTCTTACGGTCTCCAGTGTCTTCTGTTCCAGGGGAGCTCTTGTTTGAGCTTACAGGCTTTTCTTCCTGGAGGAAGCACCATCGTATCTTTGAGACGGAAAAGGTTAAAATAGATCAAACAATGATGCTCCCTCTTACGCTGTCATGTCCACTCCTTCATTGCAGACTTGAGTTCTTGGCTCATATTTCTGTACCCGAACGTGCATTATCATTATTAGTAACTTAGAGAAGAGAGCCTTCAAAGAAGGCAAAGATGTCACTTCTGATCATCTCGCAGTTTATAATTCTAAGGAATTGCTATTAGGAATTTTAGATGGAGTTTTATTCCTTCTGCCCACCTCCTCCCCCGCCTCTCCCCGCCCCCCTTCAAGTTGTTAAATCTCTAATTACGAAGTTAAAGGTTTGAAAACAGAAACTCAACGTTTCCTCACTACACTTCAGTCTTGATGTGTGCAAATTAGCACCCGCGTGCGGCCGCGTGGCCTAATGGATAAGGCGTCTGATTCCGGATCAGAAGATTGAGGGTTCGAGTCCCTTCGTGGTCGTGTTCTTACTATTGTCAGGAAATATCTTTACTTTCTGCACATCTCCTTGAGCTTTCTGCAAGCCAGTTAAAAAAAAAAAAACCGGCTTGTTCCCAAGACTTTGGGAACTTGAAATGAAAGAAGACTATTGACAAAAAAAACAAGAACCCGGTAAGCAACCTGTGTATTGACTATTAAAGTGCACTTTGTCCCTGGCATAGGTACTACCGGAGGCATTCGTAATTTGGAATGGGCTTGGTTTTTCAATTTATGGTCTTGTCCTACTTGTTTCATGAATTTAACAAACACAACACAAAATCACCCTTTTCTTTTTTTTTTTTTTTTTTTTTTTTTTTTTTTTTTTTTGAGACGGAGTCTCGCTCTGTCACCCAGGCAGGAGTGCAGTGGCACGATCTCGGCTCACTGAAAACTCCGCCTCTCCGGGTAAAGCGATTCTCCTGCCTCAGCCTCCCGAGTAGCTGGGATTACAGGCGCCCGCCATCACGCCCGGCTAATTTTTGTGTTTTTTTAGTAGAGACGAGGTTTCATCATGTTGGCCAGGTTGGTCTCAAACTCCTGACCTCAGGTGATCCGCCCGCCTCGGCCTCCCAAAGTGCTGGGATTACAGGCGTGAACCACCGTGCCCGGCATTTTATTTATTTATTTATTTATTTTTGAGTCTCACTTTGTCGCCCTGGCTGGAGTGCAGTGGCACAATCTCTGCTCATTGCAATCTCCACCTCCAGGGTTCAAGCTATTCTCCTGCCTCAGCCTCCCGAGTAGCTAGGATTACAGGTGCCCGCCACCATGCCTGGCTGATTTTTGTATTGTTGGTAGAGAAGGGGTTTCACCATATTGGCCAGGCTGGTCTCGAACTCCTGACCTCAGGTGATCTGCCCGCCTTGACGTCCCAAAGTGCTGGGATTACAGGCGTGAGTCATCGCGCGCGGCAGAAAAGTACCATCTTAATAGTAAGGACTATCATAATAGTAGGGGTATTGGGTGCAGGGTATATGGGAACTCTAATATCTTCTAAATTTTTCTGTAAAGCTAAGACTGTTCGACAATTATACTCTATAAAATAAAAATGATTTGTTTTTTTAAAGATAGACAGCCATGTGTTTAAAAAAACTTAGAGCAAAGATCTTGCCCTAGAAAGCAAATGCAACTCTAACGGGGTTCTTGTACTGGTTAACATCCGCATTAAAGATGATGGTGACTTACAGGGCCTATGCCATTCTCTCTGATTTCTACGATTTCCTTATTACTCTCAACACAAGCTTAAATAAAACAGTAAACAGAAAAGTAAAATCTTTCCAGACCTTGGTTAACAAAAGCAGAAACAAGGAGGAGAACGAGGAGGAGAAGGTGAAGGAGAAAGAAAAGAACAAAAAGAGGAAGAAGAGGAAGAAGTCACAATCAAGGAGAGTATATCACCAAGAAAAGAAAGTTTCTATCAAAAACTTTCTTTGGGCTCTCAAAACTCGAGAGTCAAACATTGTTAATAAATTTCCACAAAAATCTGAAGGTCACAAATCCAAATCCTAATAGGAAAAGCTTTCATCAAAATGTACTGATAAAGGCTCAATTACAACAACCTGGAACTCATGTGGTTGGGACACTCGCTCGAGCTCATAGTTTTGAAGGATGGCCAGAATTTAGAAACAAAGTGGTCAAAGAATGCACTATTATCACACTAAGAGTTTGGCAACCCTATCAGCAAAATGAGCCAGGGCCCTCTAAGAAACTCACAGGACCCACATATTGCTGAGGAAAAGAGGTATTTACTCACAACTGAAAAAACAAAACTGAATGTATGTCTTGCTTGAGCAGGGGTGAACTACAAGCAGATTGCAGTCTCTTAGTAAACAAACAAAACAAGAAACAAAACAAAAGGCAGGATATGCAGAGGAGTTTAATTAATTGTCAAGTGAAATTAAATTCACATAAATCAGCCTTTTGGGTGGTTCAAAGTAGAGACGGCTGTGAATTGTTCCTAGATTGACATACAAACAAATACTTATTTATTTATTTATTTATTTAATTTTTTGAGACGGAGTGTCGCTCTATCGCTCAGGCTGGAGTGCGGTGGTGTGAACTGCGATCTCGGCTCACTGCAAACTCCGCCTCCCGGATTCAAGCGATTCTCCTGCCTCAGCCTCCTGAGTAGCTGGGACTACAGGCGCATGCCACCAAGCCCGGCTAATTTTTTTGTAATTTTAGTAGAGACGGGGTTTCACCATGTTAGCTAGGATGTTCTTGATCTCCTGCGTGATCCGCCCGCCTCGGCTTCCCAAAGTGCTGGGATTACAGGCGTGAGCCACCGCGCCTGGCCTTACAAATCTCTTTTACTTAGGAACTACTGAGTTAAGATAAATGTGGGTGCTAAATTCCAATTTGGCCCGGGCATGGTGGCTCATGCCTGTAATCCCAGCATTTTGGGAGGCCGAGATGGGCGGATCATCTCAGGTCAGGAGGTCAAGACCAGCCTGGCCAACATGGCGAAATCCATCTCTACTAAAAACACAAGAATTAGCTGGGTTTGGTGGCGTGCGCCTGTAATCCCAGCTGCTAGGGAGGCTGAGACACGAGAATCACTTGAACCCGGGAGGTGGAGGTTGCAGTGAACTGAGATCACGCCACTGGCACCCCAGCCTGGGTGGCAGAGTGAGACACCATCTCAAAAAATAATAATAATAAAAATGAAATAAATAAATTCTGATTTGTTGTGTGAATTCATGGTTAATTATGCAAAAGTGGAATATTCTATTCTTAATTGACTCAAATTAAAATTTCATTTAAATGTCAAGTTTTAAGATACCAAGATTGAGTGCTGATAGTATTGTTATTACTTGAGCACAAACTCCTGGACTCAGTTCTCTTGTCTTGGTCTCCGAAAATGCTAGGATTACAGGCGTGAGCCACTCTGGCTGTCCCCTCAGTAATTTTTTTTAAGTAAAGTTTATTTTATTTATTTTTTGAGTTGAGGTCTCGCCCTGTCACCCAGGCTGGAGTGCAGTGGCACTGCAAGCATGGCTCACTGCTACCTCAAACTCCTAGGCCCAGGCAATCCTCCTGCCTTGGCCTCTGGTGTAGCTGGGACCACAGGTGTGCACCACCATACCTGGCTAATTTTTCTATTTTTTTGTAGAGACAGGCTCTCACTATGTTAGCCAGGCTGGTCTCCAACTCCTGAACTCAATTGATCCTCCTGCTTTGGTCTCCCAAAGTGCTGGGATTTGAGGTGTAAGCCACTGCTCCTGACCAATAATTTTTTATATTAATAAATTTATGGCCGGGTGCTGTGGCTCACGCCTGTAATCCCAGCACTTTGGGAGACCGAGGCGGGCGGATCACCTGGGGTCAGGAGTTCGAGACCAGCCCGAATAATATGGTGAAACCCTGTCTCTACTAAAAATACAAAAATTAAACGGGTGTGGTGGCGGGCGCCTGTACTCCCAGCTACTCGGGAGGCTGAGGCAGGACAATCGCTTGATCCCGGTAGGCGGAAGTTGCAGAGAGCCGCGATCGCGCCACTGCAGTCCAGCCTGGGCGACAGAGCGAGAGTCCGTCTCAAAAAATAAATAAATATAATAATAATAATAAAATTTATGTCTACCAAAATAATTTATCTACATTATGAGCAAAATATGTCCATGTTTTGACTTGACACTTTTTGCACTCTCAACACTGCAATCCTCCTCATATCTTAAGTCAGCGTTTTGTTCATCCACTTGACAGTAGGGCAGAAAAGAGCCTTGAATGAATACCTCTCTGCAAATCCGACTTTCCCCGTTCAAATCTTGTCTCTTCCGCTGAGACTAGAGAGAATATAAGCAGCAAAACGCACCGCAAATACCCTCCCGGTTGCTCCAGGAGAAAGCTGGGTTCAGTAGCCTGTTGAGTATGAATCAAAAAGAAGTATGGGAAAATGAAAAGTATCTACATCAGAACAGGATCGTGATTCCTAAATTTCCGGACTAGTGGCCTGATGCATTTCCAGCTGAGCTAGCCAGAAGTACGATGGTTTTAGTGGGTATCTACTCTAACCCAAAACGTTCAGTCACTACTTAACCTTTCTTCCTCATTCTTTCTCTTGTATTTTAAACCCAAACACGCGAAAATAAACAAACAAACAAAAAGAAACACAAACTAAACAGTTGCTGCCTGCATCAAAGCTGCAGGCTGCTTCCACATGAGAACTGACACAACGTCACTTTCCTCAAACCTCCAATACCAGGGGCTACTGCTCCACGAATACTCAACCACACGCCCTCGAAAATGCTCAGCCTGTTTCCTGCGATGGAGAGTGCAGTGCAGTGAGGCACTCTCAGAGTCACAAAATCTTGGGCAACACGAGCCGTACCCTTCTGTGGGATATACACTTTGAAACCACTCACCTAGAGCCTTCTCTCTTCCCCAGGGCCTAGAGAAAGCTTGGCAGAGACGCGGCGCTTGGCTGCTTTCTTCCTCCACGCTTGTCTCAATACTATCCGTCTTTAAAGACGCGTCCCCGATTTTTCTTCTGCCTTCTTCTCCGCTGCTTCTTCTCTCCTCCACTCAGTGTTATCCCTCCCGGCTCCAAGAGCCCTTCCTTCCTTTTCAAAGCCTTCCCTTGCGTCCACTCCTCAGCTCATTTCAGTTCCCAGCCACTTGCCTTTCTAGTATAGTAAGAACATAACCTGTACATTAGGGACAAACTTCTCCCTACTCTCCCTTACGCCCCTGCTGGGTTTACAATGTTCTCCAAAATTCGTATCTGGATTAAACAGTCGCACCACATTTTGGCTACAGATGGGAAGGGTCTACTTTCTGCACTTCAGGGACTGATGAAATTTTCTCACTTGTGGGGGTGTAGGGAGGGTTTTACAAAGGGTGAATTGGTTTTCTCAGGTTGAGACCAGCTTCCTTTGTGCTTTCCTCCTTGCTCAAAAAAATTTGCTCTGAAAGAGTCCTCTGTCTTCGGCTTCGTTTGTGTTGTCTTTAAAACCAGAGCTAGTCAGGCTTGGCGGCAAACACCAGTAATCCGAGCACTTTTGGAGGCGGAGGCGGGAGTATTGCTTAAGCCCAGGAATTCAAGACCAGCCTGGGCAACACAGGGAGAAGACCGACCCGCCCCCTTCCCCCATCCCGTCTCTATAAAAAATCAAAAACAAAAAAACCTATAGCTGTAGAGTCGCCGATGAAGCCGCTGCCACATTTCCAAATCCAGATGTTGGACGCAACCTTGTGCAAAACTGCTACCTTTGTCACTCTTTGTTTTTGTCAATGTTGTGAATTAACCTCTTGTCTTTGCTTGTTTGGTTGTTTTTCAGGAGTTATTAACAACTTTATTGAAGTACAGTTGATATATGCAAAACCCCTACACGTTGAAGGTAAGCATATGAGTGAGGACATATGCATACATTTATAATGCTATTTCCACAATCGGTAATAAACACACTTATCAACTCCAAAAGTTTCTTTGTGTTCTTTCATGTTCATGGGTGGTAAGAAGACTTAAACATCAGAGTTATCTTTTTTTTTTTTTTTTTTATTTTGAGACTGAGTCTCGCCTGTCGCCCAGGCTAGAGTGCAGTGGTGCGATCTCGGCTCACTGCAACCTCCGACTTCCGGGTTCACGCCATTCTCCTGCCTCAGCCTCTCGAGTAGCTGGGACTACAGGCGCCCGCCACCGCGCCCGGCTAATTTTTTAAAACATTTTTAGTAGAGACGGGGTTTCACCGCGTTAGCCAGGATGGTCTCGATCTCCTGACCTCGTGATCCGCCCGCCTCGGCCTCCCAAAGTGCTGAGATTACAGGCGTGAGCCACCGCTCCCGGCCGAGTTATCTTTTTAACAAAATTTTAAGTGTACATTATGGTATTGTTAACTGAAGGCACTAGGTTGTGCAATAGATCTCTAGAACTTATTCATGTTTCATAACTAAAATTTTAACTCACCGAGCAACAACTCCCCATTTCCCTCTGCCTCTGGTCCCTGACAATCACCATTCTGTTCTCTGCATTTATGAGTTTGACTATTTTAGATACCTCATATAAGTGGAATTATGAAATATTTGTCCTTCTGTGACTGGCTTATTTCACTTAGCATAATGTCCTCCAGGTTAATCATTGATGCTGGTGCAAATGGCAGAATTTCTTTTTTATAAAAGGCTGAATAATATTCCATTGTATGTATATACCACATTTTCTTTGTCCACTCATCTCTCAATGGACACTTGGATTGTTCCCTTATCTTGGTTATTGTAAATAATGCTGCAGTGAACATGGGAGTGCATATGTTTCTTTGAAATTCTAATTTCGATTTTTTGGGGACATATACCCAGAAGTGGGATTGCTGGATCATATGGTAGTTCTATTTTTATCTTTTGAGGCGACCCCTTACTATTTTCCATAGTGGTGTCATCATTTTACACACCAACAGTGTAGAAGGGTTCCAATTTCTCTACATCTTTGCTAACACTTACCTTTTGAGTTTTTTCTTTTTAATAACAGACATCCTAATAGGTGTGAGGTGGTATCTATTGTGATTTTGATTTGCATTTCCTTGATGATTAGTGATGTTAAGAGCACCTCTTCACATACCTAGTGGCTATTTGTATGTCTTCTTTGGAGACATGTCTATTCAAGTCCTATGCTCGTTTTAAAAATCAGGTTATTTGGGATTCTAAGGGGTGTGTGTGTGTGTGTGTGTGTGTGTGGCTATTGACTTGTAGCGGTTTAAAAAATTTATTTTGTATATTAACCCCTTATCAGATAAATGATTTGCAAATATTTTCTCCCATTCCATAGCTTGCCTTTTTCCTTTGTTGATTGTTTTCTTTCCTGTGAAGAAGCTTTTTAGTTTGCTATAGTCTCGCTTATCCATTTTTGCTTTTGTTGCCTGTGCTTTTGGTGTCATACTCAAGAAACCATTGCCTAAACCAATGTCAAGAATATTCCCCCCTGTTTTCTTCAAGGAATTTTACAGTTTAGGGGCTTAAGTTTAAGATTTAAATTCGTTTTTAGTTGACTTTTGTGCATTAACATCTTGTCTTGTCTCCTCACCTGGATCTACGTTTCCTCTGCAGCACTCACAGAACTCGTCTTTATATTCTCTGGCACTATCGCGCGCGCGTGTGTGTGTGTGTGTGTGTGTGTTGGCAGCTCCATAGAGGAGGTTTTTTTAAAAAGGAGAGAATCTGAAGACATACCAGAAGATTCAATCTTGGAACTTCGCTCCAGGTGGACGGAAACTGACAAAGAAAGTTGGCTAACAGCAGTCCTTGAAATAGATGACGGCTGTGAGAGGATCCAAGGGTCTTTCGGTCCAGAATGCCTTTCTCCTCTTGACACAGCGTCAAGACAAGATTCCATTCAGAAGTTTCAGAAACAGGAGTTAAAACATAGCGGACTTTAACCTATCATGCCTTAAGCCCTCACCTTTAGATAATAGCATATAATAAATCAGTAAGAAAACGGCATTGTAAGTGGGGGTGTAGCTCAGTGGTAGAGCGTATGCTTAACATTCATGAGGCTCTGGGTTCGATCCCCAGCACTTCCACAAGTACATTTCCTTATATCTATCGTTGAACATTTCGTTTCAGTCTTTGAATACTTAGTTCCAGTCTTTTCTTTTTTCTTTGTGCATACACTAGCTTGTGTTTTTCCTACTCACAGCGAAGGTAAGCCATTTGGTACTCATTCATTTGTACTATGGGTCCTAACACTCCTTCAGCCTCCCAACCTGACTGCTTCAGCACAGCTTTATAGTTATTTACTGAAATAGAGAAGCTGCTTATTCAAGATCCCCTGAGAGTGAAGCAACAGGCATGCCGGTCATAGAAGACTCGTTCTCCTAGACCATCCTGGCTAACATGGTGAAACCCCATCTCTACTAAAAATACAAAAAAAAAAAAAAATTAGCCGGGCGTGGTGGCGGGCACCTGTAGTCCCAGCTACTCCAGAGGCTGAGACAGGAGAATTGCATAAACCCGGGAGGCTGAGCTTGCAGTGAGCCGAGATCGCGCCACTGCACTCCAGCCTGGGCGACTGAGCAAGACTCCATCACAAAAAAAAAAAAAAAAAAAAAAAAGACTCGTTCTCCTTTGCTGCCGTTTCTCATTACTATTAAGAAATCGGGGGGGAATAAAAAACAGAAAGAGAAGAAAAAAAAATCGCCCTTGGAAAACATCCATTAGATTTCTCTCCTCCCCCCCCCACCCCCACTCCACCCATATCTGACAGACTACAGACCTTTCCTCATTCTCCCCTACATTTCCACCACTCATAGAATCTTGGTTGGGCGGCAAAAGTGGGTCCAATCATTAGTCATGGGAGCGCTGTGATCTCAGCTTTCTCTAAAGAAGGAATGTTTAGAATTTTTTCCGAACGAAAGACGCTTCTGGCGAAACTCCGAGACTTTCAAAATACACAGTTGAGAAAATTATTTTCAGAGATGGAAAAAGCCGCTGGTCGCTCTCAAAGCGGTGTCAGTTTTGGACAAAAAGGGTTATGTTTTCCTGTGGAACAGAAGCTTGTAGTTCACCTCCCTTGGGAGGGAAAGACCTGGTTTCCTACAGCCA